>NC_000024.10:19598245-20207793 GCF_000001405.40 Homo sapiens | reverse complement strand
GATCCTGCCAGAAGACAGAAACCCTGGACACATCTGAAGGAACAAACTCTGGACATAACACCTTTAAGTGCTGTAACACTCACCGGTAAGGTCTGCAGCTTCATTAAGGAAGTGAGCAAGACCACGAACCTCCAAGAATGAAGAAATTCTGGACACATCTGAAGGAACAAACTCTGGACATAACACATTTAAGTGCTGTAACACTCAACACTAAAGTCTGCAGCTTCATTCTTGAATTGAGCAACACCATGAACCTGCGAGAAGGAAGAAACTCTGGACACATCTGAAGGATCTAACTCTGGATATAACACCTTTAAGTGCTTTAACACTGAATAGTAAGGTCTGCAGCTTCATTCTTGAAGTGAGCAAGACCATGAACCTGCCAGTAGGAAGAAACGCTGGACACATCTGAAGGAAAAAACTCTGGACATAACAACTCCAAGTGCTGTAACACTCACCACAAAGGTCGGCAGCTTCATTCTTGAAGTGAGCAAGACCATGAACCTGCCAGAAGACAGAAACCCTGGACACATCTGAAGGAACAACCTCTGGTCATAACACCTTTAAGTGCTGCCACCCTCACCAGTAAGGTCTGCAGCTTCATTAGTGAAGTGAGCAAGACCATGAACCTGCCAGAAGGAAGACACTCTGGACACATCTGAAGGAACAATCTCTGGACATAACAACTTTAAGTGCTGTAACACTCACCAGTAAGGTCTGCAGCTTCGTTCTTGAAGTGAGGAAGACCACGAAACTGCCAGAAGGAAGAAACTCTGGACACATCTGAAGAAACAAACTCTGGACATAACACCTTTAAGTGCTGTAACACTCACCAGTAAGGACTGCAGCTTCATTAAAGAAGTGAGCAAGACCACGAACCTGCCAGAAGGAAGAAACTCTGGACACATCTGAAGGAACAAACTCTGGACATAACAGCTTTAAGTGCTTTAAAACTCAACAGTAAGGTCTGCAGCTTCACTCTTGAAGTGAGCAACACCATGAACTTGTCAGAAGGAAGAAACGCTGGACATATCTGAAGGAAAAAACTCTGGACATAACACATTTAAGTGCTGTAACACTCAACACTAAGGTCTGCAGCTTCATTCTTGAAGTGAGGAAGACCACGAAACTGCCAGAAGGAAGAAACACTGGACACATCTGAAGGAACAAATTGTGGACATAACAACGTTAACTGCTGTAACACTCACCACAAAAGTCTGCAGCTTCATTCTTGAAGTGAGCAAGACCATGAACCTGCCAGAAGGAAGAAACACTGGACACATCTGAAGGAAGAAACTCTGCACAAAACACCTTAAAGTGCTGTAACACTCCCCAGTAAGGTCTGCAGCTTCATTAGTGAAGTGAGCAAGACCATGAACCTGCCAGAAGGAAGACACTCTGGACACATCTGAAGGAACAAACTCTGGACATAACACCTTTACGTGCTGTAACACTCAACACTAAGGTCTGCAGCTTCATTCTTGAAGTGAGGAAGACCACGAAACTGCCAGAAGGAAGAAACTCTGGACACATCTGAAGAAACAATCTCTGGACATAACACCTTTAAGTGCTGTAACACTCACCAGTATGGTCTGCAGCTTCATTAAAGAAGTGAGCAAGACCACGAACCTGCCAGAAGGAAGAAACTCTGGAAACATCTGAAGGATCAAACTCTGGACATAACAGCTTTAAGTACTGCAACACTCACCAGTAAGGTCTGCAGCTTCATTCTTGAAGTGAGCAAGACCATGAACCTGCCAGAAGGAAGAAACACTGGACACATCTGAAGGAACAAATTGTGGACATAACAACTTTAACTGCTGTAACACTCACCACAAAAGTCTGCAGCTTCATTCTTGAAGTGAGCAAGACCATGAACCTGCCAGAAGGAAGAAACACTGGACACATCTGGAGGAACAAACTCTGGACATAACACCTTTAAGTGCTGTAACATTCACCAGTACGGTCTGCAGCTTCATTAAGGAAGTGAGCAAGACCACGAACCTGCAAGAAGGAAGAAACTCTGGACACATCTGAAGGAACAAACACTGGACATAACACCTTTAAGTGCTGTAACACTCAACACTAAGGTCTGCAGCTTCATTCTTGAAGTGAGCAACACCATGAACATGCCAGAAGGAAGAAACTCTGGACACATCTGAAGGAACAAACTCTGGACATAACACCTTTAAGTGCTTTAACACTAAACAGTAAGGTCTGCAACTTCATTCTTGAAGTGAGCAAGACCATGAACATGCCAGAAGGAAGAAACGCTGGACGCATCTGAAGGAAAAAACTCTAGACATAACACCTTTAAGTACTGTAACACTCACCACTAAGTTCGGCAGCTTCATTCTTGAAGTGAGCAAGACCATGTACGTGCCATAAGACAGAAACCCTGGACACAGGTGAAGGAACAAACTCTGGACATAACACCTTTAAGTGCTGTAACACTCACCAGTAAGGTCTGCAGCTTAATTAGTGAAGTGAGCAAGACCATGAACCTGCCAGAAGGAAGACACTCAGGACACATCTGAAGGAACAAACTCTGGACATAACATCTTTAAGTGCTGTAACACTCACCATTAAGGTCTGCAGCTTCATTAAGGAAGTGAGCAAGACCACGAACCTGCAAGAAGGAAGAAACTCTGGAAACATCTGAAGGAAAAAACTCTGCACATAACACCATCAAGTACTGTAACACTCACCAGGAAGGTCTGCAGCTTCATTCTTCAAGTGAGCAACACCATGAACCTGCCAGAAGGAAGAAACACTGGACACATCTGAAGGAACAAACTCTGGACATAACACCTTTACGTGCTGTAACACTCACCACTAAGGTCTGCAGCTTCATTCTTGAAGTGAGGAAGACCACGAAACTGCCAGAAGGAAGAAACTCTGGACACATCTGGAGAAACAATCTCTGGACATAACACATTTAAGTGCTGTAATACTCACCAGTAAGTTCTGCAGCTTCATTAAAGAAGTGAGCAAGAACACGAACCTGCCAGAAGGAAGAAACTCTGGAAATATCTGAAGGATCAAACTCTGGACATAACAGCTTTAAGTACTGTAACAGTCACCAGTAAGGTCTGCAACTTCATTCTTGAAGTGAGCAAGACCATGAACCTGCCAGAAGGAAGAAACACTGGACACATCTGAAGGAACAAATTGTGGACATAACAACTTTAAATGCTGTAACACTCACCACAAAAGTCTGCAGCTTCATTCTTGAAGTGAGCAAGACCATGAACCTGCCAGAAGGAAGAAACACTGGACACATCTGAAGGAACAAACTCTGGACATAACACCTTTAAGTGCTGTAACACTCACCAGTAAGGTCTGCAGCTTCATTCTTGAAGTGAGCAAGACCATGAACATGCCAGAAGGAAGAAACTCTGGACACATCTGAAGGAACAAACTCTGGACATAACACCTTTAAGTGCTGTAACACTCAACAGTAAGGTCTGCAGCTTCATTCTTGAAGTGAGCAAGACCATGAACATGCCAGAAGGAAGAAACGCTGGACGCATCTGAAGGAACAAACTCTGGACATAACACCTTTAAGTGCTGTAACACTCACCACAAAGGTCGGCAGCTTCATTCTTGAAGTGAGCAAGACCATGAACCTGCCAGAAGACAGAAACCCTGGACACATCTGAAGGAACAACCTCTGGTCATAACACCTTTAAGTGCTGCCACCCTCACCAGTAAGGTCTGCAGCTTCATTAGTGAAGTGAGCAAGACCATGAACCTGCCAGAAGGAAGACACTCTGGACACATCTGAAGGAACAATCTCTGGACATAACAACTTTAAGTGCTGTAACACTCACCAGTAAGGTCTGCAGCTTCGTTCTTGAAGTGAGGAAGACCACGAAACTGCCAGAAGGAAGAAACTCTGGACACATCTGATGTAAAAAACTCTGGACATAACACCTTTAAGTGCTGTAACACTCACCAGTAAGGACTGCAGCTTCATTAAAGAAGTGAGCAAGACCACGAACCTGCCAGAAGGAAGAAACTCTGGACACATCTGAAGGAACAAACTCTGGACATAACAGCTTTAAGTGCTTTAAAACTCAACAGTAAGGTCTGCAGCTTCACTCTTGAAGTGAGCAACACCATGAACTTGTCAGAAGGAAGAAACGCTGGACATATCTGAAGGAAAAAACTCTGGACATAACACATTTAAGTGCTGTAACACTCAACACTAAGGTCTGCAGCTTCATTCTTGAAGTGAGGAAGACCACGAAACTGCCAGAAGGAAGAAACACTGGACACATCTGAAGGAACAAATTGTGGACATAACAACGTTAACTGCTGTAACACTCACCACAAAAGTCTGCAGCTTCATTCTTGAAGTGAGCAAGACCATGAACCTGCCAGAAGGAAGAAACACTGGACACATCTGAAGGAAGAAACTCTGCACAAAACACCTTAAAGTGCTGTAACACTCCCCAGTAAGGTCTGCAGCTTCATTAGTGAAGTGAGCAAGACCATGAACCTGCCAGAAGGAAGACACTCTGGACACATCTGAAGGAACAAACTCTGGACATAACACCTTTACGTGCTGTAACACTCAACACTAAGGTCTGCGGCTTCATTCTTGAAGTGAGGAAGACCACGAAACTGCCAGAAGGAAGAAACTCTGGACACATCTGAAGAAACAATCTCTGGACATAACACCTTTAAGTGCTGTAAGACTCACCAGTAAGGTCTGCAGCTTCATTAAAGATGTGAGCAAGACCACGAACCTGCCAGAAGGAAGAAACTCTGGAAACATCTGAAGGAACAAACTCTGGATATAACAACTTTAATTGCTGTAACACTCAACAGTAAGGTCTGCAGCTTCATTCTTGAAGTGAGGAAGACCATGAACCTGCCAGAAGGAAGAAACGCTGGACACATCTGAAGGAAAGAACTCTGGACATAACAACTTTAACTGCTGTAACACTCACCACAAAAGTCTGCAGCTTCATTCTTGAAGTGAGCAAGACCATGAACCTGCCAGAAGGAAGAAACACTGGACACATCTGAAGGAACAAACTCTGGACATAACACCTTTAAGTGCTGTAACATTCACCAGTACGGTCTGCAGCTTCATTAAGGAAGTGAGCAAGACCACGAACCTGCAAGAAGGAAGAAACTCTGGACACATCTGAAGGAACAAACACTGGACATAACACCTTTAAGTGCTGTAACACTCAACACTAAGGTCTGCAGCTTCATTCTTGAAGTGAGCAACACCATGAACATGCCAGAAGGAAGAAACTCTGGACACATCTGAAGGAACAAACTCTGGACATAACACCTTTAAGTGCTTTAACACTAAACAGTAAGGTCTGCAACTTCATTCTTGAAGTGAGCAAGACCATGAACATGCCAGAAGGAAGAAACGCTGGACGCATCTGAAGGAAAAAACTCTAGACATAACACCTTTAAGTACTGTAACACTCACCACTAAGTTCGGCAGCTTCATTCTTGAAGTGAGCAAGACCATGTACGTGCCATAAGACAGAAACCCTGGACACAGGTGAAGGAACAAACTCTGGACATAACACCTTTAAGTGCTGTAACACTCACCAGTAAGGTCTGCAGCTTAATTAGTGAAGTGAGCAAGACCATGAACCTGCCAGAAGGAAGACACTCAGGACACATCTGAAGGAACAAACTCTGGACATAACATCTTTAAGTGCTGTAACACTCACCATTAAGGTCTGCAGCTTCATTAAGGAAGTGAGCAAGACCACGAACCTGCAAGAAGGAAGAAACTCTGGAAACATCTGAAGGAAAAAACTCTGCACATAACACCATCAAGTACTGTAACACTCACCAGGAAGGTCTGCAGCTTCATTCTTCAAGTGAGCAACACCATGAACCTGCCAGAAGGAAGAAACACTGGACACATCTGAAGGAACAAACTCTGGACATAACACCTTTAAGTGCTGTAACACTCACCAGTAAGGTCTGCAGCTTCATTAAGGAAGTGAGCAAGACCACGAACCTGCCAGAAGGAAGCAACTCTGGACACATCTGAAGGAACAAACTCTGGACATAACACCTTTAAGTGCTGTAACACTCACCACTAAAGTCTGCAGCTTCATTCTTGAAGTGAGCAAGACCATGAACCTGCCAGAAGACAGAAACCCTGGACACATCTGAAGGAAAAATCTCTGGACATAACACCTTTAAGTGCTGTAACACTCACCAGTAAGGTGTGCAGCTTCATTCTTGAAGTGAGCAAGACCATGAACCTGCCAGAAGGAAGACACTCTGGACACATCTGAAGGAACAAACTCTGGACATAACACCTTAAAGTGCTGTAACACTCACCAGTAAGGTCTGCAGCTTCATTCTTGAAGTGAGGAAGACCACGAAACTGCCAGAAGGAAGAAACTCTGGACACATCTGAAGAAACAAACTCTGGACATAACACCTTTAAGTGCTGTAACACTCACCAGTAAGGTCTGCAGCTTCATTAAAGAAGTGAGCAACACCACG
This sequence comes from Homo sapiens, assembly GCF_000001405.40. Classification (NCBI taxonomy): domain Eukaryota; kingdom Metazoa; phylum Chordata; class Mammalia; order Primates; family Hominidae; genus Homo; species Homo sapiens. Next base: position 20,201,292 of record NC_000024.10, on the reverse strand, counting down.
AACCTGACAGAAGGAAGAAACTCTGGAAACATCTGAAGGAACAAACTCTGGATATAACAACTTTAATTGCGGTAACACTCACCAGTAAGGTCTGCAGCTTCATTCTTGAAGTGAGGAAGACCATGAACCTGCTAAAAGGAAGAAACGCTGGACACATCTGAAGGAAAGAACTCTGGACATAACAACTTCAAGTGCTGTAACACTCACCACTAAGGTCGGCAGCTTCATTCTTGAAGTGAGGAAGTCCATGAACCTGCCAGAAGACAGAAACCCTGGACACATCTGAAGGAACAAACTCTGGACATAACACCTTTAAGTGCTGTAACACTCACCTGTAAGGTCTGCAGCTTCATTAGTGAAGTGAGCAAGACCATGAACCTGCCAGAAGGAAGACACTCTGGACACATCTGAAGGAACAAACTCTGGACATAACACCTTTAAGTGCTGAAACACTCACCAGTAAGGTCTGCAGCTTCATTAAAGAAGTGAGCAAGACCACGTACCTGCCAGAAGGAAGAAACTCTGGAAACATCTGAAGGAACAAACTCTGGACATAACAGCTTTAAGTGCTGTAACACTCACCAGTAAGGTCTGCAGCTTGATTCTTGAAGTGAGCAACACCATGAACCTGCCAGAAGGAAGTAACTCTGGACACATCTGAAGGAACAAACTCTGGACATAACACCTTTACGTGCTATAACACTCAACACTAAGGTCTGCAGCTTCATTCTTGAAGTGAGGAAGACCACGAAACTGCCAGAAGGAAGAAACTCTGGACACATCTGGAGAAACAATCTCTGGACATAACACCTTTAAGTGCTGTAATACTCACCAGTAAGGTCTGCAGCTTCATTAAAGAAGTGAGCAAGACCAGGAACCTGCCAGAAGGAAGAAACTCTGGAAACATCTGAAGGATCAAACTCTGGACATAACAGCTTTAAGTACTGTAACACTCACCAGTAAAGTCTGCAACTTCATTCTTGAAGTGAGCAAGACCATGAAACTCCCAGAAGGAAGAAACACTAGACACATCTGAAGGAACAAATTGTGGACATAACAACTTTAAATGCTGTAACACCCACCACAAAAGTCTGCAGCTTCATTCTTGAAGTGAGCAAGACCATGAACCTGCCAGAAGGAAGAAACACTGGACACATCTGAAGGAACAAACTCTGGACATAACACCTTTAAGTGCTGTAACACTCACCAGTAAGGTCTGCAGCTTCATTAAGGAAGTGAGCAAGACCACGAACCTGCAAGAAGGAAGAAACTCTGGACACATCTGAAGGAACAAACACTGGACATAACACGTTTAAGTGCTGTAACACTCAACACTAAGGTCTGCAGCTTCATTCTTGAAGTGAGCAACACCATGAACATGCCAGAAGGAAGAAACTCTGGACACATCTGAAGGAACAAACTCTGGACATAACACCTTGAAGTGCTTTAACACTAAAGAGTATGGTCTGCAGCTTCATTCTTGAAGTGAGCAAGACCATGAACCTGCCAGAAGGAAGAAACGCTGGACACATCTGAAGGAAAAAACTCTGGACATAACACCTTTAAGTACTGTAACACTCACCACTAAGTTCGGCAGCTTCATTCTTGAAGTGAGCAAGACCATGTACCTGCCAGAAGACAGAAACCCTGGACACATCTGAAGGAACAAACTCTGGACATAACACCTTTAAGTGCTGTAACACTCACCAGTAAGGTCTGCAGCTTCATTAGTGAAGTGAGCAAGACCATGAACCTGCCAGAAGGAAGACACTCAGGACACATCTGAAGGAAAAAAACTCTGGACATAACACCTTTAAGTGCTGTAACACTCACCATTAAGGTCTGCAGCTTCATTAAGGAAGTGAGCCAGACCACGAACCTGCAAGAAGGAAGAAACTCTGGACACATCTGAAGGAACAAACACTGGACATAACACCTTTAAGTGCTGTAACACTCACCACTAAGTTCGGCAGCTTCATTCTTGAAGTGAGCAAGACCATGTACCTGCCAGAAGACAGAAACCCTGGACACATCTGAAGGAACAAACTGTGGACATAACACCTTTAAGTGCTGTAACACTCACCAGTAAGGTCTGCAGCTTCGTTTAGTGAAGTGAGCAAGACCATGAACCTGCCAGAAGACAGAAACCCTGGACACATCTGAAGGAACAAACTCTGGACATAACACCTTTAAGTGCTGTAACACTCACCATTAAGGTCTGCAGCTTCATTAAGGAAGTGAGCAAGACCACGAACCTGCAAGAATGAAGAAACTCTGGACACATCTGAAGGAAAAAACTCTGCACATAACACCTTCAAGTGCTGTAACACTCACCATTAAGGTCTGCAGCTTCATTCTTAAAGTGAGCAACACCATGAACCTGCCAGAAGGAAGAAACACTGGACATATCTGAAGGAACAAACTCTGGACATAACACCTTTAAGTGCTGTAACACTCACCAGTAAGGTCTGCAGCTTCATTAAGGAAGTGAGCAAGACCACGAACCTGCCAGAAGGAAAAAACTCTGGACACATCTGAAGGAACAAACTCTGGACATAACACTTTTAAGTGCTGTAACACTCAACACTAAGGTCTGCAGCTTCATTGTTGAAGTGAGCAACACCATGAACCTGCCAGAAGGAAGAAACTCTGGACAAATCTGAAGGAACAAACTCTGGACATAACACCTTTAAGTGCTTTAACACTAAACAGTAATGTCTGCAGCTTCATTCTTGAAGTGAGCAAGACCATGTACCTGCCAGAAGGAAGAAACGCTGGACGCATCTGAAGGAAAAAACTCTGGACATAACACCTTTAAGTACTGTAACACTCACCACTAAGTTCGGCAGCTTCATTCTTGAAGTGAGCAAGACCATGTACCTGCCAGAAGACAGAAACCCTGGACACATCTGGAGGAACAAACTCTGGACATAACACCTTTAAGTGCTGTAACACTCACCAGTAAGGTCTGCAGCTTCATTAGTGAAGTGAGCAAGACCATGAACCTGCCAGAAGACAGAAACCCTGGACACATCTGAAGGAAAAAAACTCTGGACATAACACCTTTAAGTGCTGTAACACTCACCGGTAAGGTCTGCAGCTTCATTAAGGAAGTGAGCCAGACCACGAACCTGCAAGAAGGAAGAAACTCTGGACACATCTGAAGGAACAAACACTGGACATAACACCTTTAAGTGCTGTAACACTCACCACTAAGTTCGGCAGCTTCATTCTTGAAGTGAGCAAGACCATGTACCTGCCAGAAGACAGAAACCCTGGACACATCTGAAGGAACAAACTGTGGACATAACACCTTTAAGTGCTGTAACACTCACCAGTAAGGTCTGCAGCTTCGTTAGTGAAGTGAGCAAGACCATGAACCTGCCAGAAGGAAGACACTCAGGACACATCTGAAGGAAAAAACTCTGGACATAACACCTTGAAGTGCTGTAACACTCACCATTAAGGTCTACAGCTTCATTAAGGAAGTGAGCAAGACCACGAACCTGCAAGAAGGAAGAAACTCTGGACACATCTGAAGGAAAAAACTCTGCACATAACACATTCAAGTGCTGTAACACTCACCAGTAAGGTCTGCAGCTTCATTCTTGAAGTGAGCAACACCATGAACCTGCCAGAAGGAAGAAACACTGGACACATCTGAAGGAACAAACTCTGGACATAACACCTTTAAGTGCTGTAACACTCACCAGTAAGGTCTGCAGCTTCATTAAGGAAGTGAGCAAGACCACGAACCTGCCAGAAGGAAGAAACTCTGGACACATCTGAAGGAACAAACTCTGGACATAACACTTTTAAGTGCTGTAACACTCAACAGTAAGGTCTGCAGCTTCATTGTTGAAGTGAGCAACACCATGAACCTGCCAGAAGGAAGAAACTCTGTACACATCTGAAGGAACAAAATCTGGATATAACACCTTTAAGTGCTTTAACACTCAACAGTAAGGTCTGCAGCTTCATTCTTGAAGTGAGCAAGACCATGAACCTGCCAGAAGGAAGAAACGCTGGACACATCTGAAGGAAAAAACTCTGGACATAACAACTTTAAGTGCTGTAACACTCACCACTAAAGTCTGCAGCTTCATTCTGGAAGTGAGCAAGACCATGAACCTGCCAGAAGACAGAAACCCTGGACACATCTGAAGGAAAAATCTCTGGACATAACACCTTTAAGTGCTGTAACACTCACCAGTAAGGTCTGCAGCTTCATTCTTGAAGTGAGTAAGACCATGAACCTGCCAGAAGGAAGACACTCTGGACACATCTGAAGGAAGAAACTCTGGACATAACACCTTAAAGTGCTGTAACACTCACCAGTAAGGTCTGCAGCTTCATTCTTGAAGTGAGGAAGACCACGAAACTGCCAGAAGACAGAAACCCTGGACACATCTGAAGAAACAAACTCTGGACATAACACCTTTAAGTGCTGTAACACTCACCGGTAAGGTCTGTAGCTTCATTAAAGAAGTGAGCAACACCACGAACCTGCCAGAAGGAAGAAACTCTGGAAACATCTGAAGGAACAAACTCTGGATATAACAACTTTAATTGCTGTAACACTCACCAGTAAGGTCTGCAGCTTCATTCTTGAAGTGAGGAAGACCATGAACCTGCCAGAAGGAAGAAACGCTGGACACATCTGAAGGAAAGAACTCTGGACATAACAACTTCAAGTGCTGTAACACTCACCACTAAGGTCGGCAGCTTCATTCTTGAAGTGAGGAAGTCCATGAACCTGCCAGAAGACAGAAACCCTGGACACATCTGAAGGAACAAACTCTGGACATAACACCTTTAAGTGCTGTAACACTCACCAGTAAGGTCTGCAGCTTCATTAGTGAAGTGAGCAAGACCATGAACCTGCCAGAAGGAAGACACTCTGGACACATCTGAAGGAACAAACTCTGGACATAACACCTTAAAGTGCTGTAACACTCACCAGTAAGGTCTGCAGCTTCATTCTTGAAGTGAGGAAGACCACGAAACTGCCAGAAGACAGAAACCCTGGACACATCTGAAGAAACAAACTCTGGACCTAACACCTTTAAGTGCTGTAACACTCACCGGTAAGTCTGCAGCTTCATTAAAGAAGAGAGCAAGAAGACGAACCTGCCAGAAGGAAGAAACTCTGGAAACATCTGAAGGAACAAACTCTGGATATAACAACTTTAATTGCTGTAACACTCACCAGTAAGGTCTGCAGCTTCATTCTTGAAGTGAGGAAGACCATGAACCTGCCAGAAGGAAGAAACGCTGGACACATCTGAAGGAAAGAACTCTGGACATAACACCTTCAAGTGCTGTAACACTCAACACTAAGGTCGGCAGCTTCATTCTTGAAGTGAGGAAGACCATGAACCTGCCAGAAGACAGAAACCCTGGACACATCTGAAGGAACAAACTCTGGACATAACACCTTTAAGTGCTGTAATACTCACCAGTAAGGTCTGCAGCTTCATTAGTGAAGTGAGCAAGACCACGAACCTGCCAGAAGGAAGACACTCTGGACACATCTGAAGGAACAAACTCTGGACATAACACCTTTAAGTGCTGTAACACTCACCAGTAAGGTCTGCAGCTTCATTAAAGAAGTGAGCAAGACCACGAACCTGCCAGAAGGAAGAAACTCTGGAAACATCTGAAGGAACAAACTCTGGACATAACAGCTTTAAGTGCTGTAACACTCACCAGTAAGGTCTGCAGCTTGATTCTTGAAGTGAGCAACACCATGAACCTGCCAGAAGACAGAAACCCTGGACACATCTGAAGGAACAAACTCTGGACATAACACCTTTAAGTGCTGTAACACTCACCGGTAAGGTCTGCAGCTTCATTAAGGAAGTGAGCAAGACCACGAACATGCAAGAAGGAAGAAACTCTGGACACATCTGAAGGAACAAACTCTGGACACAACACTTTATATGCTGTAACACTCACCGTAAAGTTCTGCAGCTTCATTCTTTCTTGAAGTGAGCAAGACCATGAACATGCCAGAAGGAAAAAACTCTGGACACATCTGATGGAACCAACTCTGGACATAACACCTTTAAGTGCGGTAACACTCACCACCAAGGTCTGCAGCTTCATTCTTGAAGTGAGCAAGACCATGAACCTGCCAGAAGGAAGAAACTCTGAACAAAACTGAAGGAACAACTCTGGACATACCACTTTTAAATGCTGTAAAACTCGCCGTAAACGTCCGGAGATTCATTCTTGACGTGAGCAAGGCCATGAACCTGAGAGAAGAAGGAAACTCTGGACACATCTGAAGGAACAAACTCTGGATATAACACCTTTATGTGCTGTAACACTCACCGTAAAGTCTACAGCTTCGTTCTTGAATTGAGCAAGTCCATCAACCTGCCAGAAGGAAGAAACTCTGGACATATGTGATGGACCAAACTCTGGACATAACAGCTTTATGTGCTGTAACACTCACCACTAAGTTCTGCAGCTTCATTCTTGAAGTGAGCAAGGCCATAAAACTGCCAGAAAGAAGAAACTCTATACACAACAGATGGAACAAAGTCTGGATATAACACAATTAAGTGCTGTAACACTCACCATCAAGGTCTGCAGGTTCATTCTTGAAGTGAGTAAGACCATGACCCTGCCCGAAGGAAGAACTTCTGGACACATCTGAAGGACCAAACTCTGGACAAAACACTTTTATATGCTGTAACACTCACCGTAAAGGTCAGCAGCTTCATTCTTTCTTGAAGTGAGCAAGACCATGAACCTGCCAGAAGGAAGAATATCTGGACACATCTGAAATAACAAACTCTGGACATAACAATTTTAAGTGCTGTAACACTCACCACTAAATTCTGCACCTTCACTCTTGAAGTGTGCAAGACCATGAACCTGCCAGATTGAAGAAACTTTGGACACATCTGAAGGAACAAACTCTGGACATAACACCTTTAAGTGCTGTAACACTCACCACTAAATTCTGCAGCTTCACTCTTGAAGTGAGCAAGACCATGAACCTGCCAGAAGGAAGAAACTCTATACACATCTGATGGAACAAACTCTGCACATAACACCTTAAAATGCTGTAACACTCAACACCAAGGTCTGCAGCTTCATTCTTCAAGTGAGCAAGACCATGAACCTGCCCGAAAGAAGAAATTCTGGACACATCTGAAGAACCAAACTCTGGACATAACACCTTTATATGCTGTAACACTCACCGTAAAGGTCTGCAGCTTCATTCTTTCTTGAAGTGAGCAAGACCATGAACATGCCAGAAGGAAGAATATCTGGACACATCTGAAAGAACAAACTCTGGACATAACACCTTTATGTGCTGTAACAATAACCACTAAATTTTGCAGCTTCACTCTTGAAGTGAGCAAGACCATGAACCTGCCAGATGAAAGAAACTCTGGACACATCTGAAGGAAAAAACTCTGGACATAACACCTTTAAGTGCTGTAACACTCACTACTAAGGTCTGCAGCTTCATTCTTGAAGTGAGCAAGACCATGAACCTGCCAGAAGGAAGAAACTCTGGACACATCTGAAGGAATAAACTCTGGACATAACACCTTTAACTGCTGTAACCCTCACCACTAAGGTCTGCAGCTTCATTCTTGAAGTGAGCAAGACCATGAACCTTCCAGAAGGAAGAAACTCTTCACACATCTGAAGGAAAAAACTCTGGACATAACACCTTTACGTGCTGTAACCCTCACCAATAAGGTCTGCAGCTTCATTCTTGAAGTGAGCGAGACCATGAACCTGCCCGATAGAAGAAATTCTGGACACATCTGAAGGACCAAACTCTGGACATAACACCTTTATATGCTGTAACACTCACCGTAAAGGTCTGCAGCTTCATTCTTTCTTGAAGTGAGCAAGACCATTAACATGCCAGAAGGAAGAATATCTGGACACATCTGAAGGTACAAACTCTGGACATAACACATTTAGGTGCTGTAACAATCACCAATAAATTTTGCAGCTTCACTCTTGAAGTGAGCAAGACCATGAACCTGCCAGATGAAAGAAACCCTGGACACATCTGAAGGAAAAAACTCTGGACATAACACCTTTAAGTACTGTAACACTCACCACTAAGGTCTGCAGCTTCTTTCTTGAAGTGAGCAAGACCATGAACGTGCCAGAAGACAGAAACCCTGGACACATCTGAAGGAACAAACTCTGGACATAACACCTTAAAGTGCTGTAACACTCACCGGTAAGGTCGGCAGCTTCATTCTTGAATTGAGCAAGACCATGAACCTGCCAGAAGGAAGAAACTCTGGACATATCTGAAGGAAAAACTCTGGACATAACACATTTAAGTGCTGTAACCCTCAACAATAATGTCTGCAGCTTCATTCTTGAAGTGAGCAAGACCATGAACCTGCCCGAAGGAAGAAACTCTGGACATATCTGAAGGACCAAACTCTAGACATAACACCTTTATATGCTGTAACACTCAACGTAAATGTCTACAGCTTCATTCATTCTTGAAGTGAGCAAGACCATGAACCTGCCAGAAGACAGAAACCCTGGACACATTTGAAGGAACAAAATCTGGATATAACAGCTATAAGTGCTGTAACATTCACCGGTAAGCTCTGCAACATCATTCTTGAAGTGAGCAAGACCATGAACCTGCCAGATGGAAGAAACTTTTGACACATCTGAAGGAACAAACCCTTTACATAACACCTTTAAGTTCTGTAATACTCAGCACTAAGGTCTGCAGCTTCATTCTAGAAATGAGCAAGACCATGTACCTGCCAAAAGGAAGAAACTTTGGACACATCTGATGGAACAAACTCGGGACATAACACCTGTAAGTGCTGTAACTCTCACGACCAAGGTCTGCAGCTTCATCCTTGAAGCGAGCAAGACCATGAACCTGCCAGAAGGAAGAAACTCTGGACACAACTGAAGGAACAAACTCGGACATAACACCTCAAAGTGCTGTAAAACTCACCGTAAAGGTCTGGAGCTTCATTCTTGAAGTGAGCAAGACCATGAACCTGCCAGGAGAAAGAAACTCTGGACACATCTGAAGGAACAAACTCTGGATATAACACCTTTCAGAGCTGTAACACTCACCGTAAAGGTCTGCAGCATCATTCTTGAAGTGAGCAAGACCATGAACCTGCCAGAAGGAAGAAACTCTGCACACATCACAAGGAGCAAACTCTGTACATAACACCTTTAAGTGCTGTAACTCTCACCACTAAGGTCTGCAGCTTCATTCTTGAAGTGAGCAAGATCATGCACCAGCCAGAAGGAAGAAACTCTAGACATATCTTATGGAACAAACTCTGGATATAAAACCTTTAAGTGCTGTAACGCTCACCAATAAGGTCTGCAGCTTCATTCTTGAAGAGAACAAGACCATGAACCAGCCAGAATGAAGAAATTCTGGACACATCTGAAGGAAAAATACCTGGACATGACAACATTAAGTGCTGTAACACTCACCGTAAGGGTCTACAGCTTCATTCTTGAAGTGAGGAAGACCATGAACCTGCCAGAAGAAGAAACTGTGGCCACATCCGAAGGAAGAAACTCTGGACATAACACTTTTAAGTGCTGTAACACTCACCCTAACGGTCTGCAGCTTCATTCTTGAAGTGAGCAAGACCATGAATCTGCCAGAAGGAAGAAATTCTGGACACATCTGAATGAATAAACTCTGGACATAACACCTTTAAGTGCTGTGACACTCACCACTAAGGTCTGCAGCTTCATTCTTCAAGTGAGCAAGACCATGAACCTGCCAGAAGGAAGAAACTCTATACATATCTAATGGATCAAACTCTGGACATAACACCTTTAAGTTCTGTAACACTCACCACCAAGGTCTGCAGCTTCATTCTTGAAGTGAGCAAGACCATGAACCTGCCCGAAAGAAGAAATTCTGGACACATCTGAAGGACAAAAATCTGGAAATAACACCTTTATATGCTGCAACACTCACCGTAAAGGTCTGCAGCTTCATTCTTTCTTGAAGTGAGCAAGACCATGAACATGCTAGAAGGAAGAATATCTGGACACATCTGAAGGAACAAACTCTGGACATAACACCTTTAAGTGGTGTAACAATCACCACTAAATTATTCAGCTTCACTCTTGAAGTGAGCAAGACAATGAACCTGCCAGAAGACAGAAACCCTGGACACATCTGAAGGAAAAAACTCTGGACATAACACCTTTAACTGCTGTAACACTCACCGGTAAGGTCTGCAGCTTCATTCTTGAAGTGAGCAAGACCATGAACCTGCCAGATGGAAGGAGTTCTGGACACATCTGATGTAAGAAACTCTGGACATAACACCTTTAAGTGGTGTAACAATCACCACTAAATTATTCAGCTTCACTCTTGAAGTGAGCAAGACAATGAACCTGCCAGATGGAAGAAACTCTGGACACATCTGAAGGAAAAAACTCTGGACATAACACCTTTAACTGCTGTAACACTCACCACTAAGGTCTGCAGCTTCATTCTTGAAGTGAGCAAGACCATGAACCTGCAGATGGAAGAAACTCTGGACACATCTGCAGGAACAAACTCTGGACATAACACCATTAAGTACTGTAACACTCACCACTAAGGTCTGCAGCTTCATTCTTGAATTGAGCAAGACCATGAACCTGCCAGAAGGAAGAAACTCTGGACACATCTAAAGGAAAAAACTCTGGACATAACACCTTTAAGTGTTGTAACCCTCACCGTAAAGGTCTGCCGCGTCATTCTTGAAGTGAGCAAGACCATGAACCTGCCAGAAGTAAGAAACTCTGGACACATCTAAAGGAACAAACTCTGGACGTAACATGTTTAAATGCTGTAACACTCACCGTAAAGGTCTGCAGCTTCATTCTTGAAGTGAGCAAGACCATGAACCTGCCAGAAGGAAGAAACTCTGGCCACATATGAAGGAACAAACTCTGGACATAACACTTTTAAGTGCTGTAACACTCACCACTAAGGTCTGCAGCTTCATTCTTGAAGTGAGCAAGACCATGAACCTGCCAGATTGAAGAAACTTTGGACACATCTGAAGGAACAAACTCTTTACATAACACGTTTAAGTGCTGTAACACTCAGCACTAAGGTCTGCAGCTTCATTCTTGAAGTGAGCAAGACGATGAACCTGCCAGAAGGAAGAAACTCTGGACATATCTGAAGGAACAAACTCTGTACATAACACTTTAAGTGCTGTAACACTCACCACTAAGGTCTGCAGCTTCATTCCTGAATTGAGCAAGACCATGAACCTGCCAGAAGGAAGAAACTCTGGACACATCTGAAGGAAAAAACTCTGGACATAACAACTTTAAGTGCTGTAACCGTCACCAATAATTTCTGCAGCTTCATTCTTGAAGTGAGCAAGACCATGAACCTGCACGAAGGAAGAAACTCTGGACACATCTCAAGGACCAAACTCTGGACATCACACCTTTATATGTTGTAACACTCAACGTAAATGTCTGCAGCTTCATTCATTCTTGAAGTGAGCAAGACCATGAACCTGCCAGAAGAAAGAAACTCTGGACACATCTGAAGGAAGAAACTCTTGATATAACACCTTTAAGTGCTGTAACACTCACCGTAAAGCTCTGCAACATCATTCTTGAAGTGAGCAAACCATGAACCTGCCAGATTGAAGAAATTTGGACACATCTGAAGGAACAAACTCTTTAGATAACACCATTAAGTGCTGTAACACTCAGCACTAAGGTCTGCAGCTTCATTCTTGAAATGAGCAAGACCATGTACCTGCCAAAAGGAAGAAACTCTGGACACATCTGATGGAACAAACTCGGGACATAACACCTGTAAGTGCTGTAACACTCACGACCAAGGTCTGCAGCTTCATTCTTGAAGTGAGCAAGACCATGAACCTGCTAGAAGACAGAAACCCTGGACACAACTGAAGGAACAAACTCTGGAAATAACACCTTTAAGTGCTGTAAAACTCACCGGTAAGGTCTGGAGCTTCATTCTTGAAGTGAGCAAGACAATGATCCTGCCAGGAGAAAGAAACTCTGGACACATCTGAAGGAAGAAACTCTGGATATAACACCTTTAAGTGCTGTAACACTCACCGTAAAGGTCTGCAGCATCATACTTGAGGTGAGCAAGACCATGAACCTGCCAGAAGGAAGAAACTCTGCACACATCACAAGGAACAAACTCTGTACATAACAACTTTAAGTGCTGTAACATTCACCAATAAGGTCTGCAGCTTCATTCTTGAAGTGAGCAAGACCATTCACCTGCCAGAAGGAAGAAACTCTAGACACATCTTATGGAACAAACTCTGGACATAAAACCTTTAAGTGCTGTAACGCTCACTACTAAGGTCTGCAGATTCATTCTTGAAGAGAACAAGACCATGAACCTGACAGAATGAAGAAATTCTGGACACATCTGAAGGAATAAAACCTGGACATGTCAACATTAAGTGCTGTAACACTAACCGTAAGGGTCTGCAGCTTCATTCTTGAAGTGAGGAAGACCATGAACCTGCCAGAAGGAAGAAACTCTGGACACATCACAAGGAACAAACTCTGGACTTAACACGCTTATGTGCTGTAACACTCACCACTAAGGTCTGCAGCTTCATTCTTGAAGAGAGCAAGGCCATGAAACTGCCAGAAGGAAGAAACTCTATACACAACAGATGGAACAAAGTCTGGACATAACACAATTAAGTTCTGTAACACTCACCACCAAGGTCTGCAGCTTCATTCTTGAAGTGAGTAAGACCATGACCATGCCCGAAGGAAGAACTTCTGGACACATCTGAAGGACCAAATTCTGGACATAACACCTTTATATGCTGTAACCCTCACCACTAAGGTCTGCAGCTTCATTCTTCAAGTGAGCAAGACCATGAACCTGCCAGATGGAAGAAACTCTGCAAATATCTGAAGGAAGAAACTCTGGACATAACATATTTCAGTTCTGGAACACTCACCGTAAAGGTCTACAGTTTCCTTGTTGAAGTGAGTAACACCATGAACCTGCCAGAAGGAAGAAACTGGACACATCTGAAGGAAAAAACTCTGGACATAACACCTTTAAGTGCTGTAACACTCACCGTAATGGTCTGCAGTTTCATTCTTGAAGTGAGCAAGACCATGAACCTGCCAGAAGGAAGAAACACTGGACACATCTGAAGGAACAAACTCTGTACATAACACCTTTAAGTACTGTAACACTCACCGTAAAGGACTGGAGCTTCATTCTTGAAGTGAGCAAGACCATGAACCTGCTAGAAGAAAGAAAATCTGGACACGTCTGAAGGAAAAAACTCTGGACATAACACCTTTAAGTGCTGTAACACTCACCACCTAGGTCTGCAGCCTCATTCTTGAAGTGAGCAAGACCATGAACCTGCCAGAAGGAAGAAACTCTGGACACATCTGAAGGAACAAACTCTGGACACAACACTTTATATGCTGTAACACTCACCGTAAAGTTCTGCATCTTCATTATTTCTTGAAGTGAGCAAGACCATGAACATGCCAGAAGGAAAAAAATCTGGACACATCTGAAGGGACAAACTCTGGATATAACAACTTTAAGTGCTGTAACACTCACCGTAAATGTCTGTAGCTTCATTCTTGAAGTGAGCAAGACCATGAACCTGCCTGAAGGAAGAAAGTCTATACACATCTGATGGAACAAACTCTGGACATAACACCTTTAAGTGCTGTAACACTCACCACCAAGGTCTGCAGGTTCATTCTTGAAGTGAGCAAGACCATGAACCTGCCAGAAGGAAGAAACTCCGGTCACATCTGCATGAACAAACTCTGGACATAACACTTTTAATTGCTGTAAAACTCGCCGTAAACGTCCGGAGATTCACTCTTCAAGTGAGCAAGGCCATGAACCTGCCAGAAGAAGGAAACTCTGGACACATCTGAAGGAACAAACTCTGGATATAACACCTTTAAGTGCTGTAACACTCACCGTAAAGGTCTGCAGCTTCATTCTTGTATTGAGCAAGTCCATCAACCTGCCAGAAGGAAGAAACTCTATACACATGTGATGGAACAAACTCTGGACATAACACCTTTATGTGCTGTAACACTCACCACTAAGGTCTGCAGCTTCATTCTTGAAGTGAGCAATGCCATGAAACTGCCAGAAGGAAGAAACTCTATACACAATAGATGGAACAAAGTCTGGACATAACACAATTAAGTGCTGTAACACTCACCACCAAGGTCTGCAGCTTCATTCTTGAAGTGAGCAAGACCATGAACCTGCCAAAAGGAAGAAACTCTAGACACATCTGATGGAACAAACTCGGGACATAACACCTGTAAGTGCTGTAACACTCACCACCAAGATCTGCAGCTTCATTCTTGAAGTGAGCAAGACAATGAACTTGCCAGAAGGAAGAAACTCTGGACACATCTGAAGGAACAAACTCTGGACATAACACCTTTAAGTGCTGTAACACTCAACGTAACGGTCTGGAGCTTCATTGTTGAAGTGAGCAAGACCATGAACCTGCCAGAAGGAAGAAACTCTATACACATCTGATGGAACAAACTCTGCACATAACACCTTTAAGTGCTGTAACACTCAACACCAAGGTCTGCAGCTTCATTCTTCAAGTGAGCAAGACCATGAACCTGCCCGAAAGAAGAAATTCTGGACACATCTGAAGAACCAAACTCTGGATATAACACCTTTATATGCTGTAACACTCACCGTAAAGGTCTGCAGCTTCATTCTTTCTTGAAGTGAGCAAGACCATGAACATGCCAGAAGGAAGAATATCTGGACACATCTGAAGGAACAAACTCTGGACATAACACCTTTAAGTGCTGCAACACTCACCGTAAAGGACTGGAGGTTCATTCTTGAAGCTAGCAAGACCATGAACCTGCCAGAAGGAAGAAACTCTGGACACATCTGAAGGAACAAACTCTGGACATGACAACATTAAGTGCTGTAACACTCACCGTAAAGGACTGCAGCTTCATTCTTGAAGTGAGCAAGACCATGAAGCTGCCAGAAGGAAGAAACTCTGGACACATCACAAGGAACAAACTCTGGACATAACATCTTTAAGTGCTGTAACACTCACCACTAAGGTCTGCAGCTTCATTCTTGAAGTGAGCAAGACCATGAACCTGCCAGAAGGAAGAAACTCTATACACATCAGATGGAACAAACTCTGGACATAACACATTTAAGTGCTGTAACACTCACCACCAAGGTCTGCAGCTTCATTCTTGAAGTGAGCAAGACCTTGAACCAGCCCGTAGGAAAAAATTCTGGACACATCTGAAGGACCAAACTCTGGACTTAACACCGTTATATGCTGTAACACTCACCGTAAAGGTCTGCAGCTTCATTCTTTCTTGAAGTGAGCAAGACCATGAACCTGCCAGAAGGAAGAATATCTGGACACATCTGAAGTAACAATCTCTAGACATAACACCTTTAAGTGCTGTAACACTCACCACTAAATTCTGCAGCTTCACTCTTGAAGTGAGTAAGACCATGAAACTGAAAGATTGAAGAAACTTTGGACACATCTGTAGGAACAAACTCTTTACATAAAACCTTTAAGTGCTGTAACACTCACCACTAAGGTCTGCAGCTTCATTCTTGAAGAGAACAAGACCATGAACCTGCCAGAATGAAGAAACTCTGGACACATCTGAAGGAACAAACTCTGGACATGACAAAATTAAGTGCTGTAACACTCACCGTAAAGGTCTGCAGCTTAATTCCTGAAGTGAGCAAGACCATGAACCTGCCAGAAGGAAGAAACTCTGGACACATCACAAGGAACAAACACTGGACATAACACCTTTAAGTGCTGTAACACTCACCACTAAGGTCTGCAGCTTCATTCTTGAAGTGAGGAAGACCATGAACCTGCCAGAAGGAAGAAACTCTATACACATTTGATGGAACAAACTCTGGACATAACACATTAAAGTGCTGTAACACTCACCACCAAGGTCTGCAGCTTCATTCTTGAAGTGAGCAAGACCATGAACCGGCCCGAAGGAAGAAATTCTGGACACATCTGAAGGACCAAACTCTGGACTTAACACCTTTATATGCTGTAACACTCACCGTAAAGGTCTGCAGCTTCATTCTTTCTTGAAGTGAGCAAGACCATGAACCTGCCAGAAGGAAGAATATCTGGACATATCTGAAGTAACAAACTCTGGACATAACAACTTTTAGTGCTGTTAACACTCACCACTAAATTCTGCAGCTTCACTCTTGAAGTGAGGAAGACCATGAACCTGCCAGACTGAAGAAACCCTGGACACATCTGAAGGAACAAACTCTTTACATAACACCATTAAGTGCTGTAACACTCACCGGTAAGGTCTGCAGCTTCATTCTTGAAGTGAGCAAGACCATGAACCTGCCAAAAGGAAGAAACTCTGGACACATCTGATGGAACAAACTCGCGACATAACGCCTGTAAGTGCTGCAACACTCATCACCAAGGTCTGCAGCTTCATTCTTGAAGAGAGCAAGACCATGAACCTGCCAGAAGGAAGAAACTGTGGACAAATCTGAAAGAACAAACTCTGGACATAACACCTTTAAATGCTGTAACACTCACCGTAAAGGACTGGAGGTTCATTCTTGAAGCTAGCAATACCATGAACCTGCCAGAAGGAAGAAACTCTGGACACATATGAAGGAACAAACTCTGGACCTGACAACATTAAGTGCTGTAACACTCACCATAAAGGACTGCAGCTTCATTCTTGAAGTGAGCAAAACCATGAACCTGCCAGAAGGAAGAAACTCTGGACACATCTGAAGGAACAAACCCTGGACATAACATCTTTAAGTGCTGTAACACTCACCACTAAGGTCTGCAGCTTCACTCTTGAAGTGAGCAAGACGATGAACCTGCCAAAAGGAAGAAACTCTGGACACATCTGATGGAACAAACTCGGGACATTACACCTGTAAGTGCTGTAACACTCACCACCAAGGCCTGCAGCTTCTTTCTTGAGGTGAGCAAGACCACGAACTTGCCAAAAGGGAGAAACTCTGCGCACATCAGAAGGAACAAACTCTGGACATAACACCTTTAAGTACTGTAACACTCACCACTAAGGTCTGCAGTTTCATTCTTGAAGTGAGCAAGACCGTGAACCTTCCAGAAGGAAGAAACTGGACAAATCTGAAAGAACAAACTCTGGACATAAAACCTTTAAGTACTGAAACGCTCACCATTAAGGTCTGCAGCTTCATTCTTGAAGAGAACAAGACCATGAACCTGACAGAATGAAGAAACTCTGGACACATCTGAAGGAACAAACTCTGGACATGACAACATTAAGTGCTGTAACACTCACCGTAAAGGTTTGCATCTTCATTCTTGAAGTGAGCAAGACCATGAACCTGCCAGAAGACAGAAACCCTGGACACATCTGAAGGAACAAACTCTGGACATAACACCTTTAAGTGCTGTAACACTCACCGGTAAGGTCTGCAGCTTCATTCTTGAAGTGAGCAAGACCATGAACCTGCCAGAAGGAAGAAACACTATACTCATCAGATGGAACAAACTCTGGACATAACACATTTAAGTGGTATAACACTCACCACCAAGGTCTGCAGCTTCATTCTTGAAGTGAGCAAGACCATGAACCAGCCCGAAGGAAGAAATTCTGGACACATCTGAAGGACCAAACTCTGGACATAACACCTTTATATGCTGTAACACTCACCGTAAAGGTCTGCAGCTTCATTCTTTCTTGAAGTGAGCAAGACCATGAACCTGCCAGAAGGAAGAATATCTGGACACATCTGAAGTAAAAAACTCTGGACATAACACCTTTTAGTGCTGTAACACGCACCACTAAATTCTGCAGCTTCACTCTTGAAGTGAGCAAGACCATGAACCTGCCAGAAGGAAGAAACTCTGGACACATCTAAAGGAACAAACTCTGGACATAACAACTTTAAGTGCTGTAACACTCACCGAAAGGGTCCACAGTTTCATTCTTGAAGTGAGCAAGACCATGAACCTGCCAGAAGGAAGAAACTCTGTACACATCTGAAGGAAAAAACTCTGGACAAAATACCTTTAAGTGCTGTAACACTCACAGTAAAGGTCTGCAGTTTCATTCTTGAAGTGAGCAAGACCATGAACCTGCCAGAAGGAAGAAACTCTAGACACATCTGATGGAACAAACTCTGGACATAAAACCTTTAAGTGCTGTAACGCTCACCACTAAGGACTGCAGCTTAATTCTTGAAGAGAACAAGACCATGAACCTGCCAGAATGAAGGAGTTCTAGACACATCTGATGTAAGAAACTCTGGACATAACTACATTAAATGCTGTAACACTCACCGTAAAGGTCTGCAGCTTCATTCTTGAAGTGAGCAAGACCAAGAACCAGCCAGAGGGAAGAAACTCTGTACACATCTGAAGGAACAAACCCTGGACATAACAACTTTAAGTGCTGTAACACTCACCACTAAGGTCTGCAGCTTCATTCTTGAAGTGAGCAATACCATGAACCTGCCAGAAGGAAGAAACTCTGCACACATCTGAAGGAACAAACTCTGTACATAACACCATTAATGCTGTAACACTCACCGTAAAGGTCTGCAGCTTCATTCTTGAAGTGAGCAAGACCATGAACTTGTCAGAAGGAAGAAACTCTGGACACTTCTGAAGGAACAAACTCTGGACATAACACCTTTAAGTGCTATAACACTCACCGTAAAGGTCTGCAGCTTCATTCTTGAAGTGAGCAAGACCATGAACCTGCCAGAAGGAAGAAAGTCTGGACTTATCTGAAGGAAAAAACTCTGGACATAACACCTTTAAGTGCTGTAACTCTCACCACTAAGGTCTGCAGCTTCATTCTTGAAGTGAGCCATAACATGAACCTGCCAGAAGACAGAAACCCTGGACACATCTGAAGGAACAAACTCTGGACATAACATCTTTAAGTGCTGTAACACTCACCAGTAAGGTCTGCAGCTTCATTAGTGAAGTGAGCAGACCATGAAGCTGCCAGAAGGAAGACACTCTGGACACATCTGAAGGAACAAACTCTGGACATAACAACTTTAAGTGCTGTAACACTCACCAGTAAAGTCTGCAGCTTCATTCTTGAAGTGAGGAAGACCAGGAAACTGCCAGAAGGAAGAATCTCTGGACACATCTGAAGAAACAAACTCTGGACATAACAACTTTAAGTGCTGTAACACTCACCAGTAAGGTCTGCAGCTTCATTAAAGAAGTGAGCAAGACCACGAACCTGCCAGAAGGAAGAAACTCTGGAAACATATGAAGGAACAAACTCTGGACATAACAGCTTTAAGTGCTGTAACACTCACCAGTAAGGTCTGCAGCTTCATTCTTGAAGTGAGCAACACCATGAACCTGCCAGAAGAAAGAAACTCTGGACACATCTGAAGCAACAAACTCTGGACAAAACACCTTTAAGTGCTGTAACACTCACCGTAAAAGTCTGCAGCTTCATTCTTGAAATGAGCAAGACCATGAACCTGCCAGAAGGAAGAAACGCTGGACATATCTGAAGGAAAAAACTCTGGACATAAAAACTTAAGTGCTGTAACGCTCACCACTAAGGTCCGCAGCTTCATTCTTGAAGTGAGCAAGACCATGAACCCGCCAGAAGGAAGAAACTCTGGACTTATCTGAAGGAACAAACTCTGGACATAAAAACTTAACTGCTGTAACGCTCACCACTAAGGTCTGCAGCTTCATTCGTGAAGTGAGCAAGACCATGAACCTGGAGAAGGAAGAAACTCTGGACACATCTGAAGGAACAAACTCTGGACATAACAGCTTTAAGTGCTGTAAATCTCACCACTAAGGTCTGCAGCTTCATTCTTGAAATGAGCAAGTCCATGAACCTCCCAGAAGGAAGGAAATCTAGACACATCTGATGTAAAAAACTCTGGACATAACACCTTTAAATGATGTAACACTCACCGTAAAGGACTGCAGCTTCATTCTTGAAGTGAGCAAGACCATGAACCTGCCAGAAGACAGAAACCCTGGACACATCTGAAGGAACAAACTCTGGACATAACACCTTTATGTGCTGTAACACTCACCGTAAAGGTCTGCATCTTCATTCTTGAAGTGAGCAAGACCATGAACCTGCCAGAAGGAAGAAACTCTGGACACATCTGAAGGAACAAACTCTGTAAATAACATCTTTAAGTGTTGTAACACTCACCACTAAGGTCTGCAGCTTCATTCTTGAAGTGAGCAAGACCATGAACCTGCCAGAAGGAAGAAACTCTGGACACATCTGAAGGAACAAACTCTGGATATAACACCTTTAAGTGCTGTAAAACTCACCACTAAGTTCTGCAGCTTCTTTCTTGAAGTGATCAAGACCACGAACCTGCAAGAAGGAAGAAACTCTTGACACATCTGAAGGAACAAACTCAGGACATAACACCTTTAAGTGCTGTAACACTCACCACTAAGGTCTGCAGCCTCATCCTTGAAGTGAGCAAGACAATGAACCTGCCAGAAGGAAGAAACTCTGGACACATCTGAAGGAACAAACTCTGGACATAACAACTTTTAGTGCTGTTAACACTCACCACTAAATTCTGCAGCTTCATTCTTTCTTGAAGTGAGGAAGACCATGAACCTGCCAGACTGAAGAAACTTTGGACACACCTGAAGGAACAAACTCTTTACATAACACCATTAAGTGCTGTAACACTCACCACTGAGGTCTGCAGCTTCATTCTTGAAGTGAGCAAGACCATGAACCTGCCAAAAGGAAGAAACTCTGGACACATCTGATGGAACAAACTCGCGACATAACGCCTGTAAGTGCTGCAACACTCATCACCAAGGTCTGCAGCTTCATTCTTGAAGAGAGCAAGACCATGAACCTGCCAGAAGGAAGAAACTGTGGACAAATCTGAAAGAACAAACTCTGGACATAACACCTTTAAATGCTGTAACACTCACCGTAAAGGACTGGAGGTTCATTCTTGAAGCTAGCAATACCATGAACCTGCCAGAAGGAAGAAACTCTGGACACATATGAAGGAACAAACTCTTTACCTAACACCTTTAAGTGCTGCAATACTCACCGTAAAGGTCTGCAGCTTCATTCTTTCTTGAAGTGAGAAAGACCATGAACCTGCCAAAAGGAAGAATATCTGGACACATCTGAAGGATCTAACTCTGGACATAACACCTTTAAGTGATGTAACACTCACCATAAAGGACTGGAGGTTCATTCTTGAAGCTAGCAAGACCATGAACCTGCCAGAAGGAAGAAACTCTGTACACATCTGAAGGAAAAATCTCTGGACATAATACCTTTTAGTGCTGTAACACTCACCGTAAAGGTCTGCAGTTTCATTCTTGAAGTGAGCAAGACCATGAACCTGCCAGAAGGAATAAACTGTGGACACATCTGAAAGAACAAACTCTGGACATAACACCTTTAAGTGATGTAACACTCACCGTAAGGGTCTGCAGTTTCATTCTTCAAGTGAGCAAGACCATGAACCTGCCAGAAGGAAGAAACTCTGTACACATCTGAAGGAAAAAACTCTGGACATAATGCCTTTAAGTGCTGTAACACTCACCAGTAAGGTCTGCAGCTTCATTCTTGAAGTGAGGAAGACCACGAAACTGCCAGAAGGAAGAAACTCTGGACACATCTGAAGAAACAAACTCTGGACATAACACCTTTAAGTGCTGTAACACTCACCAGTAAGGTCTGCAGCTTCATTCTTGAAGTGAGGAAGTCATGAACCTGCCAGAAGACAGAAACCCTGGACACATCTGAAGGAACAAACTCTGGACATAACACCTTTAAGTGCTGTAACACTCACCGGTAAGGTCTGCAGCTTCATCCTTGAAGTGAGCAAGACCATGAACCTGCCAGAAGGAACAAACTCTAGACACATCTGATGGAACAAACTCTGGACATAAAACCTTTAAGTGCTGTAACACTCACCGCTAAGGTCTGCAGCTTCATTCCTGAAGAGAAGAAGACCACGAACCTGCCAGAAGGAAGAAACTCTGGACACATCTGAAGGAAAAAACTCTGGACAAAATACCTTTAAGTGCTGTAACACTCACAGTAAAGGTCTGCAGTTTCATTCTTGAAGTGAGCAAGACCATGAACCTGCCAGAAGGAAGAAACTCTAGACACATCTGATGGAACAAACTCTGGACATAAAACCTTTAAGTGCTGTAACGCTCACCACTAAGGACTGCAGCTAAATTCTTGAAGAGAACAAGACCATGAACCTGCCAGAATGAAGAAACTCTGGACACATCTGAAGGAACAAACTCTGGACATGACAACATTAAGTGCTGTAACACTCACTGTAAAGGTCTGCAGCTTCATTCTTGAAGTGAGCAAGACCATGAAACTGCCAGATTGAAGAAACTTTGGACACATCGGAAGGAACAAACTCTTTACCTAACACCTTTAAGTGCTGCAATACTCACCGTAAAGGTCTGCAGCTTCATTCTTTCTTGAAGTGAGCAAGACCATGAACCTGCCAAAAGGAAGAATATCTGGACACATCTGAAGAAACAATCTCCGGACATAACACCTTTTAGTGCTGTAACACTCACCACTAAATTCTGCACCTTCACTCTTGAAGTGAGCAAGACCTTGAACCTGCCAGATTGAAGAAACTTTGGACACATCCGAAGGAAAAAACTCATTACATAACACCATTAAGTGCTGTAAAACTCATCACCAAGGTCTGCAGCTTCATTCTTGAAGTGAGCAAGACCATGAACCTGCCAGAAGGAAGAAACTGTGGACACATCTGAAACATCAAACTCTGGACATAACACCTTTAAGTGCTGTAACACTCACCGTAAGGGTCTGCAGTTTCATTCTTGAAGTGAGCAAGACCATGAAACTGCCAGAAGGAAGAAACACTGGACACATCTGAAGGAAAAAACTCTGGACATAACACCTTTAAGTGCTGTAACACTGACCGTAAAGGACTGGAGGTTCATTCCTGAAGCTAGCAAGACCATGAACCTGCCAGAAGGAAGAAACTCTGTACACATCTGAAGGAAAAAACTCTGGACATAATACCTTTAAGTGCTGTAACACTCACCGTAAAGGTCTGCAGTTTCATTCTTGAAGTGAGCAAGACCATGAACCTGCCAGAAGGAAGAAACTCTGGACACAACTGAAGGAACAAACTCTGGATATAACACATTTAAGTGCTGTAAAACTCACCGTAAAGGTCTGGAGCTTCATTCTTGAAGTGAGCAAGACCATGAAACTGCAAGAAGAAAGAAAATCTGGACACATCTGAAGGAACAAATTCTGGATATAACACCTTTAAGTACTGTAACATTCACCGTAAAGGTCTGCAGCATCATTCTTGAAGTGAGCAAGACCATGAACCTGCCAGATGGAAGAAACTCTGCACACATCACAAGGAACAAACTCTGGACATAACACCTTTAAGTGCTGTAACACTCACCACTAAGGTCTGCAGCTTCATTCTTGAAGTGAGCAAGACAATGAACCTGCCAGAAGGAGGAAACACTATACACATCAGATGGAACAAACTCTGGACATAACACATTTAAGTGCTGTAACACTCACCACCAAAGTCTGCAGCTTCATTCTTGAAGTGAGCAAGACCATGAACCAGCCCGAAGGAAAAAATTCTGGACACATCTGAAGGACCAAACTCTGGACATAACACCTTTATATGCTGTAACACTCACCGTAAAGGTCTGCAGCTTCATTCTTTCTTGAAGTGAGCAAGACCATGAACATGACAGAAGGAAGAATATCTGGACACATCTGAAGTAAGAAACTCTGGACATAACACCTTTTAGTGCTGTAACACTCACCACTAAATTCTGCAGCTTCACTCTTGAAGTGAGCAAGACCATGAACCTGCCAGATTGAAGAAACTTTGGACACATCTGAAGGAACATACTCTGGACATAACACCTTTAAGTGCTGTAACTCTCACCACTAAGGTCTGCAGATTCATCCTTGAAGTGAGCAAGACCATGAACCTGCCAAAAGGAATAAACTCTGGACACATCTGATGGAACAAACTCGGGACATAACACCTGTAAGTGCTGTAACACTCACCACCAAGGTCTGCAGCTTCATACTTGAAGTGAGAAATACCATGAACCTGCCAGAAGGAAGAAACTCTGGACACGTCTGAAAGAACAAACTCTGGACATAACACCTTTAAGTGCTGTAACACTCACCATAAAGGACTGGAGGTTCATTCTTGAAGCTAGCAAGACCATGAACCTGCCAGAAGGAAGAAACTCTGTACACATCTGAAGGAAAAAACTCTGGACATAATACCTTTAAGTGCTGTAACACTCACCGTAAAGGTCTGCAATTTCATTCTTGAAGTGAGCAAGTCAATGAACCTGCCAGAAGGAAGAAACTCTGGACACATGTGAAGGAACAAACACTGGATATAACAACTTTAAGTACTGTAACTTTCACCGTAAATGTCTGCAGCATCATTCTTGAAGTGAGCAAGACCATGAAACTTCCAGAAGGAAGAAATTCTAGACACATCTGAAGGAACAAACTCTGGACATAACAGCTTTAAGTGCTGTAAAACTCACCGTAAAGGTCTGGAGCTTCATTCTTGAAGTGAGCAAGACCATGAAACTGCAAGAAGAAAGAAAACCTGGACACATCAGAAGGAACAAACTCTGTATATAAGACCTTTAAGTACTGTAACATTCACCGTAAAGGTCTGCAGCATCATTTTTGAAGTGAGCAAGAAATGAACCTGCCAGAAGGAAGAAACTCTGCACACATCAAAAGGAAGAAACTCTGGACATAACACCTTTAAGTGCTGTAACACACACCACTAAGGTCTGCAGCTTCATCCTTGAAGTGAGCAAGACCATGAACCTGCCAGAAGGAAGAAACTCTAGACACATCTGATGGAACAAACTCTGGACATAACATATTTAAGTGCTATAACACTCACCACCAAGGTCTGCAGCTTCATTCTTGAAGTGAGGAAGACCATGAACCAGCCCGAAGGAAGAAATTCTGGACATATCTGAAGGACCAAACTCTGGACATAACACCTTTATATGCTGTAACACTCACCGTAAAGGTCTGCAGCTTCATTCTTTCTTGAAGTGAGCAAGACCATGAACCTGACAGAAGGAAGAATATCTGGACACATCTAAAGTAACAAACTCTAGACATAACACTTTTAAGTGCTGTAACACTCACCACTAAATTCTGCAGCTTCACTCTTGAAGTGAGCAAGACCATGAACCTGCCAGATTGAAGAAACTTTGGACACATCTGAAGGAACAAACTCTTTACATAACACCTTTAAGTGCTGTAACACTCACCACTGAGGTCTGCAGCTTCATTCTTGAAGTGAGCAAGACCATGAACCTGTCAAAAGGAAGAAACTCTGGACATATCTGATGGAACAAACTCTGGACATAACACCTGTAAGTGCTGTAACACTCACCAGTAAGTTCTGCAGCTTCATGCTTGAATTGAGCAAGACCATGAACCTGCCAGAAGGAAGAAACTGTGGACACATCTGAAAGAACAAACTCTGGACATAACACCTTTAATGCTGTAACTCTCACCGTAAAGGTCTGCAGTTTCATTCTTGAAGTGAGCAAGACCATGAACCTGCCAGAAGGAAGAAACTCTGGACACATCTAAAGGAACAAACTCTGGACATAACACTTTTAAGTGCTGTAACGCTCACCGTAAAGGTCTGCAGCTTCATTCCTGAAGAGAAGAAGACCACGAACCTCCCAGAAGGAAGAAACTCTGGACACATCACAAGGAACAAACTCTGGACATAAAAACTTAACTGCTGTAACACTCACCACTAAGGTCTGCAGCTTCATTCTTGAAGTGAGCAAGACCATGAACCTGCCAGAAGACAGAAACCCTGGACACATCTGAAGGAACAAACTCTGGACATGACAACATTAAGTGCTGTAACACTCACCGTAAAGGTTTGCATCTTAATTCTTGAAGTGAACAAGACCACGAACCTGCCAGAAGGAAGAAACTCTGGACACATCACAAGGAACAAACTCTGGACATAACACCTTTTAGTGCTGTAACACTCACCACTAAATTCTGCAGCTTCACTCTTGAAGTGAGCAAGACCATGAACCTGTCAGATTGAAGAAACTTTGGACACATCTGAAGGAACATACTCTGGACATAACACCTTTAAGTGCTGTAACTCTCACCACTAAGGTCTGCAATTTCATTCTTGAAGTGAGCAAGACAATGAACCTGCCAGAAGGAAGAAACTCTGGACACATCTGAAGGAACAAACACTGGATATAACAACTTTAAGTACTGTAACTTTCACCGTAAATGTCTGCAGCATCATTCTTGAAGTGAGCAAGACCATGAACCTGCCAGAAGGAAGAAACTCTAGACACATCTGAAGGAACAAACTCTGGACATAACACCTTTAAGTGCTGTAAAACTCACCGTAAAGGTCTGGAGCTTCATTCTTGAAGTGAGCAAGACCATGAAACTGCAAGAAGACGGAAAATCTGGACACATCAGAAGGAACAAACTCTGGATATAACACCTTTAAGTACTGTAACATTCACCGTAAAGGTCTGCAGCATCATTTTTGAAGTGAGCAAGAAATGAACCTGCCAGAAGGAAGAAACTCTGCACACATCAAAAGGAAGAAACTCTGGACATAACACCTTTAAGTGCTGTAACACTCACCACTAAGGTCTGCAGCTTCATCCTTGAAGTGAGCAAGACCATGAACCTGCCAGAAGGAAGAAACTCTAGACACATCTGATGGAACAAACTCTGGACATAAAACCTTTAAGTGTTGTAACGCTCACCGCTAAGGTCTGCAGCTTCATTCTTGAAGAGAACAAGACCATGAACCTGCCAGAATGAAGAAACTCTGGACATATCTGAAGGAACAAACTCTGGACATGACAACGTTAAGTGCTGTAACACTCACCGTAAAGGTCTGCAGCTTCATTCTTGAAGTGAGCAAGACCATGAACCTGCCAGAAGGAAGAAACTCTGGACACATAACAAGGAACAAACTCTGGACATAACACCTTTAAGTGCTGTAACACTCACCACTAAGGTCTGCAGCTTCATTCTTGAAGTGAGCAAGACCATGAACCTGAAAGAAGGAAGAAACACTATACACATCAGATGGAACAAACTCTCGACATTACACATTTAAGGGCTCTAATACTCACCACCAAGGACTGCAGCTTCATTCTTGAAGTGAGCAAGACCATGAACCAGTACGAAGGAAAAAATTCTGGACACATCTGAAGGACCAAACTCTGGACATAACACCTTTATATGCTGTGACACTCACCGGTAAGGTCTGCAGCTTCATTCTTTCTTGAAGTGAGCAAGACCATGAACCTGCCAGAAGGAAGACTATCTGGACACATCTGAAGTAACAAACTCTAGACATAACAACTTTAAGTGCTGTAACACTCACCACTAAATTCTGCAGCTTCACTCTTGAAGTGAGCAAGACCATGAACCTGCCAGATTGAAGAAAATTTGGACACATCTGAAGGAACAAACTCTTTACATAACACCTTTAAGTGCTGTAACTCTCACCACTGAGGTCTGCAGCTTCATTCTTGAAGTGAGCAAGACCATGAACCTGCCAGATTGAAGAAACTTTGGACACATCTGAAGGAACAAACTCTTTACATAACACCTTTAAGTGCTGTAACACTCACCGTAAAGGTCTGCAGCTTCATTCTTTCTTGAAGTGAGCAAGACCATGAACCTGCCAGAAGGAAGAATATCTGGACACAACTGAAGTAAAAAACTCTGGACATGACACCTTTTAGTGCTGTAACACTCACCAGTAAATTCTGCAGCTTCACTCTTGAAGTGAGCAAGACCATGAACCCGCCAGATTGAAGAAATTTTGGACACATCTGAAGGAACAAACTCTTTACATAACACCTTTAAGTGCTGTAACACTCACCACTGAGGTCTGCAGCTTCATTCTTGAAGTGAGCAAGACCATGAACCTGCCAAAAGGAAGAAACTCTGGACACATCTGATGGAACAAACTCGGGACATAACACTTGAAAGTGCTGTAACACTCATCACCAAGGTCTGCAGCTTCATTCTTGAAGTGAGCAAGACCATGAACCTGCCAGAAGGAAGAAACTGTGGACACATCTGAAAGAACAAACTATGGACATAACACCTTTAGGTCCTGTAACACTCACCGTAAGGGTCTGCAGTTTCATTCTGGAAGTGAGCAAGACCATGAACCGGCCAGAAGGAAGAAACTCTGGACACATCTGAAGGAAAAAACTCTGGACATAACACCTTTAAGTGCTGTAACACTCACCGTAAAGGACTGGAGGTTCATTCTTGAAGCTAGCAAGACCATGAACCTGCCAGAAGGAAGAAACTCTGTACACATCTGAAGGAAAAAACTCTGGACATAATACCTTTAAGTGCTGTAACCCTCACCGTAAAGGTCTGCAGTTTCATTCTTGAAGTGAGCAAGACCATGAACCTGCCAGAAGGAAGAAACTCTGGACACAACTGAAGGAACAAACTCTGGACATAACACCTTTAAGTGCTGTAAAACTCACCGTAAAGGTCTGGAGCTTCATTCTTGAAGTGAGCAAGACCATGAACCTGCAAGAAGAAAGAAAATCTGGACACATCTGAAGGAACAAACTCTGGATATAACACCTTTAAGTACTGTAACATTCACCGTAAATTTCTGCAGCATCATTCTTGAAGTGAGCAAGACCATGAACCTGCCAGATGGAAGAAACTCTGCACACTTCACAAGGAACAAACTCTGGACATAACACCTTTAAGTGCTGTAACACTCACCACTAAGGTCTGCAGCAGCATCCTTGAAGTGAGCAAGACCATGAACCTGCCAGAAGGAAGAAACTCTAGACACATCTGATGGAACAAACTCTGGATATAAAACCTTTAAGTGCTGTAACGCTCACCGCTAAGGTCTGCAGCTTCATTCTTAAAGAGAACAAGACAATGAACGTGCTAGAATGAAGAAACTCTGGACACATCTGAAGGAACAAACTCTGGACATGACAACATTAAGTGCTGTAACACTCACCGTAAAGGTCTGCAGCTTCATTCTTGAAGTGAGCAAGACCATGAACCTGCCAGAAGGAAGAAACTCTGGACACATCACAAGGAACAAACTCTGGATATAAGACCTTTAAGTGCTGTAACACTCACCACTAAGGTCTGCAGCTTCATTCTTTCTTGAACTGAGCAAGACCATGAACTTGCTAGAAGGAAGAATATCTGGACACATCTGAAGTAACAAACTCTAGACATAACAACTTTAAGTGCTGTAACACTCACCACTAAATTCTGCAGCTTCACTCTTGAAGTGAGCATGACGATGAACCTGCCAGATTGAAGAAACTTTGGACACATCTGAAGTAACAAACTCTTTACATAACACCTTTAAGAGCTGTAACACTCACTACTGAAGTCTGCAGCTTCATCCTTGAAGAGAGCAAGACCATGAACCTGCCAGAAGGAAGAAACTCTAGACACATCTGATGGAACAACTCTGGACATAAAACCTTTAAGTGCTGTAACGCTCACCGCTAAGGTCTGCAGCTTCATTCCTGAAGAGAACAAGACCATGAACCTGCCAGAAGGAAGAAACTCTGGACACATCACAAGGAACAAACTCTGGACATGACACCTTTAAGTGCTGTAACACTCACCACTAAGGCCGGCAGCTTCATTCTTGAAGTGAGGAAGACCATGAACCTGCCAGAAGGAAGTAACACTATACACATCAGATGGAACAAACTCTGGACATAACAAATTTAAGTGCTGTAACACTCACCACCAAGGTCTGCAGCTTCATTCTTGAAGTGAGCAAGACCATGAACCAGCCCGAAGGAAAAAATTCTGGACACATCTGAGTGACCAAACTCTGGACATAACACCTTTATATGCTGTAACACTCACTGTAAATGTCTGCAGCTTCATTCTTTCTTGAAGTGAGCAAGACCATGAACATGACAGAAGGAAGAATATCTGGACACATCTGATGTAACAAACTCTGGACATAACACCTTTTAGTGCTGTAACACTCACCACTAAATTCTGCAGCTTCACTCTTGAAGTGAGCAAGACCATGAACCTGCCAGATTGAAGAAACTTTGGACACATCTGAAGGAACATACTCTGGACATAACACCTTTAATTGCTGTAACTCTCACCACTAAGGTCTGCAGCTTCATCCTTGAAGTGAGCAAGACCATGAACCTGCCAGAAGTAAGAAACTCTGGACACATCTAAAGGAACAAACTCTGGACGTAACACCTGTAAATGCTGTAACACTCACCACCAAGGTCTGCAGCTTCATTCTTGAAGTGAGCAAGACCATGAACCAGCCCGAAGGAAAAAATTCTGGACTTATCTGAGTGACCAAACTCTGGACATAACACCTTTAAGTGCTGTAACACTCACTGTAAATGTCTGCAGCTTCATTCTTTCTTGAAGTGAGCAAGACCATGAACATGACAGAAGGAAGAATATCTGGACACATCTGATGTAACAAACTCTGGACATAACACCTTTTAGTGCTGTAACACTCACCACTAAATTCTGCAGCTTCACTCTTGAAGTGAGCAAGACCATGAACCTGCCAGATTGAAGAAACTTTGGACACATCTGAAGGAACATACTCTGGACATAACACCTTTAATTGCTGTAACTCTCACCACTAAGGTCTGCAGATTCATCCTTGAAGAGAGCAAGACCATGAACCTGCCAAAAGGAATAAACTCTGGACACATCTGATGGAACAACCTCGGGACATAACACCTGTAAGTGCTGTAACACTCACCACAAAGGTCTGCAGCTTCATACTTGAAGTGAGAAAGACCATGAATCTGCCAGAAGGAAGAAACTGTGGACACTTCTGAAAGAACAAACTCTGGACATAACACCTTTAAGTGATGTAACACTCACCATAAAGGACTGGAGGTTCATTCTTGAAGCTAGCAAGACCATGAACCTGCCAGAAGGAAGAAACTCTGTACACATCTGAAGGAAAAATCTCTGGACATAATACCTTTTAGTGCTGTAACACTCACCGTAAAGGTCTGCAGTTTCATTCTTGAAGTGAGCAAGACCATGAACCTGCCAGAAGGAATAAACTGTGGACACATCTGAAAGAACAAACTCTGGACATAACAACTTTAAGTGATGTAACACTCACCGTAAGGGTCTGCAGTTTCATTCTTCAAGTGAGCAAGACCATGAACCTGCCAGAAGGAAGAAACTCTGTACACATCTGAAGGAAAAAACTCTGGACATAATGCCTTTAAGTGCTGTAACACTCACCGTAAAGGTCTGCAGTTTCATTCTTGAACTGAGCAAGACAATGAACCTGCCAGAAGGAAGAAACTCTGGACACAACTGAAGGAACAAACTCTGGACATAACACCTTTAAGTGCTGTAAAACTCACCGTAAAGGTCTGGAGCTTCATTCTTGAAGTGAGCAAGACCATGAAACTGCCAGAAGAAAGAAACTCTGGACACATCTGAAGGAACAAACTGTGGATATAACACCTTTAAGTACTGTAACTTTCACCGTAAAGGTCTGCAGCATCATTCTTGATGTGAGCAAGACCATGAACCTGCCAGAAGGAAGAAACTCTCCACACATCACGAGGAACAAACTCTCTACATAACACCTTTAAGTGCTGTAACACTCACCACTAAGGTCTGCAGCTTCATTCTTGAAGTGAGCAAGACCATGAACCTGCCAAAAGGAAGAAACTCTGGACACATCTGATGGAACAAACTCGGGACATAACACCTGTAAGTGCTGTAACACTCACCACCAAGGTCTACAGCTTCATTCTTGAAGTGAGCAAGACAATGAACTTGCCAGAAGGAAGAAACTCTGCACACATCACAAGGAACAAACTCTGGACATAACACCTTTAAGTGTTGTAACACTCACCACTAAGGTCTGCAGCTTCTTACTTGAAGTGAGCAAGACCATGAACCTGCCAGAAGGAAGAAACTGTGGATACATCTGTAAGAACAAACTCTGGACATAACACCTTTAAGTGGTGTAACACTCACCGTAAGGGTCTGCAGTTTCATTCTTGAATTGAGCAAATCATGAACCTGCCAGAAGGAAGAAACTCTGGACACATCTGAAGGAACAAACTCTGGACATAACACCTTTAAGTGCTGTAACACTCACCGTAAAGACTGGAGGTTCATTCTTGAAGCTAGCAAGACCATGAACGTGCCAGAAGGAAGTAACTCTGTACACATCTGACGGAAAAAACTCTGGACATAATTCCTTTAAGTGTTGTAACACTCACCGTAAAGGTCTGCAGTTTCATTCTTGAAGTGAGCAAGACCATGATACTGCCAGAAGAAAGAAACTCTGGACACAACTGAAGGAACAATCTCTGGACATAACACCTTTAAGTGCTGTAAAACTCACCGTAAAGGTCTGGAGCTTCATTCTTGAAGTGAGCAAGACCATGAAACTGCCAAAAGAAGGAAACTCTGGACACATATCAAGGAACAAACTCTGGATATAACACCTTTAAGTGCTGTAACACTCACCGTAAAGGTCTGCAGCATCATTCTTGAAGTGAGCAAGACCATGAACCTGCCAGAAGGAAGAAACTCTGCACACATCACACGGAACAAACTCTGGACATAACACCTTTAAGTGCTGTAACACTCACCACTAAGGTCTGCAGCTTCATTCTTCAAGTGAGCAAGACCATGAACCTGCCAGAAGGAAGAAACTCTATGCACATCACATGGATCAAAATCTGGACATAACATATTTAAGTGCTGTAACACTCACCACCAAGGTCTGCAGTTTCATTCTTGAAGTGAGCAAGACCATGAACCTTCCAGAAGGAAGAAATTCTGGACAAATCTGAAAGAACAAACTCTGGACATAACGCCTTTATATGCTGTAACACTCACCGTAAAGGTCTGCAGCTTCATTCTTTCTTGAAGTGAGCAAGACCATGAACCTGCCAGAAGGAAGAATATCTGGACAAATCTGAAGGACAAAACTCTGCAAATAACACCTTTAAGTGCTGTAACACTCACCACTAAATTCTGCAGCTTCATTCTTTCTTGAAGTGAGAAAGACCATGAACCTGCCAGATTGAAGAAACTTTGGACACATCTGAAGGAACAAACTCTTTACATAACACCTTTAAGTGCTGTAACACTCTCCACTAAGGTCTGCAGCTTCATTCTTGAAGTGAGCAAGACCATGAACCTGCCAGAAGGAAGAAACTCTGGACACATCTGAAGGAATAAACTCTGGACATAACACCATTAAGTGCTGTAACACTCACCGTAAAGGACTGGAGATTCATTATTGAAGTGAGCAAAACCATGAACCTGCCAGAAGAAAGAAACTCTGGACACATCTGAAGGAACAAACTCTGGACATAATACCTTTAAGTGCTGTAACACTCACCGTAAGGGTCTGCAGTTTCATTCTTGAAGTGAGCAAGACCATGGACCTGCCGGAAGGAAGAATCTCTGGACTTATCTGAAGGAACAAACTCTGGACATAAAAACTTAAGTGCTGTAACGCTCACCACTAAGGTCTGCAGCTTCATTCTTGAAGTGAGCAAGACCATGAACCTGCCACAAGGAAGAAACTCTGGACTTATCTGAAGGAACAAACTCTGGACATAAAAACTTAAGTGCTGTAACGCTCACCACTAAGGTCCGCAGCTTCATTCTTGAAGTGAGCAAGACCATGAACCTGCCAGAAGGAAGAAACTCTGGACTTATCTGAAGGAACAAACTCTGGACATAAAAACCTAAGTGCTGTAACGCTCACCACTAAGGTCTGCAGCTTCATTCTTGAAGTGAGCAAGACCATGAACCTGGAGAAGGAAGAAACTCTGGACACATCTGAAGGAACAAACTCTGGACATAACAGCTTTAAGTGCTGTAAAACTCACCACTAAGGTCTGCAGCTTCATTCTTGAAATGAGCAAGTCCATGAACCTCCCAGAAGGAAGGAAAATTAGACACATCTGATGTAAATAACTCTGGACATAACACCTTTAAATGATGTAACACTCACCGTAAAGGACTGCAGCTTCATTCTTGAAGTGAGCAAGACCATGAACCTGCCAGAAGGAAGAAACTCTGGACACATCTGAAGGAACAAACTCTGGACATAACACCTTTATGTGCTGTAACACTCACCGTAAAGGTCTGCATCTTCATTCTTGAAGTGAGCAAGACCATGAACCTGCCAGAAGGAAGAAACTCTGGACACATCTGAAGGAACAAACTCTGTAAATAACATCTTTAATTGTTGTAACACTCACCACTAAGGTCTGCAGCTTCATTCTTGAAGTGAGCAAGACCATGAACCTGCCAGAAGGAAGAAACTCTGGACACATCTGAAGGAACAAACTCTGGATATAACACCTTTAAGTGCTGTAAAACTCACCACTAAGTTCTGCAGCTTCATTCTTGAAGTGAGCAAGACCATGAACCTGACAGAAGGAAGAAACTCTGGACACATCTGAAGGAACAAACTCTGGAAATAACATCTTTCAGTGCTGTAACACTCACCGTAAAGGTCTACAGTTTCATTCTTGAAGTGAGCAAGACCATGAACCTTCCAGAAGGAAGAAACTGGACACATATGAAAGAACAAACTCTAGACATAACAATTTTATATGCTGTAACACTCACCGTAAGGGTCTGCAGTTTCATTCTTGAAGTGAGCAAGACCATGGACCTGCCAGAAGGAAGAATCTCTGGACTTATCTGAAGGAACAAACTCTGGACATAAAAACTTAAGTGCTGTAACGCTCAGCACTAAGGTCTGCAGCTTCATTCTTGAAGTGAGCAAGACCATGAACCTGCCAGAAGGAAGAAACTCTGGACACATCTGAAGGAACAAACTCTGGACCTAACACCTTTAAGTGTTGTAATACTCACCACTAAGGACTTCAGCTTCATTCTTGAAATGAGCAAGTCCATGAACCTCCCAGAAGGAAGGAGCTCTAGACACATCTGATGTAAGAAACTCTGGACATAACTCCATTAAATGCTGTAACACTCACCGTAAAGGTATGCAGCTTCATTCTTGAAGTGAGGAAGACCAACAACCAGCCAGAGGGAAGAAACTCTGGACACATCTGAAGGAACAAACTCTGGACATAACAAATTTAAGTGCTGTAACACTCACCACTAAGGTCTGCAGCTTCATTCTTGAAGTGAGCAAGACCATGAACCTGCCAGAAGGAGGAAACTCTGGACACATCTGAAGGAACAAACTCTGGACATAACACCTTTAAATGCTGTAACACTCACCGTAAAGGACTGCAGCTTCATTCTTGAAGTGAGCAAGACCATGAACCTGCCAGAAGGAAGAAACTCTGGACACATCTGAAGGAACAAACTCTGGACATAGCATCATTCATTGCTGTAACACTCACCGTAAAGGTCTACAGTTTCATTCTTGAAGTGAGCAAGACCATGAACCTGCCAGAAGGAAGAAAGTGGACACATCTGAAGGAACAACCTCTGGACATAACACTATTAAATGCTGTAACACTCACCGTAAAGGTCTGCCGCGTCATTCTTGAAGTGAGCAAGACCATGAACCTGCCAGAAGGAAGAAACTCTGGACACATCTGAAGGAACAAACTCTGGACATAACACCTTTATGTGCTGTAAAACTCACCACTAAGTTCTGCAGCTTCATTCTTGAAGTGAGCAAGACCATGAACCTGCAAGAAGGAAGAAACTCTGGACTTATCTGAAGGAACAAACCCTGGACATAAAAACTTAAGTGCTGTAACGCTCACCACTAAGGTCTGCAGCTTCATTCTTGAAGTGAGCAACACGATGAACCTGCCAGAAGGAAGAAACTCTGGACACATCTGAAGGAACAAACTCTGGACCTAACACCTTTAAGTGCTGTAAAACTCACCACTAAGGTCTTCAGCTTCATTCTTGAAATGAGCAAGTCCATGAACCTCCCAGAAGGAAGGAGTTCTAGACACATCTGATGTAAGAAACTCTGGACATAACTCCATTAAATGCTGTAACACTCACCGTAAAGGTCTGCAGCTTCATTCTTGAAGTGAGCAAGACCAAGAACCAGCCAGAGGGAAGAAACTCTGTACACATCTGAAGGAACAAACCCTGGACATAACAACTTTAAGTGCTGTAACACTCACCACTAAGGTCTGCAGCTTCATTCTTGAAGTGAGCAATACCATGAACCTGCCAGAAGGAAGAAACTCTGCACACATCTGAAGGAACAAACTCTGTACATAACACCATTAATGCTGTAACACTCACCGTAAAGGTCTGCAGCTTCATTCTTGAAGTGAGCAAGACCATGAACTTGTCAGAAGGAAGAAACTCTGGACACTTCTGAAGGAACAAACTCTGGACATAACACCTTTAAGTGCTATAACACTCACCGTAAAGGTCTGCAGCTTCATTCTTGAAGTGAGCAAGACCATGAACCTGCCAGAAGGAAGAAAGTCTGGACTTATCTGAAGGAACAAACTCTGGACATAAAAACTTAAGTGCTGTAACGCTCACCACTAAGGTCCGCAGCTTCATTCTTGAAGTGAGCAAGACCATGAACCTGCCAGAAGGAAGAAACTCTGGACTTATCTGAAGGAACAAACTCTGGACATAAAAACTTAAGTGCTGTAACGCTCACCACTAAGGTCTGCAGCTTCATTCTTGAAGTGAGCAAGACCATGAACCTGGAGAAGGAAGAAACTCTGGACACACCTGAAGGAACAAACTCTGGACATAACAGCTTTAAGTGTTGTAAAACTCACCACTAAGGTCTGCAGCTTCATTCTTGAAATGAGCAAGTCCGTGAACCTCCCAGAAGGAAGGAAATCTAGACACATCTGATGTAAAAAACTCTGGATATAACACCTTTAAATGATGTAACACTCACCGTAAAGGACTGCAGCTTCATTCTTGAAGTGAGCAAGACCATGAACCTGCCAGAAGGAAGAAACTCTGGACACATCTGAAGGAACAATCTCTGGACATAACACCTTTATGTGCTGTAACACTCACCGTAAAGGTCTCCATCTTCATTCTTGAAGTGAGCAAGACCATGAACCTGCCAGAAGGAAGAAACTCTGGACACATCTGAAGGAACAAACTCTGTAAATAACACCTTTAAGTGTTGTAACACTCACCACTAAGGTCTGCAGCTTCATTCTTGAAGTGAGCAAGACCATGAACCTGCCAGAAGGAAGAAACTCTGGACACATCTGAAGGAACAAACTCTGGACATAAAACCTTTAAGTGCTGCAAAACTCACCACTAAGTTCTGCAGCTTCTTTCTTGAAGTGAGCAAGACCATGAGCCTGCCAGAAGGAAGAAACTCTGGACACATCTCAAGGAACAAACTCTGGAAATAACATCTTTCAGTGCTGTAACACTCACCGTAAAGGTCTACAGTTTCATTCTTGAAGTGAGCAAGACCATGAACCTTCCAGAAGGAAGAAACTGGACACATATGAAGGAAGAAACTCTAGACATAACAATTTTAAGTGCTGTAACATTCACCGTAAGGGTCTGCAGTTTCATTCTTGAAGTGAGGAAGACCATGGACCTGCCAGAAGGAAGAATCTCTAGACTTATCTGAAGGAACAAACTCTGGACATAAAAACTTAAGTGCTGTAACGCTCACCACTAAATTCTGCAGCTTCATTCTTGAAGTGAGCAAGACCATGAACCTGCCACAAGGAAGAAACTCTGGACACATCTGAAGGAACAAACTCTGGACATAAAAACTTAAGTGCTGTAACGCTCACCACTAAGGTCCGCAGCTTCATTCTTGAAGTGAGCAAGACCATGAGCCTGCCAGAAGGAAGAAACTCTGGACTTATCTGAAGGAACACACTCTGGACATAACACCTTTAAGTGCTGTAACGCTCACCACTAAGGTCTGCAGCTTCATTCTTGAAGTGAGCAAGACCATGAACCTGGAGAAGGAAGAAACTCTGGACACATCTGAAGGAACAAACTCTGGACATAACAGCTTTAAGTGCTGTAAAACTCACCACTAAGGTCTGCAGCTTCATTCTTGAAATGAGCAAGTCCATGAACCTCCCAGAAGGAAGGAAAATTAGACACATCTGATGTAAAAAACTCTGGACATAACAGTTTTAAATGATGTAACACTCACCGTAAAGGACTGCAGCTTCATTCTTGAAGTGAGCAAGACCATGAACCTGCCAGAAGGAGGAAACTCTGGACACATCTGAAGGAACAAACTCTGGACATAACACCTTTAAATGCTGTAACACTCACCGTAAAGGTCTGCAGTTTCATTCTTGAATTGAGCTAGACCATGAACCTGCCAGAAGGAAGAAACTCTGGACACATCTGAAGGAAAAAACTCTGGACATAGCATCTTTCATTGCTGTAACACTCACCGTAAAGGTCTACAGTTTCATTCTTGAAGTGAGCAAGACCATGAACCTGCCAGAAGGAAGAAAGTGGACACATCTGAAGGAACAAACAATGGACATAACACATTTAAATGCTGTAACACTCACCGTAAAGGTCTGCCCCGTCATTCTTGAAGTGAGCAAGACCATGAACCTGCCAGAAGGAAGAAACTCTGGACACATCTGAAGGAACAAACTCTGGACATAACACCTTTAAGTGCTGTAAAACTCACCACTAAGTTCTGCAGCTTCATTCTTGAAGTGAGCAAGACTATGAACCTGCAAGAAGGAAGAAACTCTGGACTTATCTGAAGGAACAAATCCTGGACATAAAAACATAAGTGCTGTAACGCTCACCACTAAGGTCTGCAGCTTCATTCTTGAAGTGAGCAAGACCATGAACCTGCCAGAAGGAAGAAACTCTGGACACATCTGAAGGAACAAACTCTGGACCTAACACCTTTAAATGTTGTAAAACTCACCACTACGGTCTTCAGCTTCATTCTTGAAATGAGCAAGTCCATGAACCTCCCAGAAGGAAGGAGCTCTAGACACATCTGATGTAAGAAACTCTGGACATATCTCCATTAAATGCTGTAACACTCACCGTAAAGGTCTGCAGCTTCATTCTTGAAGTGAGCAAGACCAAGAACCAGCCAGAGGGAAGAAACTCTGGACACATCTGAAGGAACAAACTCTGGACATAACAACTTTAAGTGCTGTAACACTCACCACTAAGGTCTGCAGCTTCATTCTTGAAGTGAGCAATACCATGAACCTGCCAGAAGGAAGAAACTCTGCACACATCTGAAGGAACAAACTCTGTACATAACACCATTAATGTTGTAACTCTCACCGTAAAGGTCTGCAGCTTCATTCTTGAAGTGAGCAAGACCATGAACTTGTCAGAAGGAAGAAACTCTGGACACATCTGAAGGAACAAACTCTGGACATAACACCTTTAAGTGCTGTAACACTCACCGTAAAGGTCTGCAGCTTCATTCTTGAAGTGAGCAAGACCATGAACCTGCCAGAAGGAAGAATCTCTGGACTTATCTGAAGGGACAAACTCTGGACATAAAAACTTAAGTGCTGTAACGCTCACCACTAAGGTCCGCAGCTTCATTCTTGAAGTGAGCAAGACCATGAACCCGCCAGAAGGAAGAAACTCTGGACTTATCTGAAGGAACAAACTCTGGACATAAAAACTTAACTGCTGTAACGCTCACCACTAAGGTCTGCAGCTTCATTCGTGAAGTGAGCAAGACCATGAACCTGGAGAAGGAAGAAACTCTGGACACATCTGAAGGAACAAACTCTGGACATAACAGCTTTAAGTGCTGTAAATCTCACCACTAAGGTCTGCAGCTTCATTCTTGAAATGAGCAAGTCCATGAACCTCCCAGAAGGAAGGAAATCTAGACACATCTGATGTAAAAAACTCTGGACATAACACCTTTAAATGATGTAACACTCACCGTAAAGGACTGCAGCTTCATTCTTGAAGTG
Organism: Homo sapiens; assembly: GCF_000001405.40. NCBI lineage: Eukaryota > Metazoa > Chordata > Mammalia > Primates > Hominidae > Homo > Homo sapiens. Next base: position 20,161,258 of record NC_000024.10, on the reverse strand, counting down.
AGCAAGACCATGAACCTGCCAGAAGGAAGAAACTCTGGACACATCTGAAGGAACAAACTCTGGACATAACACCTTTATGTGCTGTAACACTCACCGTAAAGGTCTGCATCTTCATTCTTGAAGTGAGCAAGACCATGAACCTGCCAGAAGGAAGAAACTCTGGACACATCTGAAGGAACAAACTCTGTAAATAACATCTTTAAGTGTTGTAACACTCACCACTAAGGTCTGCAGCTTCATTCTTGAAGTGAGCAAGACCATGAACCTGCCAGAAGGAAGAAACTCTGGACACATCTGAAGGAACAAACTCTGGATATAACACCTTTAAGTGCTGTAAAACTCACCACTAAGTTCTGCAGCTTCTTTCTTGAAGTGATCAAGACCATGAACCTGCCAGAAGGAAGAAACACTGCACACAACTGAAGGAACAAACTCTGGAAATAACATCTTTCAGTGCTGTAACACTCACCGTAAAGGTCTACAGTTTCATTCTTGAAGTGAGCAAGACCATGAACCTTCCAGAAGACAGAAACCCTGGACACATCTGAAGGAAGAAACTCTAGACATAACAATTTTTAGTGCTGTAACATTCACCGGTAAGGTCTGCAGTTTCATTCTTGAAGTGAGCAAGACCATGGACGTGCCAGAAGGAAGAATCTCTGGACTTATCTGAAGGAACAAACTCTGGACATAAAAACTTAAGTGCTGTAACGCTCACCACTAAGGTCTGCAGCTTCATTCTTGAAGTGAGCAAGACCATGAACCTGCCAGAAGGAGGAAACTCTGGACACATCTGAAGGAACAAACTCTGGACATAACACCTTTAAATGCCGTAACACTCACCGTAAAGGTCTGCAGTTTCATTCTTGAAGTGAGCTAGACCATGAACCTGCCAGAAGGAAGAAACTCTGGACACATCTGAAGGAACAAACTCTGGACATAGCATCTTTCATTGCTGTAACACTCACCGTAAAGGTCTACAGTTTCATTCTTGAATTGAGCAAGACCATGAACCTGCCAGAAGGAAGAAAGTGGACAAATCTGAAGGAACAAACAATGGACATAACACCTTTAAATGCTGTAACACTCACCGTAAAGGTCTGCAGCTTCATTCTTGAAGTGAGCAAGACCATGAACCTGCCAGAAGGAAGAAACTCTGGACTTATCTGAAGGAACAAACTCTGGACATAAAAACTTAAGTGATGTAACGCTCACCACTAAGGTCCGCAGCTTCATTCTTGAAGTGAGCAAGACCATGAACCTGCCAGAAGGAAGAAACTCTGGACTTATCTGAAGGAACAAACTCTGGACATAAAAACTTAACTGCTGTAACGCTCACCACTAAGGTCTGCAGCTTCATTCTTGAAGTGAGCAAACCATGAACCTGGAGAAGGAAGAAACTCTGGACACATCTGAAGGAACAAACTCTGGACATAACAGCTTTAAGTGCTGTAAAACTCACCACTAAGGTCTGCAGCTTCATTCTTGAAATGAGCAAGTCCATGAAACTCCCAGAAGGAAGGAAATCTAGACAAATCTGATGTAAAAAACTCTGGACATAACACCTTTAAATGATGTAACACTCACCGTAAAGGACTGCAGCTTCATTCTTGAAGTGAGCAAGACCATGAACCTGCCAGAAGGAAGAAACTCTGGACACATCTGAAGGAACAAACTCTGGATATAACACCTTTATGTGCTGTAACACTCACCGTAAAGGTCTGCATCTTCATTCTTGAAGTGAGCAAGACCATGAACCTGCCAGAGGGAAGAAACTCTGGACACATCTGAAGGAAAAAACTCTGTAAATAACATCTTTAAGTGTTGTAACACTCACCACTAAGGTCTGCAGCTTCATTCTTAAAGTGAGCAAGACCATGAACCTGCCAGAAGGAAGAAACTCTGGACACATCTGAAGGAAAAAACTCTGGACATAACACCTTTAAGTGTGTAAAACTCACCACTAAGTTCTGCAGCTTCATTCTTGAAGTGAGGAAGACCATGAACCTGCCAGAAGGAAGAAACTCTGGACACATCTGAAGGAACAAACTCTGGACATAACACCTTTAAGTGCTATAACACTCACCGTAAAGGTATGCAGCTTCATTCTTGAATTGAGCAAGACCATGAACCTGCCAGAAGGAAGAAACTCTGGACACATCTGAAGGAACAAACTCTGGACATAACATCTTTCAGTGCTGTAACACTCACCGTAATGGTCTGCAGTTTCATTCTTGAAGTGAGCAAGAGCATGAAACTGCCAGAAGGAAGAAACTCTGGACACATATGAAGGAAAAAACTCTGGACATAACACCTTTAAGTGTTGTAACACTCACCGTAAAGGACTGGAGCTTCATTATTGAAGTGAGAAAGACCTTGAACCTGCCAGAAGAAAGAAACTCTGGACACATCTGAAGGAAAAAACTCTGGACATAACACCTTTATGTGCTGTAACACTTACCTTAAAGGTCTGCAGCTTCATTCTTGAAATGAGCAAGACCATGAACCTGCCAGAAGGAAGAAACTCTATACACATCTGATGGAAAAAACTCTGGACATAACACCTTTAAGTGCTGTAACACTCACCACCAAGGTCTGCAGCTTCATTCTTGAAGTGAGCAAGACCATGAACCTGCCAGAAGGAAGAAATGCTGGCCACATATGAAGGAACAAACTCTGGACATAACAACTTTAAGTGCTGTAACACTCAACACTAAGGTCTGCAGCTTCATTCTTGAAGTGAGCAAGACCATGAACCGGCCAGAAGGAAGAAACTCTGGACACATCTGAAGGAAAAAACTCTGGACATAACACCTTTAAGTGCTGTAACCCTCACCACTAAGGTCTGCAGCTTCATTCTTGAAGTGAGCAAGACCATGAACCTGCCAGAAGGAAGAAACTCTGTACACATCTGGAGGAACAAACTCCGGACATAACACCTTTAAGTGCTGTAACACTCACCGTAAAGGACTGGAGCTTCATTATTGAAGTGACCAAGACCATGAACCTGCCAGAAGAAAGATACTCTGGACACATCTGAAGGAACAAACTCTGGACATAACCCCTTTAAGTGCTGTAACACTCACCGTAAAGGTCTGCAGTTTCATTGTTGAAGTGAGCAGGACCATGAACCTGCAGAAGGAAGAAACCCTGGAAAAATCTGAATTAACAAACTCTGGACATAACACTTTTACGTACTGTAACACTCAGCGTAAATGTCTGCAGCTTCATTCTTGAAGTTAGCAAGACCTTGAACTTGCCAGAAGGACGAAACTCTGGACACATCTGAAGGAACAAACTCTGGACATAACATTTTTCAGTGCTGTAAAACTCACCGTAAATGTCTACAGTTTCATTCTTGAAGTGAGCAAGACAAATGAACCTGCCAGAAGGAAGAAACTCTGGCCACATCTGAAGGAACAAACTCTGGACATAACACTTTTACGTGGTGTAACACTCACCCTAAATGTCTGGAGCTTCATTCTTGAAGTGAGTAAGTCCATGAACCTGCCAGAAGAAAGAAACTCTGGACATACCTGAAGGACCACACTCTGGAAATAACACCTTTATATGCTGTAACACTCACCGTAAATCTCTGCAGCTTCATTCTTTCTGGAAGTGAGCAAGACCATGTACATGACAGAAGGAAGAATATCTGGACACATCTGAAGGATCAATCTCCGGACATAACACCTTTATATGCTGTAACACTCAACGTAAAGATCTGCAGCTTCATTCTTTGTTGAAGTGAGCAACACCATGAACCTGCCAGAAGGAAGAAATTCTGGCCACATCTGAAGGAACAAACTCTGGACATAACACCTTTAAGTGCTGTAACACTCACCACTAAAGGACTGGAGCTTCACTCTTGAACTGAGCAAGAACATGAACCTGCCAGATGGAAGAACCTCTGGACACATCTGAAGGAAAAAACTCTGGAAACAAAACCTTTAAGTGCTGTAACACTCACCACCTAGGTCTGCAGCTTCATTCTTGAAGTGAGCAAGACCATGAACCTGCCAGAGGGAAGAAACTCTGTACACATCTGAAGGAACAAACTCTGGACATAACACCTTTATATGCTGTAACACTCACCAATAAGGTCTGCAGCTTCATTCTTACTTGACGTGAGCAGGACCATGAACATGCCAGAAGGAAGAAACTCTAGACACATCTGAAGGAAAAAACTGTGGACATAACATCTTTAAGTGCTGTAACCCTCACCACTAAGGTCTGCAGCATCATTCTTAAAGTGAGCAAGACCATGAACCTGCCAGAAGGTAGAAATTCTGGACACATCTGAAGGAAAAAACTCTGGACATAACACCTTTAAATGCTGTAACACTCACCGTAAAGGTCTGCAGCTTCATTCTTGAGGTCAGCAAGACCATGAACCTGCCAGAAGGAAGAAACTCTGGACACATCTGAAGGAACAAACTCTGGACATAAAAACGTAAGTGCTGTAACGCTCACCACTAAGGTCTGCAGCTTCATTATTGAATCTAGCAAGACAACGAACCTGCCAGAAGGAAGAAACTCTGGACACATCTAAAGGAAAAAACTCTCGAAATAACAACATTAAGTGCTGTAACACTCACCGTAAACGTCTGCAGCTTCATTCTTGAAGCTAGCAAGACCATGAACCTGCCAGAAGGAAGAAACTCTGGACACATCTGAAGTAACAAACTCTGGACATAATACCTTTAAGTGTTGTAACACTCACCGTAAAGGTCTGCAGTTTCATTCTTCAAGTGAGCACGACCATGAACCTGCCAGAAGGAAGAAACTCTGGACACAACTGAAGGAACAGACCCTGGACATAACACTTTTAAGTGATGAAAAAATCACCATAAAGCTCTGGAGCTTCATTCTTGAAGTGAGCAAATCCATGAACCTGCCAGAAGAAAGAAACTCTGGACACATCTGAAGGAACAAACTCTGGATATAACACCTTTAAGTGCTGTAACACTCACCGTAAAGGTCTGCAGCTTCATTCTTGAAGTGAGCAAGACCATGAACCTGCCAGAAGGAAGAAACTCTATACACATCTGAAGGAACAAACTCTGGACATAACAACTTTATATGCTGTAAAACTCACCGTAAAAGTCTGCAGCTTCATTCTTTCTTGAAGTGAGCAAGACCATGAAACTGCCAGAAGAAAGAAACTATGGACACATCTGAAGGAACAAACTCTTTACATAACACCTTTAAGTGCTGTAACACTCACCACTAAATTCTGCAGCTTCACTCTTGAAGTGAGCAAGACCATGAACCTGCCAGATGAAAGAAATTCTGGACACATCTGAAGGCAAAATCTCTGGACATAACACCTTTAAGTGCTGTAACACTCACCACTAATGTCTGCAGCTTCATTCTTGAAGGGAGCAAGACCATGAAACTGCCAGAAGGAAGAAATTCTGGACACATCTGAAGGAACAAACGCTGGACATAACACCTTTAAGTGCTGTACGACTCACCGTAAAGGACTGGAGCTTCATTATTGAAGTGAGGAAGACCATGAACCTGCCAGAAGAAAGAAACTCTGGACACATCTGAAGGAACAAACTCTGGACATAACACTTTTAAGTGCTGTAACACTCACCGTAAAGGTCTGCAGCTTCATTGTTGAAGTGAGCAGGACCATGAACCTGCAGAAGGAAGAAACTCTGGACAAATCTGAATTAACAAACTCTGGACATAACACATTTACGTACTGTAACACTCAGCGTAAAGGTCTGCAGCTTCATTCTTGAAGTTAGCAAGACCTTGAACTTGCCAGAAGGAAGAAACTCTGGACACATCTGAAGGAACTAACTCTGGATATAACACCTTTAAGTGCTGTAACACTCACCGTAAAGCTCTGCAACATCATTCTTGAAGTGAGCAAGACCATGAACCTACCAGATGGAAGAAACTCTGGACACATCTGAACGAACAAACTCTGGACATAACAAATTTAATTACTGTCACACTCACCACTAAGGTCTGCAGCTTCATTCTTGAAGTGAGCAAGACCATGAACCTGCCAGAAGGAAGAAACTCTAGACATATCTGACGGTACAAACTCTGGACATAACACCTTTAAGTGTTGTAACACTCAAAACCTAGGTCTGCAGCTTCATTCTTGAAGTGAGCAAGACCATGAACCTGCCAGAAGGAAGAAACTCTGGGCACATCTAAAAGAACAAACTCTGGACATAAGACGTTTAAATGCTGTAACACTCACTGTAAGGGTCTGCAGTTTCATTCTTAAAGTGAGGAAGACCATGAACCTGCCAGAAGAAGAAACTCTGGCCACATCTGAAGGAACAAACTCTGGACATAACACTTTTAAGTGCTGTAACACTCACCCTAACGGTCTGCAGCTTCATTCTTGAAGTGAGCAAGACCATGAACCTGCCAGAAGGAAGAAATTCTGGACACATCTGAATGAACAAACTCTGGACATAACACCTTTAAGTGCTGTGACACTCACCGTAAAGGTCCGCAGCTTCATTGTTGAAGTGAGCAAGACAATGAACCTGCCAGAAGGAAGAAACTCTATACATATCTGATGGAACAAACTCTGGACATAACACCTTTAAGTGCTGTAACACTCACCACCAAGGTCTGCAGCTTCATTCTTGAAGTGAGCAAGACCATGAACCTGCCCGAAAGAAGAAATTCTGGACACATCTGAAGGACAAAAATCTGGAAATAACACCTTTATATGCTGCACACTCACCGTAAAGGTCTGCAGCTTCATTCTTTCTTGAAGTGAGCAAGACCATGAACATGCTAGAAGGAAGAATATCTGGACACATCTGAAGGAACAAACTCTGGACATAACACCTTTAAGTGGTGTAACAATCACCACTAAATTATTCAGCTTCACTCTTGAAGTGAGCAAGACAATGAACCTGCCAGATGGAAGAAACTCTGGACACATCTGAAGGAAAAAACTCTGGACATAACACCTTTAACTGCTGTAACACTCACCACTAAGGTCTGCAGCTTCATTCTTGAAGTGAGCAAGACCATGAACCTGCCAGATGGAAGAAACTCTGGACACATCTGCAGGAACAAACTCTGGACATAACACCTTTAAGTGGTGTAACAATCACCACTAAATTATTCAGCTTCACTCTTGAAGTGAGCAAGACAATGAACCTGCCAGATGGAAGAAACTCTGGACACATCTGAAGGAAAAAACTCTGGACATAACACCTTTAACTGCTGTAACACTCACCACTAAGGTCTGCAGCTTCATTCTTGAAGTGAGCAAGACCATGAACCTGCAGATGGAAGAAACTCTGGACACATCTGCAGGAACAAACTCTGGACATAACACCATTAAGTACTGTAACACTCACCACTAAGGTCTGCAGCTTCATTCTTGAATTGAGCAAGACCATGAACCTGCCAGAAGGAAGAAACTCTGGACACATCTAAAGGAAAAAACTCTGGACATAACACCTTGAAGTGTTGTAACCCTCACCACTAAGGTCTGCAGCTTCATTCTTGAAGTGAGCAAGACCATGAACCTGCCAGAAGTAAGAAACTCTGGACACATCTAAAGGAACAAACTCTGGACGTAACATGTTTAAATGCTGTAACACTCACCGTAAAGGTCTGCAGCTTCATTCTTGAAGTGAGCAAGACCATGAACCTGCCAGAAGGAAGAAACTCTGGCCACATATGAAGGAACAAACTCTGGACATAACACTTTTAAGTGCTGTAACACTCACCACTAAGGTCTGCAGCTTCATTCTTGAAGTGAGCAAGACCATGAACCTGCCAGATTGAAGAAACTTTGGACACATCTGAAGGAACAAACTCTTTACATAACACGTTTAAGTGCTGTAACACTCAGCACTAAGGTCTGCAGCTTCATTCTTGAAGTGAGCAAGACGATGAACCTGCCAGAAGGAAGAAACTCTGGACATATCTGAAGGAACAAACTCTGTACATAACACTTTAAGTGCTGTAACACTCACCACTAAGGTCTGCAGCTTCATTCCTGAATTGAGCAAGACCATGAACCTGCCAGAAGGAAGAAACTCTGGACACATCTGAAGGAAAAAACTCTGGACATAACAACTTTAAGTGCTGTAACCGTCACCAATAATTTCTGCAGCTTCATTCTTGAAGTGAGCAAGACCATGAACCTGCACGAAGGAAGAAACTCTGGACACATCTCAAGGACCAAACTCTGGACATCACACCTTTATATGTTGTAACACTCAACGTAAATGTCTGCAGCTTCATTCATTCTTGAAGTGAGCAAGACCATGAACCTGCCAGAAGAAAGAAACTCTGGACACATCTGAAGGAAGAAACTCTTGATATAACACCTTTAAGTGCTGTAACACTCACCGTAAAGCTCTGCAACATCATTCTTGAAGTGAGCAAACCATGAACCTGCCAGATTGAAGAAATTTGGACACATCTGAAGGAACAAACTCTTTAGATAACACCATTAAGTGCTGTAACACTCAGCACTAAGGTCTGCAGCTTCATTCTTGAAATGAGCAAGACCATGTACCTGCCAAAAGGAAGAAACTCTGGACACATCTGATGGAACAAACTCGGGACATAACACCTGTAAGTGCTGTAACACTCACGACCAAGGTCTGCAGCTTCATTCTTGAAGTGAGCAAGACCATGAACCTGCTAGAAGGAAGAAACTCTGGACACAACTGAAGGAACAAACTCTGGAAATAACACCTTTAAGTGCTGTAAAACTCACCGTAAAGGTCTGGAGCTTCATTCTTGAAGTGAGCAAGACAATGATCCTGCCAGGAGAAAGAAACTCTGGACACATCTGAAGGAAGAAACTCTGGATATAACACCTTTAAGTGCTGTAACACTCACCGTAAAGGTCTGCAGCATCATACTTGAGGTGAGCAAGACCATGAACCTGCCAGAAGGAAGAAACTCTGCACACATCACAAGGAACAAACTCTGTACATAACAACTTTAAGTGCTGTAACATTCACCAATAAGGTCTGCAGCTTCATTCTTGAAGTGAGCAAGACCATTCACCTGCCAGAAGGAAGAAACTCTAGACACATCTTATGGAACAAACTCTGGACATAAAACCTTTAAGTGCTGTAACGCTCACTACTAAGGTCTGCAGATTCATTCTTGAAGAGAACAAGACCATGAACCTGACAGAATGAAGAAATTCTGGACACATCTGAAGGAATAAAACCTGGACATGTCAACATTAAGTGCTGTAACACTAACCGTAAGGGTCTGCAGCTTCATTCTTGAAGTGAGGAAGACCATGAACCTGCCAGAAGGAAGAAACTCTGGACACATCACAAGGAACAAACTCTGGACTTAACACGCTTATGTGCTGTAACACTCACCACTAAGGTCTGCAGCTTCATTCTTGAAGAGAGCAAGGCCATGAAACTGCCAGAAGGAAGAAACTCTATACACAACAGATGGAACAAAGTCTGGACATAACACAATTAAGTTCTGTAACACTCACCACCAAGGTCTGCAGCTTCATTCTTGAAGTGAGTAAGACCATGACCATGCCCGAAGGAAGAACTTCTGGACACATCTGAAGGACCAAATTCTGGACATAACACCTTTATATGCTGTAACCCTCACCACTAAGGTCTGCAGCTTCATTCTTCAAGTGAGCAAGACCATGAACCTGCCAGATGGAAGAAACTCTGCAAATATCTGAAGGAAGAAACTCTGGACATAACATATTTCAGTTCTGGAACACTCACCGTAAAGGTCTACAGTTTCCTTGTTGAAGTGAGTAACACCATGAACCTGCCAGAAGGAAGAAACTGGACACATCTGAAGGAAAAAACTCTGGACATAACACCTTTAAGTGCTGTAACACTCACCGTAATGGTCTGCAGTTTCATTCTTGAAGTGAGCAAGACCATGAACCTGCCAGAAGGAAGAAACACTGGACACATCTGAAGGAACAAACTCTGTACATAACACCTTTAAGTACTGTAACACTCACCGTAAAGGACTGGAGCTTCATTCTTGAAGTGAGCAAGACCATGAACCTGCTAGAAGAAAGAAAATCTGGACACGTCTGAAGGAAAAAACTCTGGACATAACACCTTTAAGTGCTGTAACACTCACCACCTAGGTCTGCAGCCTCATTCTTGAAGTGAGCAAGACCATGAACCTGCCAGAAGGAAGAAACTCTGGACACATCTGAAGGAACAAACTCTGGACACAACACTTTATATGCTGTAACACTCACCGTAAAGTTCTGCATCTTCATTATTTCTTGAAGTGAGCAAGACCATGAACATGCCAGAAGGAAAAAAATCTGGACACATCTGAAGGGACAAACTCTGGATATAACAACTTTAAGTGCTGTAACACTCACCGTAAATGTCTGTAGCTTCATTCTTGAAGTGAGCAAGACCATGAACCTGCCTGAAGGAAGAAAGTCTATACACATCTGATGGAACAAACTCTGGACATAACACCTTTAAGTGCTGTAACACTCACCACCAAGGTCTGCAGGTTCATTCTTGAAGTGAGCAAGACCATGAACCTGCCAGAAGGAAGAAACTCTGCACAAAACTGAAGGAACAAACTCTGGACATAACACTTTTAATTGCTGTAAAACTCGCCGTAAACGTCCGGAGATTCACTCTTGAATTGAGCAAGGCCATGAACCTGAGAGAAGAAGGAAACTCTGGACACATCTGAAGGAACAAACTCTGGATATAACACCTTTAAGTGCTGTAACACTCACCGTAAAGGTCTGCAGCTTCATTCTTGTATTGAGCAAGTCCATCAACCTGCCAGAAGGAAGAAACTCTATACACATGTGATGGAACAAACTCTGGACATAACACCTTTATGTGCTGTAACACTCACCACTAAGGTCTGCAGCTTCATTCTTGAAGTGAGCAATGCCATGAAACTGCCAGAAGGAAGAAACTCTATACACAATAGATGGAACAAAGTCTGGACATAACACAATTAAGTGCTGTAACACTCACCACCAAGGTCTGCAGCTTCATTCTTGAAGTGAGCAAGACCATGAACCTGCCAAAAGGAAGAAACTCTAGACACATCTGATGGAACAAACTCGGGACATAACACCTGTAAGTGCTGTAACACTCACCACCAAGATCTGCAGCTTCATTCTTGAAGTGAGCAAGACAATGAACTTGCCAGAAGGAAGAAACTCTGGACACATCTGAAGGAACAAACTCTGGACATAACACCTTTAAGTGCTGTAACACTCAACGTAACGGTCTGGAGCTTCATTGTTGAAGTGAGCAAGACCATGAACCTGCCAGAAGGAAGAAACTCTATACACATCTGATGGAACAAACTCTGCACATAACACCTTTAAGTGCTGTAACACTCAACACCAAGGTCTGCAGCTTCATTCTTCAAGTGAGCAAGACCATGAACCTGCCCGAAAGAAGAAATTCTGGACACATCTGAAGAACCAAACTCTGGATATAACACCTTTATATGCTGTAACACTCACCGTAAAGGTCTGCAGCTTCATTCTTTCTTGAAGTGAGCAAGACCATGAACATGCCAGAAGGAAGAATATCTGGACACATCTGAAGGAACAAACTCTGGACATAACACCTTTAAGTGCTGCAACACTCACTGTAAAGGTCTGGAGGTTCATTCTTGAAGCTAGCAAGACCATGAACCTGCCAGAAGGAAGAATATCTGGACACATCTGAAGAAAGAATCTCTGGACATGACAACATTATGTGCTGTAACACTCACCGTAAAGGACTGCAGCTTCATTCTTGAAGTTAGCAAGACCATGAAGCTGCCAGAAGGAAGAAACTCTGGACACATCACAAGGAACAAACTCTGGACGTAACACCTTTAAGTGCTGTCACACTCACCACTAAGGTCTGCAGCTTCATTCTTGAATTGAGCAAGACCATGAACCTGCCAGAAGGAAGAAACTCTGCACACATCTGAAGGAACAAACTCTGGACATAACACCTTTAAATGCTGTAACACTCACCGTAAAGGTCTGCAGCTTCATTCTTGAGGTGAGCAAGACCAAGAACCTGCCAGAAGGAAGAAACTCTGGATACATCTGTAGGAACAAACTCTGGACATAACACCTTTAAGTGCCGTAACGTAAAGGTCTGCAGCTTCATTCTTGAAGTGAGCAAGACCATGAACCTGCCAGAAGGAAGAAACACTGGACACATCTGAAGGAACAAACTCTGGACATAACATCTTTCATTGCTGTAACACTCACCGTAAAGGTCTACAGATTCATTCTTGAAGGGGGCAAGACCATGAACCTGCCAGAAGGAAGAAACTGGACACATCTGAAGGAACAAACTCTGGACATAACACCTTTAAATGCTGTAACACTCACCGTAAAGGTCTGCCGCGTCATTCTTGAGGTGAGCAAGACCATGAACCTGCCAGAAGGAAGAAACTCTGGACACATCTGAAGGAACAAACTCTGGACATAACACCTTTAAGTGCTGTAACACTCACCGTAAGGGTCTGCAGTTTCATTCTTGAAGTGAGCAAGACCATGAACCTGCCAGAAGGAAGAAACTCTGGACACATCTGAATTAACAAACTCTGGACATAACACCTTTAAGTGCTGTAAAACTCACCACTAAGTTCTGCAGCTTCATTCTTGAAGTGAGCAAGACCATGAACCTGTCAGAAGGAAGAAACTCTGGACTTATCTGAAGGAACAAACTCTGGACATAAAAACTTAACTGCTGTAACGCTCACCACTACGGTCTGCAGCTTCATTCTTGAAGTGAGCAAGACCATGAACCTGCCAGAAAGAAGACACTCTGGACACATCTGAAGGGACAAACTCTGGACATAACACCTTTAAGTGCTGTAAAACTCACCACTAAAGTCTGCAGCTTCATCCTTGAAATGAGCAAGTACATGAACCTCCCAGAAGGAAGGAACTCTAGACATATCTGATGTAACAAACTCTGGACATAACACCTTTAAATGATGTAACACACACCGTAAAGGTCTGCAGCTTCATTCTTGAAGTGAGCAAGACCATGAACCTGCCAGAAGGAAGAAACTCTGGACACACCTGAAGGAACAAACTCTGGACATAAAAACTTTAAGTGCTGTAACACTCACCACTGAGGTCTGCAGCTTCATTCTTGAAGTGAGCAATACCATGAACCTGCCAGAAGGAAGAAATTCTGCAAACAACTGAAGGAACAAACTAAGGACATAACACCTTTAAGTGCTGTAACACTCACCGTAAAGGTCTGCAGCTTCATTCTTGAAGTGAGCAAGACCAAGAACCTGCCAGAAGGAAGAAACTCTGGACACATCTGAAGGAACAAACTCTGGACTTAACACCTTTAAGTGCTGTAACACTGACCGTAAAGGTCTGCAGCTTCATTCTTAAAGTGAGCAAGACCATGAACCTGCCAGAAGGAAGAAACTCTGGACACATCTGAAGGAACAAACTCTGGACATAACAACTTTAAGTGTTGTAACACTCACCACTAAGGTCTGCAGCTTCATTCTTGAAATGAGCAATACCATGAACCTGCCAGAAGGAAGAAACTCTGGACACATCTGAAGGAACAAACCCTGGACGTAACACCTTTAAGTGCTGTAAAACTCACCACTAAGTTCTGCAGCTTCATTCTTGAAGTGAGCAAGACAATGATCCTGCCAGAAGGAAGAAACTCTGGACACATCTGAAGGAACAAACTCTGGATATAACATCTTTAAGTACTGTAACACTCACCGTAAATGTCTACAGTTTCATTCTTGAAGTGAGCAAGACCATGAACCTTCCAGAAGGAAGAAATTCTAGACACATCTGAAGGAACAAACTCTGGACATAACAGCTTTAAGTGCTGTAAAACTCACCGTAAAGGTCTGGAGCTTCATTCTTGAAGTGAGCAAGACCATGAAACTGCAAGAAGAGAGAAAACCTGGACACATCAGAAGGAACAAACTCTGTATATAAGACCTTTAAGTACTGTAACATTCACCGTAAAGGTCTGCAGCATCATTTTTGAAGTAACAAACTCTAGACATAACAACTTTAAGTGCTGTAACACTCACCACTAAATTCTGCAGCTTCACTCTTGAAGTGAGCAAGACCATGAACCTGCCAGATTGAAGAAAATTTGGACACATCTGAAGGAACAAACTCTTTACATAACACCTTTAAGTGCTGTAACTCTCACCACTGAGGTCTGCAGCTTCATTCTTGAAGTGAGCAAGACCATGAACCTGCCAGATTGAAGAAACTTTGGACACATCTGAAGGAACAAACTCTTTACATAACACCTTTAAGTGCTGTAACACTCACCGTAAAGGTCTGCAGCTTCATTCTTTCTTGAAGTGAGCAAGACCATGAACCTGCCAGAAGGAAGAATATCTGGACACAACTGAAGTAAAAAACTCTGGACATGACACCTTTTAGTGCTGTAACACTCACCAGTAAATTCTGCAGCTTCACTCTTGAAGTGAGCAAGACCATGAACCCGCCAGATTGAAGAAATTTTGGACACATCTGAAGGAACAAACTCTTTACATAACACCTTTAAGTGCTGTAACACTCACCACTGAGGTCTGCAGCTTCATTCTTGAAGTGAACAAGACCATGAACCTGCCAAAAGGAAGAAACTCTGGACACATCTGATGGAACAAACTCGGGACATAACAACTTTAAGTGCTGTAACACTCATCACCAAGGTCTGCAGCTTCATTCTTGAAGTGAGCAAGACCATGAACCTGCCAGAAGGAAGAAACTCAGAACACATCTGAAAGAACAAACTATGGACATAACACCTTTAGGTCCTGTAACACTCACCGTAAGGGTCTGCAGTTTCATTCTGGAAGTGAGCAAGACCATGAACCGGCCAGAAGGAAGAAACTCTGGACACATCTGAAGGAAAAAACTCTGGACATAACACCTTTAAGTGCTGTAACACTCACCGTAAAGGACTGGAGGTTCATTCTTGAAGCTAGCAAGACCATGAACCTGCCAGAAGGAAGAAACTCTGTACACATCTGAAGGAAAAAACTCTGGACATAATACCTTTAAGTGCTGTAACCCTCACCGTAAAGGTCTGCAGTTTCATTCTTGAAGTGAGCAAGACCATGAACCTGCCAGAAGGAAGAAACTCTGGACACAACTGAAGGAACAAACTCTGGACATAACACCTTTAAGTGCTGTAAAACTCACCGTAAAGGTCTGGAGCTTCATTCTTGAAGTGAGCAAGACCATGAACCTGCAAGAAGAAAGAAAATCTGGACACATCTGAAGGAACAAACTCTGGATATAACACCTTTAAGTACTGTAACATTCACCGTAAATTTCTGCAGCATCATTCTTGAAGTGAGCAAGACCATGAACCTGCCAGATGGAAGAAACTCTGCACACTTCACAAGGAACAAACTCTGGACATAACACCTTTAAGTGCTGTAACACTCACCACTAAGGTCTGCAGCAGCATCCTTGAAGTGAGCAAGACCATGAACCTGCCAGAAGGAAGAAACTCTAGACACATCTGATGGAACAAACTCTGGATATAAAACCTTTAAGTGCTGTAACGCTCACCGCTAAGGTCTGCAGCTTCATTCTTAAAGAGAACAAGACAATGAACGTGCTAGAATGAAGAAACTCTGGACACATCTGAAGGAACAAACTCTGGACATGACAACATTAAGTGCTGTAACACTCACCGTAAAGGTCTGCAGCTTCATTCTTGAAGTGAGCAAGACCATGAACCTGCCAGAAGGAAGAAACTCTGGACACATCACAAGGAACAAACTCTGGACATAAGACCTTTAAGTGCTGTAACACTCACCACTAAGGTCTGCAGCTTCATTCTTTCTTGAACTGAGCAAGACCATGAACTTGCTAGAAGGAAGAATATCTGGACACATCTGAAGTAACAAACTCTAGACATAACAACTTTAAGTGCTGTAACACTCACCACTAAATTCTGCAGCTTCACATCTTGAAGTGAGCATGACGATGAACCTGCCAGATTGAAGAAACTTTGGACACATCTGAAGTAACAAACTCTTTACATAACACCTTTAAGAGCTGTAACACTCACTACTGAAGTCTGCAGCTTCATCCTTGAAGAGAGCAAGACCATGAACCTGCCAGAAGGAAGAAACTCTAGACACATCTGATGGAACAACTCTGGACATAAAACCTTTAAGTGCTGTAACGCTCACCGCTAAGGTCTGCAGCTTCATTCCTGAAGAGAACAAGACCATGAACCTGCCAGAAGGAAGAAACTCTGGACACATCACAAGGAACAAACTCTGGACATAACACCTTTAAGTGCTGTAACACTCACCACTAAGGCCGGCAGCTTCATTCTTGAAGTGAGCAAGACCATGAACCTGCCAGAAGGAAGTAACACTATACACATCAGATGGAACAAACTCTGGACATAACAAATTTAAGTGCTGTAACACTCACCACCAAGGTCTGCAGCTTCATTCTTGAAGTGAGCAAGACCATGAACCAGCCCGAAGGAAAAAATTCTGGACACATCTGAGTGACCAAACTCTGGACATAACACCTTTATATGCTGTAACACTCACTGTAAATGTCTGCAGCTTCATTCTTTCTTGAAGTGAGCAAGACCATGAACATGACAGAAGGAAGAATATCTGGACACATCTGATGTAACAAACTCTGGACATAACACCTTTTAGTGCTGTAACACTCACCACTAAATTCTGCAGCTTCACTCTTGAAGTGAGCAAGACCATGAACCTGCCAGATTGAAGAAACTTTGGACACATCTGAAGGAACATACTCTGGACATAACACCTTTAATTGCTGTAACTCTCACCACTAAGGTCTGCAGATTCATCCTTGAAGAGAGCAAGACCATGAACCTGCCAAAAGGAATAAACTCTGGACACATCTGATGGAACAACCTCGGGACATAACACCTGTAAGTGCTGTAACACTCACCACAAAGGTCTGCAGCTTCATACTTGAAGTGAGAAAGACCATGAATCTGCCAGAAGGAAGAAACTGTGGACACTTCTGAAAGAACAAACTCTGGACATAACACCTTTAAGTGATGTAACACTCACCATAAAGGACTGGAGGTTCATTCTTGAAGCTAGCAAGACCATGAACCTGCCAGAAGGAAGAAACTCTGTACACATCTGAAGGAAAAATCTCTGGACATAATACCTTTTAGTGCTGTAACACTCACCGTAAAGGTCTGCAGTTTCATTCTTGAAGTGAGCAAGACCATGAACCTGCCAGAAGGAATAAACTGTGGACACATCTGAAAGAACAAACTCTGGACATAACAACTTTAAGTGATGTAACACTCACCGTAAGGGTCTGCAGTTTCATTCTTCAAGTGAGCAAGACCATGAACCTGCCAGAAGGAAGAAACTCTGTACACATCTGAAGGAAAAAACTCTGGACATAATGCCTTTAAGTGCTGTAACACTCACCGTAAAGGTCTGCAGTTTCATTCTTGAACTGAGCAAGACAATGAACCTGCCAGAAGGAAGAAACTCTGGACACAACTGAAGGAACAAACTCTGGACATAACACCTTTAAGTGCTGTAAAACTCACCGTAAAGGTCTGGAGCTTCATTCTTGAAGTGAGCAAGACCATGAAACTGCCAGAAGAAAGAAACTCTGGACACATCTGAAGGAACAAACTGTGGATATAACACCTTTAAGTACTGTAACTTTCACCGTAAAGGTCTGCAGCATCATTCTTGATGTGAGCAAGACCATGAACCTGCCAGAAGGAAGAAACTCTCCACACATCACGAGGAACAAACTCTCTACATAACACCTTTAAGTGCTGTAACACTCACCACTAAGGTCTGCAGCTTCATTCTTGAAGTGAGCAAGACCATGAACCTGCCAAAAGGAAGAAACTCTGGACACATCTGATGGAACAAACTCGGGACATAACACCTGTAAGTGCTGTAACACTCACCACCAAGGTCTACAGCTTCATTCTTGAAGTGAGCAAGACAATGAACTTGCCAGAAGGAAGAAACTCTGCACACATCACAAGGAACAAACTCTGGACATAACACCTTTAAGTGTTGTAACACTCACCACTAAGGTCTGCAGCTTCTTACTTGAAGTGAGCAAGACCATGAACCTGCCAGAAGGAAGAAACTGTGGATACATCTGTAAGAACAAACTCTGGACATAACACCTTTAAGTGGTGTAACACTCACCGTAAGGGTCTGCAGTTTCATTCTTGAATTGAGCAAATCATGAACCTGCCAGAAGGAAGAAACTCTGGACACATCTGAAGGAACAAACTCTGGACATAACACCTTTAAGTGCTGTAACACTCACCGTAAAGACTGGAGGTTCATTCTTGAAGCTAGCAAGACCATGAACGTGCCAGAAGGAAGTAACTCTGTACACATCTGACGGAAAAAACTCTGGACATAATTCCTTTAAGTGTTGTAACACTCACCGTAAAGGTCTGCAGTTTCATTCTTGAAGTGAGCAAGACCATGATACTGCCAGAAGAAAGAAACTCTGGACACAACTGAAGGAACAATCTCTGGACATAACACCTTTAAGTGCTGTAAAACTCACCGTAAAGGTCTGGAGCTTCATTCTTGAAGTGAGCAAGACCATGAAACTGCCAAAAGAAGGAAACTCTGGACACATATCAAGGAACAAACTCTGGATATAACACCTTTAAGTGCTGTAACACTCACCGTAAAGGTCTGCAGCATCATTCTTGAAGTGAGCAAGACCATGAACCTGCCAGAAGGAAGAAACTCTGCACACATCACACGGAACAAACTCTGGACATAACACCTTTAAGTGCTGTAACACTCACCACTAAGGTCTGCAGCTTCATTCTTCAAGTGAGCAAGACCATGAACCTGCCAGAAGGAAGAAACTCTATGCACATCACATGGATCAAAATCTGGACATAACATATTTAAGTGCTGTAACACTCACCACCAAGGTCTGCAGCTTCATTCTTGAAGTGAGCAAGACCATGAACCTGCCCGAAGGAAGAAATTCTGGACAAATCTGAAGGACCAAACTCTGGACATAACGCCTTTATATGCTGTAACACTCACCGTAAAGGTCTGCAGCTTCATTCTTTCTTGAAGTGAGCAAGACCATGAACCTGCCAGAAGGAAGAATATCTGGACAAATCTGAAGTAACAAACTCTGGACATAACACCTTTAAGTGCTGTAACACTCACCACTAAATTCTGCAGCTTCACTCTT
This sequence comes from Homo sapiens, assembly GCF_000001405.40. Taxonomy (NCBI): domain Eukaryota; kingdom Metazoa; phylum Chordata; class Mammalia; order Primates; family Hominidae; genus Homo; species Homo sapiens. The sequence goes on along the minus strand of NC_000024.10, from coordinate 20,142,048 downwards.
GAAGTGAGAAAGACCATGAACCTGCCAGATTGAAGAAACTTTGGACACATCTGAAGGAACAAACTCTTTACATAACACCTTTAAGTGCTGTAACACTCTCCACTAAGGTCTGCAGCTTCATTCTTGAAGTGAGCAAGACCATGAACCTGCCAGAAGGAAGAAACTCTGGACACATCTGAAGGAATAAACTCTGGACATAACACCATTAAGTGCTGTAACACTCACCGTAAAGGACTGGAGATTCATTATTGAAGTGAGCAAAACCATGAACCTGCCAGAAGAAAGAAACTCTGGACACATCTGAAGGAACAAACTCTGGACATAATACCTTTAAGTGCTGTAACACTCACCGTAAAGGTCTGCAGTTTCATTCTTGAAGTGAGCAAGACCATGAACCTGCCAGAAGGAAGAAACTCTGGACAGAACTGAAGGAACAAACTCTGGACATAACACCTTTAAGTGACGTAAGATTCACCGTAAAGGTCTGGAGCTTCATTCTTGAAGTGAGCAAGTCCATGAACCTGCCAGAAGAAAGAAACTCTGGACACATCTGAAGGAACAAACTCTGGATATAACACCTTTAAGTGCTGTAACACTCACCGTAAAGGTCTGCAGCTTCATTCTTGAAATGAGCAAGACCATGAACCTGCCAGAAGGAAGAAACTCTATACACATCTGATGGAACAAACTCTGGACATAACACCTTTAAGTGCTGTGACACTCCCCACCAAGGTCTGCAGCTTCATTCTTGAAGTGAGCAAGACCATGAACCTGCCAGAAGGAAGAAATTCTGGCCACATAAGAAGGAACAAACTCTAGACATAACAACTTTCAGTGCTGTAACACTCAACACTAAGGTCTGCAGCTTCATTCTTGAAGTGAGCAAGACCATGAACCTGCCAGAAGGAAGAAACTCTGGACACATCTGAAGGAAAAAACTCTGGACATAACAACTTTATATGCTGTAAAACTCACCGTAAATGTCTGCAGCTTCATTCTTTCTTGAAGTGAGCAAGACGATGAACCTGCCAGAAGAAAGAAACGCTGGACACATCTGAAGGAACAACTCTGGATATAACACCTTTAAGTGCTGTAACACTCACCGTAAAGGTCTGCAGCATCATTCTTGAAGTGAGCAATACCATGAACCTGCCAGATGGAAGAAACGCTGGACACATCTCACGGAACAAACTCTGGACATAACTCCTTTAAGTGCTGTAACACTCACCACCTAGGTCTGCAGCTTCATTCTTGAAGGGAGTAAGACCATGAACCTGACAGAAGGAAGAAACTCTGGCCACATCTGGAGGAAGAAACTCTGGACATAACAACTTTATGTGCTGTAACACTCAACAGTAAGGACTGCAGCTTCATTCTTGAAGTGAGCAAGACAATGAGCCTGCCCGAAGGGAAGAAACTCTGGACACATGTGAAGGAACGAACACAGGATATAACACCATTAAGTGCTGTAAAACTCACCGTAAAGGTCTGCAGCATGATTCTTGAAGTGAGCAAGACCATGAACCTGCCAGAAGCAAGAAACTCTAGACACATCTGACGGAACAAACTCTGGACATAACACCTTTAAGTGCTGTAACACTCACCACCTAGGTCTGCAGCTTCATTCTTGAAGTGAGCAAGACCATGAACCTGCCAGTCGCAAGAAACTCTATACACATCTGATGGAAGAAACTCTGGACATAACACCTTTAACTGCTGTAACACTCACCAACAAGCTCTGCAGCTTCATTCTTGAAGTGAGCTAGACCATGAACCTGCCCGAAGGAAGAAACTCTGGACACATCTGAAGGACCAAACTCTGCACATAACACCTTTATATGCTGTAACACTCACTGTAAAGGTCTGCAGTTTCATTCTTTCTTGAAGTGAGCAAGACCATGTACAGGACAGAAGGAAGAATATCTGGACACATCTGAAGAAAGAATCTCTGGACATAACACCTTTATGTGCTGTAACACTCACCACTAAATTCTGCAGCTTCACGCTTGAAGTTAGCAAGAACATGAAACTGCCAGATGGAAGAAACTCTGGACACATCTGAAGGAATAAACTCTGGACGTAACACCTTTAAGTGCTGTAACACTCAACACTAAGGTCTGCAGCTTCATTCTTGAATTGAGCAAGACCATGAACCTGCCAGAAGGAAGAAACTCTGGACACATCTGAAGGAACAAACTCTGGACATAACATCTTTCAGTGCTGTAACACTCACCGTAATGGTCTGCAGTTTCATTCTTGAAGTGAGCAAGAGCATGAAACTGCCAGAAGGAAGAAACTCTGGACACATATGAAGGAAAAAACTCTGGACATAACACCTTTAAGTGTTGTAACACTCACCACTAAATTCTGCAGCTTCACTCTTGAAGTGAGCAAGACCATGAACCTGCCAGATGGAAGAAACTCCGGACACATCTGAAAGAAAAACTCTGGACATAACACCTTTAACTGCTGTAACATTCACCACTAAGGTCTGCAGCTTCATTCTTGAAGTGAGCAAGACCATGAACCTGCCAGAAGGAAGAAACTCAGAACACATCTGAAGGAACAAACTCTGGACATAACACCTTTAAGTGCTGTAACGCTCACCACCTAGGTCTGCAGCTTCATTCTTGAAGTGAGCAAGACCATGAACCTGCCTGAAGGAAGAAACTCTAGACACATCTGAAGGAACAAACTCTGGACATAAAACTTTTTAGTGCTGTAACACTCACCCTAAAGGTCTGCAGCTTCATTCTTGAAGTAAGCAAGACCATGAACCTGCCAAAAGGAAGAAATTCTGGACACATCTGAAGGAACAAATTCTGGATATAACAAATTTAAGTGCTGTAACACTCACCGTAAATGTCTGCAGCTTCATTCTTGAAGTGAGCAAGACCATGAACCTGCCAGAAGGAAGAAACTCTGGACACATCTGAAGTAACAACTCTGGGCATAATACCTTTAAGTGCTGTAACACCCACCACTAAGGTTTGCAGCTTAATTCTTGAAGTGAGCAAGACCATGAACCTGCCAGAAGGAAGAAACTCTGGACACATCTGACGGAAAAAACTCTGGACATAACAACTTTAAGTGCTGTAACCCTCACCACTAAGGTCTGCAGCTTCATTCTTGAAGTGAGCAAGACCATGAACCTGCCAGAAGGAAGAAATTCTGGCCACATATGAAGGAACAAACTCTGGACATAACAACTTTAAGTGCTGTAACACTCAACACTAAGGTCTGCAGCTTCATTCTTGAAGTGAGCAAGACCATGAACCGGCCAGAAGGAAGAAACTCTGGACACATCTGAAGGAAAAAACTCTGGACATAACACCTTTAAATGCTGTAACCCTCACCACTAAGGTCTGCAGCTTCATTCTTGAAGTGAGCAAGACCATGAACCTGCCAGAAGGAAGAAACTCTGGACACATCTGGAGGAACAAACTCCGGACATAACACCTTTAAGTACTGTAACACTCACCGTAAAGGACTGGAGCTTCATTATTGAAGTGAGGTAGACCATGAACCTGCCAGAAGAAAGATACTCTGGAAACATCTGAAGGAACAAACTCTGGACATAACCCCTTTAAGTGCTGTAACACTCACCGTAAAGGTCTGCAGCTACATTGTTGAAGTGAGCAGGACCATGAACCTGCAGAAGGAAGAAACCCTGGACAAATCTGAATAAACAAACTCTGGACATAACACTTTTACGTACTGTAACACTCACCGTAAAGGTCTGCAGCTTCATTCTTGAAGTTAGCAAGACCTTGAACTTGCCAGAAGGAAGAAACTCTGGACACATCTGAAGGAACAAACTCTGGACATAACATTTTTCAGTGCTGTAAAACTCACCGTAAATGTCTACAGTTTCATTCTTGAAGTGAGCAAGACAAATGAACCTGCCAGAAGGAAAAAACTGGACACATCTGAAGGAAAAATCTCTGGACATAACACCTTTAAATGCTGTAACACTCAGCGTAATGGTCTGCAGTTTCATTCTTGAAGTGAGCAAGACCATGAACCTGCCAGAAGGAAGAAACTCTGGACACATCTGGAGGAACAAACTCCGGACATAACACCTTTAAGTACTGTAACACTCACCGTAACGGACTGGAGCTTCATTATTGAAGTGAGCAAGACCATGAACCTGCCAGTAGAAAGAAACTCTGGACACATCTGAAAGAACAAACTCTGGACATAACAACTTTAAGTGCTGTAACACTTACCTTAAAGGTCTGCAGCTTCACTCTTGAAGGTAGAAAGACCATGAACCTGCTAGAAGGAAGAAACTCTGGACCCATCTGAAGGAACAAACTCTGGACATAATACCTTTAAGTGCTGTAACACTCAGCGTAAAGGTCTGCAGTTTCATTCTTGAAGTGAGCAAGACCATGAACCTGCCAGAAGGAAGAAATTCTGGACACATCTGAAGGAACAAACTCTGGACATAATACCTTTAAGTGCTGTAACACTCACCGTAATGGTCTGCAGTTTCATTCTTGAAGTGAGCAAGACCATGAACCTGCCAGAAGGAAGAAACTCTATACACATCTGATGGAAGAAACTCTGGACATAACACCTTTAACTGCTCTAACACTCACCAGCAAGGTCTGCAGCTTCATTCTTTAAGTGAGCTAGACCATGAACCTGCCCGAAGAAGAAACTCTGGACACATCTGAAGGACCAAACTCTGGACATAACACCTTTATATGCTGTAACACTCACCGTAAAGGTCTGCAGCTTCATTCTTTCTTGAAGTGAGCAAGACCATGTACATGACAGAAGGAAGAATATCTGGAAACATCTGAAGAAACAAACTCTGGACATAACACATTTAGTGCTGTAACACTCACCACTAAATTCTGCAGCTTCACCCTTGAAGTGAGCAAGACCATGAACCTGCCAGATGGAAGAAACTCTGGACACATCTGAAGGAGAAAACTCTGGACATAACACCTTTAAGGGCTGTAATACTCACCACTAATATCTGCAGCTTCATTCTTGAAGTGAGCAAGACCATGAACCTGCCAGTAGGAAGAAACTCTGGACACATCTGAAGGAACAAACTCTGGACATAACATCTTTCAGTGCTGTAACGCTCACCGTAATGGTCTGCAGTTTCATTCTTGAAGTAAGCAAGACCGTGAAACTGCCAGAAGGAAGAAAGTCTGGACACATATGAAGGAACAATCTCTGGACATAACACCTTTAAGAGTTGTAACACTCACCGTAAAGGACTGGAGCTTCATTATTGAAGTGAGAAAGACCATGAACCTGCCAGAAGAAAGAAACTCTGGACACATCTGAAGGAAAAAACTCTGGACATAACACCTTTAAGTGCTGTAACACTAACCTTAAAGGTCTGCAGCTTCATTCTTGAAGCTAGCAAGACCATGAACCTGCCAGAAGGAAGAAACTCTGGACACATCTGAAGGAACAAACTCTGGACATAATACCTTTAAGTGCTGTAACACTCACCGTAAAGGTCTGCAGTTTCATTCTTGAAGTGAGCAAGACCATGAACCTGCCAGAAGGAAGTAACTCTGGACACAACTGAAGGAACAATCTCTGGACATAACACCTTTAAGTGACGTAAAACTCACCGTAAAGGTCTGGAGCTTCATTCTTGAAGTGAGCTAGTCCATGAACCTGCCAGAAGAAAGAAACTCTGGATACATCTGAAGGAACAAACTCTGGATATAACACCTTTAAGTGCTGTAACACTCACCGTGATGGTCTGCAGCTTCATTCTTGAAGTGAGCAAGACCATAAACCTGCCAGAAGGTAGAAATTCTGGACACACCTGAAGGAGCAAACTCTGGACATAACACCTTTAAATCCTGTAACACTCACCGTAAAGGTCTGCAGATTCATTCTTGTGGTCAGCAAGACCATGAACCTGCCAGAAGGAAGAAACTCTGGACACATCTGAAGGAACAAACTCTGGACATAAAAACGTAAGTGCTGTAACGCTCACCACTAAGGTCTGCAGCTTCATTCTTGAAGTGAGCAAGACCATGAACCTGCCAGAAGGAAGAAACTCTGGACACATCTGAAGGAACAAACTCTGGACATAACACCTTTATATGCTGTAAAACTCACCGTAAAGGTCTGGAGCTTCATTCTTTCTTGAAGTGAGCAAGACCATGAAACTGCAAGAAGACGGAAAATCTGGACACATCAGAAGGAACAATCACTGGATATAACACCTTTATGTACTGTAACATTCACCGTAAAGGTCTGCAGCATCATTTTTGAAGTGAGCAAGAAATGAACCTGCCAGAAGGAAGAAACTCTGCACACATCAAAAGGAAGAAACTCTGGACATAACACCTTTAAGTGCTGTAACACTCACCACTAAGGTCTGCAGCTTCATCCTTGAAGTGAGCAAGACCATGAACCTGCCAGAAGGAAGAAACTCTAGACACATCTGATGGAACAAACTCTGGACATAAAACCTTTAAGTGTTGTAACGCTCACCGCTAAGGTCTGCAGCTTCATTCTTGAAGAGAACAAGACCATGAACCTGCCAGAATGAAGAAACTCTGGACATATCTGAAGGAACAAACTCTGGACATGACAACGTTAAGTGCTGTAACACTCACCGTAAAGGTGTGCAGCTTCATTGTTGAAGTGAGCAAGACCATGAACCTGCCAGAAGGAAGAAACTCTGGACACATAACAAGGAACAAACTCTGGACATAACACCTTTAAGTGCTGTAACACTCACCACTAAGGTCTGCAGCTTCATTCTTGAAGTGAGCAAGACCATGAACCTGAAAGAAGGAAGAAATTCTGGACACATCAGATGGAACAAACTCTCGACATTACACATTTAAGGGCTCTAATACTCACCACCAAGGTCTGCAGCTTCATTCTTGAAGTGAGCAAGACCATGAACCAGCCCGAAGGAAGAAACTCTGGACACATCTGAAGGAACAAACTCTAGACATAACACCTTTAAGTGCTGTAACACTCACGGTAAAGGTCTGCAGCTTCATTCTTGAAGTGAGCAAGACCATGAACCTGCCAGAAGGAAGAAACTCTGGACACATCTGAAGGAACAAACTCTGGAGATAACACCTTTAAGTGCTGAAACACTCTCCACTAAGGTCTGCAGCTTCATTCTTTAAGTGAGCAAGGCCTTGTACCTGCCAGAAGGAAGAAACTACGGACACATCTGAATGAACAATCACTGGACATAACACTTTTAAGTGCTGTAACACTCACCACTAAGGTCTGAACCTTCATTCTTGAAGTGAGCAAGACCATGAACCTGCCAGAAGGAAGAAACTACGGACACATCTGAATGAACAATCTCTGAACATAACACCTTTAAGTGCTGCAACACTAACCACTAACGTCTGCAGCTTCATTCTTTAAGTGAGCAACACCATGAACCTGCCAGAAGGAAGAAACTCTGGACACATATGAAGGAACAAACTGTGGACATAACACATTTATATGCTGTAACACTCACCGTTAAGTTCTGCAGCTTCATTCTTGAAGTGAGCAAGACAATGAACCTGCCAGACCGAATAAACTCTGGACACATCTGAAGGAACAAACTCTGGACATAACACCTTTCAGGGCTGTAACACTCACCGTAAAGGTCTGCAGCTTCATTCTTGAAGTGAGAAAGACAATGAACCTGCCAGAAGGAAGAAACTCTGTACATATCTGAATTAACAATCTCTGGACATAACACCTTTACGTGCTGTAACACTCACCACTGAGGTCTGCAGCTTCATTCCTGAGGTGAGCAAGACCATGAACCTGACAGAAGGAAGAAACTCTGAACACATCTGAAGGAACAAATTCTGGAACTAACATGTTTACGTGTTGTAACACTCACCGTAAAGGTCTGCAGCTTCATTCTTGAAGTGAGCAAGACCATGAACCTGCCAGAAGGAAGAAACTCTGGACACATCTGAAGGAACAAACTCTGGACCTAACACTTTTAAGTGCTGTAACACTCACCACTAAGGTCTGCAGTTTCATTCTTGAAGTGAGCAAGACCATGAACCTGCCAGATTGAAGAAACTTTGGACACATCTGAAGGAACAAACTCTTTACATAACACGTTTAAGTGCTGTAACACTCAGCACTAAGGTCTGCAGCTTCATTCTTGAAGTGAGCAAGACGATGAACCTGCCAGAAGGAAGAAACTCTGGACATATCTGAAGGAACAAACTCTGTACATAACACTTTAAGTGCTGTAACACTCACCACTAAGGTCTGCAGCTTCATTCCTGAATTGAGCAAGACCATGAACCTGCCAGAAGGAAGAAACTCTGGACACATCTGAAGGAAAAAACTCTGGACATAACAACTTTAAGTGCTGTAACCCTCACCAATAATTTCTGCAGCTTCATTCTTGAAGTGAGCAAGACCATGAACCTGCACGAAGGAAGAAACTCTGGACACATCTCAAGGACCAAACTCTGGACATCACACCTTTATATGTTGTAACACTCAACGTAAATGTCTGCAGCTTCATTCATTCTTGAAGTGAGCAAGACCATGAACCTGCCAGAAGAAAGAAACTCTGGACACATCTGAAGGAAGAAACTCTGGATATAACACCTTTAAGTGCTGTAACACTCACCGTAAAGCTCTGCAACATCATTCTTGAAGTGAGCAAACCATGAACCTGCCAGATTGAAGAAATTTGGACACATCTGAAGGAACAAACTCTTTAGATAACACCATTAAGTGCTGTAACACTCAGCACTAAGGTCTGCAGCTTCATTCTTGAAATGAGCAAGACCATGTACCTGCCAAAAGGAAGAAACTCTGGACACATCTGATGGAACAAACTCGGGACATAACACCTGTAAGTGCTGTAACACTCACGACCAAGGTCTGCAGCTTCATTCTTGAAGTGAGCAAGACCATGAACCTGCTAGAAGGAAGAAACTCTGGACACAACTGAAGGAACAAACTCTCGAAATAACAACATTAAGTGCTGTAACACTCACCGTAAACGTCTGCAGCTTCATTCTTGAAGCTAGCAAGACCATGAACCTGCCAGAAGGAAGAAACTCTGGACACATCTGAAGTAACAAACTCTGGACATAATACCTTTAAGTGTTGTAACACTCACCGTAAAGGTCTGCAGTTTCATTCTTCAAGTGAGCACGACCATGAACCTGCCAGAAGGAAGAAACTCTGGACACAACTGAAGGAACAGACCCTGGACATAACACTTTTAAGTGATGAAAAACTCACCATAAAGCTCTGGAGCTTCATTCTTGAAGTGAGCAAATCCATGAACCTGCCAGAAGAAAGAAACTCTGGACACATCTGAAGGAACAAACTCTGGATATAACACCTTTAAGTGCTGTAACACTCACCGTAATGATCTGCAGCTTCATTCTTGAAGTGAGCGAGACCGTGAACCTGCCATGGGGAAGAAACTCTATGCAAATCTGATGGAACAAACTCTGGACATAACACCTTTAAGTGTTGTAACACTCAACACCAAGGTCTGCAGCTTCATTCTTGTATTGAGCAAGACCATGAACCTGCCCGAAGGAAGAAACTCTGGACACATCTGAAGGACCAAACTCTCGATATAACACCTTTCTATGCTGTAACACTCACAGTAAAGGTGTGCAGCTTCATTCTTTCTTGAAGTGAGCAAGACCATGAACCTGTCAGAAGAAAGAAACTCTGGACACATCTGAAGGAACAAACTCTGGATATAACACCTTTAAGTGTTGTAACACTCAACGTAAAGGTCTGCAGCATCATTCTTGAAGTGAGCAAGACCATGAACCTGCCAGATTGAATTAACTCTGGACACATCTGAACGAACAAACTCTGGACATAACAACTTTAAGTGCTGTAACACTCAGAACTAAGGTCTGCAGCTTCATTCTTGAAGTGAGCAAGACCATGAACCTGCCAGAAGAAAGAAACACTAGACATATCTGACGGAAAAAACTGTGGACAAAACACCTTTAAGTGCTGTAACACTGACACCTAGGTCTGCAGCTTCATTCTTGAAGTGAGCAAGACCATGAACCTGCCAGAAGCAAGAAACTCTGGACACATCTGAAGGAACAAACACGACATAACACCTTTAAATGCTGTAACACTCACCGTAAAGGTCTGCAGCTTCATTCTTGAAGTGAGCAAGACCATGAACCTGCCCGAAGGAAGAAACTCTGGACACGTCTGAAGGACGAAACTCTAGACATAACATCTTTATATGCTGTAACACTCACCGTAAAGGTCTGCAGTTTCATTCATTGTTGAAGTGAGGAACACCATGAACCTGCCAGAAGGAAGAATATCTGGACACATCTGAAGGAACAAACTCTGGACATAACACCTTTAAGTGCTGTAACAGTCACCACGGAATTCTGCAGCTTCACTCTTGAAGTGAGCAAGACCATGAACCTGCCAGATGGAAGAAACTCTGGACACATCTGAAGGAAAAAAATCTGGACATAACACCTTTAAGTGCTGTAACACTCACCACTAAGGACTGCAGCTTCATTCTTGAAGTAAGGAAGACCATGAACCTGCCAGAAGGAAGAAACTCTGGACACATCTGAAGGAACAATCTCTGGACATAACAAATTTAAGTGCTGTAACACTCACCGTAAATGTCTGCAGCTTCATTCTTGAAGTGAGCAAGACCATGAACCTGCCAGAAGGAAGAAACTCTGGACACATCTGAAGGAACAAACTCTGTAAATAACACCTTTAAGTGTTGTAACACTCACCACTAAGGTCTGCAGCTTCATTCTTGAAGTGAGCAAGACCATGAACCTGCCAGAAGGAAGAAACTCTGGACACATCTGAAGGAACAAACTCTGGACATAAAACCTTTAAGTGCTGCAAAACTCACCACTAAGTTCTGCAGCTTCTTTCTTGAAGTGAGCAAGACCATGAGCCTGCCAGAAGGAAGAAACTCTGGACACATCTCAAGGAACAAACTCTGGAAATAACATCTTTCAGTGCTGTAACACTCACCGTAAAGGTCTACAGTTTCATTCTTGAAGTGAGCAAGACCATGAACCTTCCAGAAGGAAGAAACTGGACACATATGAAGGAAGAAACTCTAGACATAACAATTTTAAGTGCTGTAACATTCACCGTAAGGGTCTGCAGTTTCATTCTTGAAGTGAGGAAGACCATGGACCTGCCAGAAGGAAGAATCTCTAGACTTATCACAAGGAACAAACTCTGGACATAACAACTTTAAGTGCTGTAACACTCACCACTAAGGTCTGCAGCTTCATTCTTGAAGTGAGCAAGACCATGAACCTGCCAGAAGACAGAAACCCTGGACACATCTGAAGGAACAAACTCTGGACATGACAACATTAAGTGCTGTAACACTCACCGTAAAGGTTTGCATCTTAATTCTTGAAGTGAACAAGACCACGAACCTGCCAGAAGGAAGAAACTCTGGACACATCACAAGGAACAAACTCTGGACATAACACCTTTTAGTGCTGTAACACTCACCACTAAATTCTGCGGCTTCACTCTTGAAGTGAGCAAGACCATGAACCTGTCAGATTGAAGAAACTTTGGACACATCTGAAGGAACATACTCTGGACATAACACCTTTAAGTGCTGTAACTCTCACCACTAAGGTCTGCAATTTCATTCTTGAAGTGAGCAAGACAATGAACCTGCCAGAAGGAAGAAACTCTGGACACATCTGAAGGAACAAACACTGGATATAACAACTTTAAGTACTGTAACTTTCACCGTAAATGTCTGCAGCATCATTCTTGAAGTGAGCAAGACCATGAACCTGCCAGAAGGAAGAAACTCTAGACACATCTGAAGGAACAAACTCTGGACATAACACCTTTAAATGCTGTAACACTCACCGTAAAGCTCTGCCGCGTCATTCTTGAATTGAGCAAGACCATGAACCTGCCAGAAGGAAGAAACTCTGGACACATCTGAAGGAACAAACTCTGGACATAACAACTTTAAGTGCTGCAAAACTCACCACTGAGGTCTGCAGCTTCATTCTTGAAGTGAGCAAGACCATGAACCTGCCAGAAGGAAGAAACTCTGGAATTATCTGAAGGAACAAACCCTGGACATAAAAACTTAAGTGCTGTAACGCTCACCACTAAGGTCTGCAGCTTCATTCTTGAAGTGAGCAAGACCATGAACCTGCCAGAAGGAAGAAACTCTGCACACATCTGAAGGAACAAACTCTGGACATAAAAACTTTAAGTGCTGTAACACTCACCACTAAGGTCTGCAGGTTCATTCTTGAAATGAGCAATACCATGAACCTGCCAGAAGGAAGAAACTCTGCACACATCTGAAGGAACAAACTATGGACATAACACCTTTAAATGCTGTAACACTCACCGTAATCGTCTGCAGCTTCATTCTTGAAGTGAGCAAGACCATGAACCTGCCAGAAGGAAGAAACTCTGGACACATCTGAAGGAACAAACTCTGGACATAACACCTTTAAGTGCTTTAACACTGACCGTAAAGGTCTGCAGCTTCATTCTGGAAGTGAGCAAGACCATGAACCTGCCAGAAGGAAGAAACTCTGGACACATCTGAAGGAACAAACTCTGGACATAACATCTTTAAGTGCTGTAACACTCACCACTAAGGTCTGCAGCTTCATTCTTGAAGTGAGCAAGAGCATGAACCGGCGAGAAGGAAGAAACTCTGGACACATCTGAAGGAACAAATTCTGGACATAACACCTTTAAGTGCTGTAAAACTCACCACTACGTTCTGCAGCTTCATTCTTGAAGTGAGCAAGACCATGAAACTGCCAGAATGAAGAAACTCTGGACACATCTGAAGGAAAAAACACTGGACATAACACCTTTAAGTGCTGTAACACTCACCGTAAAGGTCTGCAACTTCATTCTTGAGGTCAGCAAGACCATGAACCTGTCAGAAGGAAGAAACTCTGGACATATCTGAAGGAAGAAACTGTGGACATAACACCTTTAAGTGGTGTAAAACACACCACTAAGTTCTACAGCTTCATTCTTGAAGTGAGCAAGGACAAGATCCTGACAGATGGAACAAACTCTAGACACATCTGAAGGAACAAACTCTGGACATAACATGATTCAGTGCTGTAACACTCACCGTAACAGTCTACAGATTCATTCTTGAAGTGAGCAAGACCATGAACCTGCCAGAAGGAGGAAAGTGGACACATCTGAAGGAACAAACTCTGGACATAACACCTTTAAGTGCTGTAACACTCAACGTAAGGTCTGCAGTTTCATTCTTGAAGTGAGCAAGACCATGAACCTACCAGAAGAAAGAAACTCTGGACACATCTGAAGGAAAAAACTCTGGACATAACACCTTTAAGTGCTGTAACATTCAACGTAAAGGTCTGCAGCTTCATTCTTCAAGTGAGCAAGACCATCAACCTGCCAGAAGGTAGAAACTCTGGACACATCTGAAGGAAAAATCTCTGGGCATAACACATTTGAATGCTGTAACAGTCACCGTAAATGTCTGCAGCTTCATTCTTGAAGTGAACAAGACGATGAACCTGCCAGAAGGAAGAAACTCTGGACACATCTGAAGGAAGAAACTCTGGACTTAACAGTTTTAAGTGCTGTAAAACTCAGCGTAAAGGTCTGCAGCTTCATTCGTGAAGTGAGCAAGACCATGAACCTGCCACGAGGAAGAAATACTGGACACATCTGAATGAACGAACTCTGGACATAACACATTTAAATGCTGTAACACTCACCGTAAAGGTCTGCAGCTTCATTCTTGAGGTCAGCAAGACCATGAACCTGCCAGAAGGAAGAAACCCTGGACACATCTGAAGGAACAAACTCTGGACTTAAAAACTTAAGTGCTGTAACGCTCACCACTAAGGTGTGCAGCTTCATTCTTGAAGTGAGCAAGACGACAAACCTGTCAGAAGGAAGAAACTCTGGACACATCTGAAGGAAAAAACTCTGGACATAACACTTTTAAATGCTGTAAACCTCACCGTAAAGTTCTGCATTTTCATTCTGGAGGTGAGCAAGACCATGAACCTGCCAGAAGGAAGAAATGCTGGACACATCTGAAGGAACAAACTCTGGATATAACACCTTTAAGTGCTATAACACTCACCGTAAAGGACTGGAGCTACATTCTTGAAGTGAGCAAGACCATGAACCTGCCAGAAGAAAGAAACTCTGGACACATCTGAAGGAACAAACTCTGGACATAACACCTTTAAGTGCTGTAACGCTCAACGTAAAGGTCTGCAGCTTCATTAAGGAAGTGAGCAAGACCACGACCTGCAAGAAGGAAGAAACTCTGGACACATCTGAAGGAACAAACTCTGGACATAACACCTTTAAGTGCTGTAAAACTCACCACTAAGGTCTGCAGCTTCATTCTTGAAATGAGCAAGTCCATGAATCTCCCAGAAGGAAGGAACTCTAGACACATCTGATGTTAGAAACTCTGGACATAACAGTTTTAAATGCTGTAACACTCACCGTAAAGGTCTGTAGCTTCATTCTTGAAGTGAGCAAGACCAAGAACCTGCCAGAAGGAAGAAACTCTGCACACATCTGAAGGAACAAACTCTGGACATAACAACTTTAAGTGCTGTAACACTCACCGTAAAGGTCTGCAACATCATTCTTGAAGTGAGCAAGACCATGAACCTGCCAGTTGGAAGAAACTCTGGACACATCTGAACGAACAAACTCTGGATATAACAACTTTAAGTACTGTAACACTCACCACTAAGGTCTGCAGCTTCATTCTTGAAGAGAGCAAGACCATGAACCTGCCAGAATGAAGAAACTGTAGACATATCTGACGGTACAAACTCTCGACATAACACCTTTAAGTGCTGTAACACTCAACACCTAGGTCTGCAGATTCATTCTTGAAGTGAGCAAGTCCATGAACCTGCCAGAAGGAAGAAACTCTGGACACATCTGAAGGAAAAAACTCCTTACATAACACCTTTAAGTGCTGTAACCCTCACCACTAAGGTCTGCAGCTTCATTCTTGAAGTGAGCAAGACCATGAACCTGCCCGAAGAAAGAAACTTTGGACACATCTGAAGGACCAAACCCTGGACATAACACCTTTATAAGCTGTAACACTCACCGTAAAAGTCTGCAGCTTCATTCATTCTTGAAGTGTGCAAGACCATGAACCTGCAAGAAGAAAGAAACTCTGGACACATCTGAAGGAACAAACTCTGGATATAACACCTTTAAGTGCTGTAACACGCACCGTAAAGCTCTGCAACATCATTCTTGAAGTGTGCAAGACCATGAACCTGCCAGATGGAAGAAACTCTGGACATATCTGAACGATAAAACTCTGGACTTAACAACTTTAAGTACTATAACACTCACCACTAAGGTCTGCAGCTTCATTCTGGAAGTGAGCAAGACCATAAACCTGCCAGAAGGAAGAAACTCTAGACATATCTGACGGTACAAACTCTGGACATAACACCTTTAAGTGCTGTAACACTCACCACCTAGGTCTGCAGCTTCATTCTTGAAATGAGCAAGACCATGAACCTGCCTGAAGGAAGAAACTCTGGACACATCTAAAGGAACAAACTCTGGACATAACACGTTTAAATGCTGTAACACTCAACGTAAAGGTCTGCAGCTTCATTCTTGAAGTGAGGAAGACCATGAACCTTCCAGAAGGAAGAAACTCTGGCCACATCTGAAGGAACAAACCCTGGACATAACACCTTTAAGTGCTGTGACACTCACCGTAAAGGTCTGCAGCTTCATTCTTGAAGTAAGCAAGACCATCAACCTGCCAGAAGGAAGAAACTTTGGACACATCTGATGGAACAAACTCAGGACAAACACCTTTAACTGCTGTAACACTCAACACCAAGGTCTGCAGCTTCATTCTTGAAGTGAGCAAGACCATGAACCTGCCAGAAGGAAGAAATTCTGGACACATCTGAATGAACAAACTCTGGACATAACACCTTAAATTGCTGTGACACTCAGCGTAAAGGTCTGCAGCTTAATTCTTGAAGTGAGGAAGACCATGAACCTTCCAAAAGGAAGAAACTCTGGCCACATGTGAAGGAACAAACCCTGGACGTAACACTTTTAAGTGCTGTAACACTCACCCTAAAGGTCTGCAGCTTCATTCTTGAAGTGAGCAAGACAATGAACCTGCCAGAAGGAAGAAATTCTGGAAACATCTGAATGAACAAACTCTGGACAGAACACCTTTAAGTGCTGTATCACTCACCGTAAAGGACTGGAGCTTCATTATTGAAGTGAGCAAAACCATGAACCTGCCAGAAGAAAGAAACTCTGGACACATCTGAAGGAACAAACTATGGACATAACACCTTTAAGTGCTATAACACTCACCACCTAGGTCTGCAGCTTCATTCTTGAAGTGCGCAAGACCATGAACCTGCCAGAAGGAAGAAACTCTGGACATATCTGAAGGAACAAACTTTGGACATAACACTTTATATGCTATAACACTCACCGTAATGTTCTGCAGCTTCATTCTTTCTTGAAGTGACCAAGACCATGAACATGCCAGAAGGAAGAAACTCTGGACACATCTGAAGGAACAAACTCTGGATATAGCAACTTTAAGTGCTGTAACACTCAACGTAAATGTCTGCAGCTTCATTATTGAAGTGAGCAAGACCATGAACCTGCCAGAAGGAAGGAAGTCTGGACACATCTGAAGGAGCAAACTCTGCACATAACACCTTTAAGTGCTGTAACACTCACCACTAAGGTCTGCAGCTTCATTCTTGAAGTGAGCAAGACCATGAACCTGCCACAAGGAAGAAACTCTGGACTTATCTGAAGGAAAAAACTCTGGACATAACACCTTTAAGTGCTGTAACACTCACCACTAAGGTCCGCAGCTTCATTCTTGAAGTGAGCAAGACCATGAGCCTGCCAGAAGGAAGAAACTCTGGACTTATCTGAAGGAACACACTCTGGACATAAAAACTTAAGTGCTGTAACGCTCACCACTAAGGTCTGCAGCTTCATTCTTGAAGTGAGCAAGACCATGAACCTGGAGAAGGAAGAAACTCTGGACACATCTGAAGGAACAAACTCTGGACATAACAGCTTTAAGTGCTGTAAAACTCACCACTAAGGTCTGCAGCTTCATTCTTGAAATGAGCAAGTCCATGAACCTCCCAGAAGGAAGGAAAATTAGACACATCTGATGTAAAAAACTCTGGACATAACACCTTTAAATGATGTAACACTCACCGTAAAGGACTGCAGCTTCATTCTTGAAGTGAGCAAGACCATGAACCTGCCAGAAGGAGGAAACTCTGGACACATCTGAAGGAACAAACTCTGGACATAACACCTTTAAATGCTGTAACACTCACCGTAAAGGTCTGCAGTTTCATTCTTGAATTGAGCTAGACCATGAACCTGCCAGAAGGAAGAAACTCTGGACACATCTGAAGGAAAAAACTCTGGACATAGCATCTTTCATTGCTGTAACACTCACCGTAAAGGTCTACAGTTTCATTCTTGAAGTGAGCAAGACCATGAACCTGCCAGAAGGAAGAAAGTGGACACATCTGAAGGAACAAACAATGGACATAACACATTTAAATGCTGTAACACTCACCGTAAAGGTCTGCCCCGTCATTCTTGAAGTGAGCAAGACCATGAACCTGCCAGAAGGAAGAAACTCTGGACACATCTGAAGGAACAAACTCTGGACATAACACCTTTAAGTGCTGTAAAACTCACCACTAAGTTCTGCAGCTTCATTCTTGAAGTGAGCAAGACTATGAACCTGCAAGAAGGAAGAAACTCTGGACTTATCTGAAGGAACAAATCCTGGACATAAAAACATAAGTGCTGTAACGCTCACCACTAAGGTCTGCAGCTTCATTCTTGAAGTGAGCAAGACCATGAACCTGCCAGAAGGAAGAAACTCTGGACACATCTGAAGGAACAAACTCTGGACCTAACACCTTTAAATGTTGTAAAACTCACCACTACGGTCTTCAGCTTCATTCTTGAAATGAGCAAGTCCATGAACCTCCCAGAAGGAAGGAGCTCTAGACACATCTGATGTAAGAAACTCTGGACATATCTCCATTAAATGCTGTAACACTCACCGTAAAGGTCTGCAGCTTCATTCTTGAAGTGAGCAAGACCAAGAACCAGCCAGAGGGAAGAAACTCTGGACACATCTGAAGGAACAAACTCTGGACATAACAACTTTAAGTGCTGTAACACTCACCACTAAGGTCTGCAGCTTCATTCTTGAAGTGAGCAATACCATGAACCTGCCAGAAGGAAGAAACTCTGCACACATCTGAAGGAACAAACTCTGTACATAACACCATTAATGTTGTAACTCTCACCGTAAAGGTCTGCAGCTTCATTCTTGAAGTGAGCAAGACCATGAACTTGTCAGAAGGAAGAAACTCTGGACACATCTGAAGGAACAAACTCTGGACATAACACCTTTAAGTGCTGTAACACTCACCGTAAAGGTCTGCAGCTTCATTCTTGAAGTGAGCAAGACCATGAACCTGCCAGAAGGAAGAATCTCTGGACTTATCTGAAGGGACAAACTCTGGACATAAAAACTTAAGTGCTGTAACGCTCACCACTAAGGTCCGCAGCTTCATTCTTGAAGTGAGCAAGACCATGAACCCGCCAGAAGGAAGAAACTCTGGACTTATCTGAAGGAACAAACTCTGGACATAAAAACTTAACTGCTGTAACGCTCACCACTAAGGTCTGCAGCTTCATTCGTGAAGTGAGCAAGACCATGAACCTGGAGAAGGAAGAAACTCTGGACACATCTGAAGGAACAAACTCTGGACATAACAGCTTTAAGTGCTGTAAATCTCACCACTAAGGTCTGCAGCTTCATTCTTGAAATGAGCAAGTCCATGAACCTCCCAGAAGGAAGGAAATCTAGACACATCTGATGTAAAAAACTCTGGACATAACACCTTTAAATGATGTAACACTCACCGTAAAGGACTGCAGCTTCATTCTTGAAGTGAGCAAGACCATGAACCTGCCAGAAGGAAGAAACTCTGGACACATCTGAAGGAACAAACTCTGGACATAACACCTTTATGTGCTGTAACACTCACCGTAAAGGTCTGCATCTTCATTCTTGAAGTGAGCAAGACCATGAACCTGCCAGAAGGAAGAAACTCTGGACACATCTGAAGGAACAAACTCTGTAAATAACATCTTTAAGTGTTGTAACACTCACCACTAAGGTCTGCAGCTTCATTCTTGAAGTGAGCAAGACCATGAACCTGCCAGAAGGAAGAAACTCTGGACACATCTGAAGGAACAAACTCTGGATATAACACCTTTAAGTGCTGTAAAACTCACCACTAAGTTCTGCAGCTTCTTTCTTGAAGTGATCAAGACCATGAACCTGCCAGAAGGAAGAAACACTGCACACAACTGAAGGAACAAACTCTGGAAATAACATCTTTCAGTGCTGTAACACTCACCGTAAAGGTCTACAGTTTCATTCTTGAAGTGAGCAAGACCATGAACCTTCCAGAAGGAAGAAACTGGACACATATGAAGGAAGAAACTCTAGACATAACAATTTTTAGTGCTGTAACATTCACCGTAAGGGTCTGCAGTTTCATTCTTGAAGTGAGCAAGACCATGGACGTGCCAGAAGGAAGAATCTCTGGACTTATCTGAAGGAACAAACTCTGGACATAAAAACTTAAGTGCTGTAACGCTCACCACTAAGGTCTGCAGCTTCATTCTTGAAGTGAGCAAGACCATGAACCTGCCAGAAGGAGGAAACTCTGGACACATCTGAAGGAACAAACTCTGGACATAACACCTTTAAATGCCGTAACACTCACCGTAAAGGTCTGCAGTTTCATTCTTGAAGTGAGCTAGACCATGAACCTGCCAGAAGGAAGAAACTCTGGACACATCTGAAGGAACAAACTCTGGACATAGCATCTTTCATTGCTGTAACACTCACCGTAAAGGTCTACAGTTTCATTCTTGAATTGAGCAAGACCATGAACCTGCCAGAAGGAAGAAAGTGGACACATCTGAAGGAACAAACAATGGACATAACACCTTTAAATGCTGTAACACTCACCGTAAAGGTCTGCAGCTTCATTCTTGAAGTGAGCAAGACCATGAACCTGCCAGAAGGAAGAAACTCTGGACTTATCTGAAGGAACAAACTCTGGACATAAAAACTTAAGTGATGTAACGCTCACCACTAAGGTCCGCAGCTTCATTCTTGAAGTGAGCAAGACCATGAACCTGCCAGAAGGAAGAAACTCTGGACTTATCTGAAGGAACAAACTCTGGACATAAAAACTTAACTGCTGTAACGCTCACCACTAAGGTCTGCAGCTTCATTCTTGAAGTGAGCAAACCATGAACCTGGAGAAGGAAGAAACTCTGGACACATCTGAAGGAACAAACTCTGGACATAACAGCTTTAAGTGCTGTAAAACTCACCACTAAGGTCTGCAGCTTCATTCTTGAAATGAGCAAGTCCATGAAACTCCCAGAAGGAAGGAAATCTAGACAAATCTGATGTAAAAAACTCTGGGCATAACACCTTTAAATGATGTAACACTCACCGTAAAGGACTGCAGCTTCATTCTTGAAGTGAGCAAGACCATGAACCTGCCAGAAGGAAGAAACTCTGGACACATCTGAAGGAACAAACTCTGGATATAACACCTTTATGTGCTGTAACACTCACCGTAAAGGTCTGCATCTTCATTCTTGAAGTGAGCAAGACCATGAACCTGCCAGAGGGAAGAAACTCTGGACACATCTGAAGGAAAAAACTCTGTAAATAACATCTTTAAGTGTTGTAACACTCACCACTAAGGTCTGCAGCTTCATTCTTAAAGTGAGCAAGACCATGAACCTGCCAGAAGGAAGAAACTCTGGACACATCTGAAGGAAAAAACTCTGGACATAACACCTTTAAGTGTGTAAAACTCACCACTAAGTTCTGCAGCTTCATTCTTGAAGTGAGGAAGACCATGAACCTGCCAGAAGGAAGAAACTCTGGACACATCTGAAGGAACAAACTCTGGACATAACACCTTTAAGTGCTATAACACTCACCGTAAAGGTATGCAGCTTCATTCTTGAATTGAGCAAGACCATGAACCTGCCAGAAGGAAGAAACTCTGGACACATCTGAAGGAACAAACTCTGGACATAACATCTTTCAGTGCTGTAACACTCACCGTAATGGTCTGCAGTTTCATTCTTGAAGTGAGCAAGAGCATGAAACTGCCAGAAGGAAGAAACTCTGGACACATATGAAGGAAAAAACTCTGGACATAACACCTTTAAGTGTTGTAACACTCACCGTAAAGGACTGGAGCTTCATTATTGAAGTGAGAAAGACCTTGAACCTGCCAGAAGAAAGAAACTCTGGACACATCTGAAGGAAAAAACTCTGGACATAACACCTTTATGTGCTGTAACACTTACCTTAAAGGTCTGCAGCTTCATTCTTGAAATGAGCAAGACCATGAACCTGCCAGAAGGAAGAAACTCTATACACATCTGATGGAAAAAACTCTGGACATAACACCTTTAAGTGCTGTAACACTCACCACCAAGGTCTGCAGCTTCATTCTTGAAGTGAGCAAGACCATGAACCTGCCAGAAGGAAGAAATGCTGGCCACATATGAAGGAACAAACTCTGGACATAACAACTTTAAGTGCTGTAACACTCAACACTAAGGTCTGCAGCTTCATTCTTGAAGTGAGCAAGACCATGAACCGGCCAGAAGGAAGAAACTCTGGACACATCTGAAGGAAAAAACTCTGGACATAACACCTTTAAGTGCTGTAACCCTCACCACTAAGGTCTGCAGCTTCATTCTTGAAGTGAGCAAGACCATGAACCTGCCAGAAGGAAGAAACTCTGTACACATCTGGAGGAACAAACTCCGGACATAACACCTTTAAGTGCTGTAACACTCACCGTAAAGGACTGGAGCTTCATTCTTGAAGTGAGCAAGACCATGAACCTGCCAGAAGAAAGGAAATTTGAGAACATCTGAAGGAACAAACTCTGGACATCACACCTTTAAGTGCTGTAACACTCAGCACCTAGGTCTGCAGCTTCATTCTTGAAGTTAGGAAGACCATGAACCTGCCCGAAGGAAGAAACTCTGGACATATCTGATGGATCAAACTCCGGACATAACACCTGTAAGTGCTGTAACACTCACGACCAAGGTCTGCAGCTTCATTCTTGAAGTGAGCAAGACCATGACCCTGCCAGAAGGAAGAAACTCTGGACTCAACTGAAGGAACAAACTCTGGACATAACACCTTTAAATGCTGTAAAACTCACCGTAAAGGTCTGGAGCTTCATTCTTGAAGGGAGCAAGACCATGAACCTGCCAGGAGAAAGAAACTCTGGACTCATCTGAAGGAACAAACTCTGGATATAACACCTTTAAGTGCTGTAACACTCACCGTAAAAGTCTGCAGCATCATTTTTGAAGTGAGCAAGACCATGAACCTGCCAGAAGGAAGAAACTCTGCACACATCACAAGGAACAAACTCTTTACATAACACCTTTAAGCGCTGTAACACTCACCACTAAGGTCTGCAGCTTCATTCTTGAAGTGAGCAAGACCATTCACCTGCCAGAAGGAAGAAACTATAGACACATCTTATGGAATAAACTCTGGACATAAAACCTTTAAGTGCTGTAACGCTCACCACTAATGTCTGCAGCTTCATTCTTGAAGAGAACAAGACCATGAACCTGCCAGAATGAAGAAATTCTGGACACATCTGAAGGAAAAAAACCTGGACATGAAAACATTAAGTGCTGTAACACGCACCGTAAGGGTTTCCAGCTTCATTCTTGAAGTGAGGAAGACCATGAACCTGCCAGAAGAAGAAACTCTGGCCACATCTGAAGGAACAAACTCTGGACATAACACTTTTAAGTGCTGTAACACTCACCCTAACGGTCTGCAGCTCCATTCTTGAGCAGAACAAGACAATGAACCTGCCAGAATGAAGAATCTCTGGACACATCTGAAGGAACAAACCCTAGACATGACAACATTAAGTGCTGTAACACTCACCGTAACGTTCTGGAGCTTCATTGTTGAAGTGAGCAAGACCATGAACCTGCCAGAAGGAAGAAACTCTATACACATCTGATGGAACAATCTCTGCACATAACAACTTTAAGTGCTGTAACACTCACCACCAAGGTCTGTAGCTTCATTCTTCAAGTGACCAACACCGTGAATCTGCCCGAAAGAAGAAATTCTGGACACATCTGAAGAACCAAACTCTGGACATAACACCTTTAAATGCTGTAACACTCACCGTAAAGGTCTGCAGCTTCATTCTTTCTAGAAGTGAGCAAGACCATGAACATGCCAGAAGGAAGAATATCTGGACACATCTGAAGGAACAAACTCTGGACATAACACCTTTATGTGCTGTAACAATAACCACTAAATTTTGCAGCTTCACTCTTGAAGTGAGCAAGACCATGAACCTGCCAGATAGAAGAAACTCTGGACACATCTGAAGGAAGAAACTCTGGACATAACACCTTTAATTGCTGTGACACTCACTACTAAGGTCTGCAGCTTCATTCTTGAAGTGAGCAAGACCAGGAACCTGCCAGAAGGAAGAAACTCTGGACACATCTGAAGGAATAAACTCCGGACATAACACTTTTAAGTGCTGTAACACTCACCACTAAAGTCTGCAGCTTCATTCTTGAATTGAGCAAGACCATGAAACTGCCAGAAGGAAGAAACTCTGGACACATCTGAAGGAAAAAACTCTGGACATAACACATTTAAGTGTTGTAACCGTCACCACTAAGGTCTGCAGGTTCATTCTTGAAGTGAGCAAGACCATGAACCTGCCTGAAGGAAGAAACTCTGGACACATCTAAAGGAACAAACTCTGGACATAACACCTTTAAGTGCTGTAACACTCACCGTAAAAGTCTGCAGCTTCATTCTTGAAGGGAGCAAGATCATGAACCTGCCAGAAAGAAGAAACTCTGGCCACATATGAAGGAACAAACTCTGGACATAACACTTTTAATTGCTGTAACACTCACCCTAAAGGTCTGCAGCTTCATTCTTGAAGTGAGCAAGACCATGAACCTGCCAGAAGGAAGAAATTCTGGACACATCTGAATGAACAAACTCTGGACATAACACCTTTAAGTGCTGTGACACTCACCGTAAATGTCTGCAGCTTCATTCTTGAAGTGAGCAAGACCATGAACATGAGAGAAGGAAGAAACTCTATACACATCTGATGGAAAAAATTCCGGACATAACACCTTTAACTGCTGTAAAACTCACCACCAAGTTCTGCAGCTTCATTCTTGAAGTGAGCAAGACCATGAACCTGCCCGAAAGAAGAAATTCTGGACACATCTGAAGGACCAAACTCTGGACATAACACCTTTATATGCTGTAACACTCACCGCAAAAGTCTGAAGCTTCATTCTTTCTTGAAGTGAGCAAGATCATGAACATGCCAGAAGGAAGTATATCTGGACACATCTGAAGGTATAAACTCTGGACATAACACATTTAAGTGCTGTAACAATCACCACTAAATTTTGCAGCTTCACTCTTGAAGTGAGCAAGACTATGAACCTTCCAGATGGAAGAAACTCTGGACACATCTGAAGGAAAAAACTCTGGAAATAACAACTTTAAGTACTGTAACACTCACCACTAAGGTCTGCAGCTTCATTCTTGAAGTGAGCAAGTCCATGAACCTGCCAGTAGGAAGAAACTCTGGACACATCTGAAGGAACAAAGTCTGGACATAACACCTTAAAGTGCTGTAACACTCACCACTAAGGTCGGCAGCTTCATTCTTGAATTGAGCAAGACAATGAACCTGCCAGAAGGAAGAAACTCTGGACATATGTGAAGGAAAAACTCTGGACATAACACATTTAAGTGCTGTAACCCTCACCAATAATGTCTGCAGCTTCATTCTTGAAGTGAGCAAGATCATGAACCTGCCCGAAGGAAGAAACTCTGGACACATCTGAAGGACCAAACTCTGGACATAACACTTTTATATGCTGTAACACTCAACGTAAAGGTCTGCAGCTTCATTCATTCTTGAAGTGAGCAAGACCATGAACCTGCCCGAAGGAAGAAACTCTGGACACATCTGAAGGAACAAACTCTGGATATAACAACTTTAAGTGCTGTAACACTCACCGTAAAGCTCTGCAACATCATTCTTGAAGTGAGCAAACCATGAACCTGCCAGATTGAAGAAACTTTGGACACATCTGAAGGAAAAAACACTTTACATAACACCTTTAAGTGCTGTAACACTCAACACTAAGGTCTGCAGCTTCATTCTTGAAATGAGCAAGACCATGTACCTGCCAAAAGGAAGAAACTCTGGACACATCTGATGGAACAAACTCGGGACATAACACCTGTAAGTGCTGTAACACTCACGACCAAAGTCTGCAGCTTCATTCTTGAAGTGAGCAAGACCATGAACCTGCCAGATGGAAGAAACTCTGCAAATATCTGAAGGAACAAACTCTGGACATAACATCTTTCAGTTCTGGAACACTCACCGTAAAGGTCTACAGATTCCTTCTTGAAGTGAGTAAGACCATGAACCTGCCAGAAGGAAGAAACTGGACACATCTGAAGGAAAAAACTCTGGACATAACACCTTTAAGTGCTGTAACACTCACCGTAATGGTCTGCAGTTTCATTCTTGAAGTGAGCAAGACCCTGAACCTGCCAGAAGGAAGAAACTCTGGACACATCTGAAGGAACAAACTCTGGACATAACACCTTTAAGTGCTGTAACACTCACCGTAAAGGACTGGAGCTTCATTCTTGAAGTGAACAAGACCATGAACCTGCTAGAAGAAAGAAACTCTGGACACGTCTGAAGGAATAAACTCTGGACATAACACCTTTAAGTGCTGTAACACTCACCACCTAGGTCTGCAGCCTCATCCTTGAAGTGAGCAAGACAATGAACCTGCCAGAAGGAAGAAACTCTGGACACATCTGAAGGAACAAACTCTGGACACAACACTTTATATGCTGTAACACTCACCGTAAAGTTCTGCAGCTTCATTCTTTCTTGAAGTGAGCAAGACCATGAACATGCCAGAAGGAAAAAACTCTGGACACATCTGATGGAACCAACTCTGGACATAACACCTTTAAGTGCGGTAACACTCACCACCAAGGTCTGCAGCTTCATTCTTGAAGTGAGCAAGACCATGAACCTGCCAGAAGGAAGAAACTCTGAACAAAACTGAAGGAACAACTCTGGACATACCACTTTTAAATGCTGTAAAACTCGCCGTAAACGTCCGGAGATTCATTCTTGACGTGAGCAAGGCCATGAACCTGAGAGAAGAAGGAAACTCTGGACACATCTGAAGGAACAAACTCTGGATATAACACCTTTAAGTGCTGTAACACTCACCGTAAAGGTCTACAGCTTCGTTCTTGTATTGAGCAAGTCCATCAACCTGCCAGAAGGAAGAAACTCTATACATATGTGATGGACCAAACTCTGGACATAACAGCTTTATGTGCTGTAACACTCACCACTAAGTTCTGCAGCTTCATTCTTGAAGTGAGCAAGGCCATAAAACTGCCAGAAAGAAGAAACTCTATACACAACAGATGGAACAAAGTCTGGATATAACACAATTAAGTGCTGTAACACTCACCATCAAGGTCTGCAGGTTCATTCTTGAAGTGAGTAAGACCATGACCCTGCCCGAAGGAAGAACTTCTGGACACATCTGAAGGACCAAACTCTGGACAAAACACCTTTATATGCTGTAACACTCACCGTAAAGGTCAGCAGCTTCATTCTTTCTTGAAGTGAGCAAGACCATGAACCTGCCAGAAGGAAGAATATCTGGACACATCTGAAATAACAAACTCTGGACATAACAATTTTAAGTGCTGTAACACTCACCACTAAATTCTGCACCTTCACTCTTGAAGTGTGCAAGACCATGAACCTGCCAGATTGAAGAAACTTTGGACACATCTGAAGGAACAAACTCTGGACATAACACCTTTAAGTGCTGTAACACTCACCACTAAATTCTGCAGCTTCACTCTTGAAGTGAGCAAGACCATGAACCTGCCAGAAGGAAGAAACTCTATACACATCTGATGGAACAAACTCTGCACATAACACCTTAAAATGCTGTAACACTCAACACCAAGGTCTGCAGCTTCATTCTTCAAGTGAGCAAGACCATGAACCTGCCCGAAAGAAGAAATTCTGGACACATCTGAAGAACCAAACTCTGGACATAACACCTTTATATGCTGTAACACTCACCGTAAAGGTCTGCAGCTTCATTCTTTCTTGAAGTGAGCAAGACCATGAACATGCCAGAAGGAAGAATATCTGGACACATCTGAAAGAACAAACTCTGGACATAACACCTTTATGTGCTGTAACAATAACCACTAAATTTTGCAGCTTCACTCTTGAAGTGAGCAAGACCATGAACCTGCCAGATGAAAGAAACTCTGGACACATCTGAAGGAAAAAACTCTGGACATAACACCTTTAAGTGCTGTAACACTCACTACTAAGGTCTGCAGCTTCATTCTTGAAGTGAGCAAGACCATGAACCTGCCAGAAGGAAGAAACTCTGGACACATCTGAAGGAATAAACTCTGGACATAACACCTTTAACTGCTGTAACCCTCACCACTAAGGTCTGCAGCTTCATTCTTGAAGTGAGCAAGACCATGAACCTTCCAGAAGGAAGAAACTCTTCACACATCTGAAGGAAAAAACTCTGGACATAACACCTTTACGTGCTGTAACCCTCACCAATAAGGTCTGCAGCTTCATTCTTGAAGTGAGCGAGACCATGAACCTGCCCGATAGAAGAAATTCTGGACACATCTGAAGGACCAAACTCTGGACATAACACCTTTATATGCTGTAACACTCACCGTAAAGGTCTGCAGCTTCATTCTTTCTTGAAGTGAGCAAGACCATTAACATGCCAGAAGGAAGAATATCTGGACACATCTGAAGGTACAAACTCTGGACATAACACATTTAGGTGCTGTAACAATCACCAATAAATTTTGCAGCTTCACTCTTGAAGTGAGCAAGACCATGAACCTGCCAGATGAAAGAAACTCTGGACACATCTGAAGGAAAAAACTCTGGACATAACACCTTTAAGTACTGTAACACTCACCACTAAGGTCTGCAGCTTCTTTCTTGAAGTGAGCAAGACCATGAACGTGCCAGTAGGAAGAAACTCTGGACACATCTGAAGGAACAAACTCTGGACATAACACCTTAAAGTGCTGTAACACTCACCACTAAGGTCGGCAGCTTCATTCTTGAATTGAGCAAGACCATGAACCTGCCAGAAGGAAGAAACTCTGGACATATCTGAAGGAAAAACTCTGGACATAACACATTTAAGTGCTGTAACCCTCAACAATAATGTCTGCAGCTTCATTCTTGAAGTGAGCAAGACCATGAACCTGCCCGAAGGAAGAAACTCTGGACATATCTGAAGGACCAAACTCTAGACATAACACCTTTATATGCTGTAACACTCAACGTAAATGTCTACAGCTTCATTCATTCTTGAAGTGAGCAAGACCATGAACCTGCCAGAAGAAAGAAACTCTGGACACATCTGAAGGAACAAAATCTGGATATAACAGCTATAAGTGCTGTAACATTCACCGTAAAGCTCTGCAACATCATTCTTGAAGTGAGCAAGACCATGAACCTGCCAGATGGAAGAAACTTTTGACACATCTGAAGGAACAAACCCTTTACATAACACCTTTAAGTTCTGTAATACTCAGCACTAAGGTCTGCAGCTTCATTCTAGAAATGAGCAAGACCATGTACCTGCCAAAAGGAAGAAACTCTGGACACATCTGATGGAACAAACTCGGGACATAACACCTGTAAGTGCTGTAACACTCACGACCAAGGTCTGCAGCTTCATTCTTGAAGCGAGCAAGACCATGAACCTGCCAGAAGGAAGAAACTCTGGACACAACTGAAGGAACAAACTCTGGACATAACACCTCAAAGTGCTGTAAAACTCACCGTAAAGGTCTGGAGCTTCATTCTTGAAGTGAGCAAGACCATGAACCTGCCAGGAGAAAGAAACTCTGGACACATCTGAAGGAACAAACTCTGGATATAACACCTTTCAGAGCTGTAACACTCACCGTAAAGGTCTGCAGCATCATTCTTGAAGTGAGCAAGACCATGAACCTGCCAGAAGGAAGAAACTCTGCACACATCACAAGGAGCAAACTCTGTACATAACACCTTTAAGTGCTGTAACTCTCACCACTAAGGTCTGCAGCTTCATTCTTGAAGTGAGCAAGATCATGCACCAGCCAGAAGGAAGAAACTCTAGACATATCTTATGGAACAAACTCTGGATATAAAACCTTTAAGTGCTGTAACGCTCACCAATAAGGTCTGCAGCTTCATTCTTGAAGAGAACAAGACCATGAACCAGCCAGAATGAAGAAATTCTGGACACATCTGAAGGAAAAATACCTGGACATGACAACATTAAGTGCTGTAACACTCACCGTAAGGGTCTACAGCTTCATTCTTGAAGTGAGGAAGACCATGAACCTGCCAGAAGAAGAAACTGTGGCCACATCCGAAGGAAGAAACTCTGGACATAACACTTTTAAGTGCTGTAACACTCACCCTAACGGTCTGCAGCTTCATTCTTGAAGTGAGCAAGACCATGAATCTGCCAGAAGGAAGAAATTCTGGACACATCTGAATGAATAAACTCTGGACATAACACCTTTAAGTGCTGTAACACTCACCGGACAGGTCTGCAGCGAGATTCTTGAAGTCAGCAATGCCATGAACCTGCCAGAAGGAGGAAACTCTGGACACATGTGAAGGAATAAACTCTGGACATAACACCTATAAGTGCTGTAACACTCACCACTAATTTCTGCAGCTTCATTCTTGAAGAGAACAAGACCATGAACCTGCCACAAGGAAGAAACTTCGGACACATATATATGAACAAACTTTGGACATAACACCCATCAAGCGCTGCGGGACTCACCACTTAAGGCTGCTCCTACATTCTTGAAGTGAGCAACACCATGATCGTGCCAGAAGGAAGAATTTTTGGTCTCATCTGAAGGAACAAACTCTAGACCTAACACCTTTAAGTGCTGTAACACTGACCGTAAAGGTCTGCAGCTTCATTCTTGAAGTGACCAAGAGCATGAACCTGCCAGAAGGAAGACAGTCTGGACACCTGTTAATGAACAAACTCTGGACATAACATCTTTAAGGATTGTAACCTCACCACTAAGGTCTGCAGCATCATTCTTTGAAGTCAGCAAGGCCATGAACCTGCCAGAAGGTAGAAATTTTGGACACATCTGAAGGAAGAAACTCTGGACATAACACCTTTAAATGCTGTAACACTCAGCTTAAAGGTCTGCAGCTTCATTCTTGAAGCTAGCAAGACCATGAACCTCCCAGAAGGAAGAAACTCTGGACACATCTGAAGGAATAAACTGTGGACATAATACCTTTAAGTGCTGTAACACTCACAGTAATGGTCTGCAGTTTCATTCTTGAAGTGAGCAAGACCATGAACCTGCCAGAAGGAAGAAACACTCTACACATGTGATGGAACAAACTCTGGACATAACACCTTTGAGTCCTGTAACACTCACCACCAAGGTTTACAGCTTCATTCTTGAAGTGAGCAAGACCATGAACCTGCCAGAAGGAAGAAACACTCTACACATGTGATGGAACAAACTCTGGACATAACACCTTTGAGTGCTGTAACACTCACCACCAAGGTTTACAGCTTCATTCTTGAAGTGAGCAAGACCATGAACCGGCCAGAAGGAAGAAACACTCTACACATGTGATGGAACATACTCTGGACATAACACCTTTGAGTGCTGTAACACTCACCAACTAAAGGATTACAGCTTCATTCTTGAAGTGAGCAAGACAATGAACCTGCCCGAAGGAAGAAACTCTGGACACATCTGAATGACCAAACTCTGGACATAACACCTTTATATGCTGTAAAACTCACCGTAAATGTCTGCAGCTTCATTCTTTCTTGAAGTGAGCAAGACCATGAAACTGCCAGAAGAAAGAAACTCTGGACACATCTGAAGGAACAAACTCTGGATATCATACCTTTAAGTGCTGTAACACTCACCTTAAAGGTCTGCAGCTTCATTCTTTCTTGAAGTGAGCAAGACCATGAGCATGCTAGAATTAGGAATATCTGGACAAATCTGAAGGAACAAACTCTGGACATAACACCTTTAAGTGCTGTAACACTCACCGCTGAATTCTGCAGCTTCACTCTTGAAGTGAGCAAGACCATGAACCTGCCAGATAGAAGAAAATCTGGACACATCTGAAGGAAGAAACTCTGGACATAACACCTTTAAGTGCTGTAACACTCACCACTAAGGTCTGCAGCTTCATTCTTGAAGGGAGCAAGACCATGAACCTGCCAGAAGGAAGAAACTCTGGACACATCTGAAGGAACAAACTCTGGACATAACACCTTTAAGTGCTGTAACACTCACCGTAAAGGACTGGAGCTTCATTATTGATGTGAGCAAGACCAAGAACCTGCCAGAAGAAAGAAACTCTGGGCACATCTGAAGGAACAAACTCTGGACATAACACCTTTAAGTGCTGTAACTCTCAACACCAAGGTCTGCAGCTTCATTTTTGAATTGAGCAAGACCTTGAACCTACCCGAAGGAAGAAACTCTGGACACATCTGTAGGACCAAACAATGGACATAACACCTTTATATGCTGTAACACTCACCGTAAATGTCTGCAGCTTCATTCTTTCTGGAAGTGAGCAAGACCATGAACCTGCCAGAAGAAAGAAACTCTGGACACATCTGAAGGAACAAACTCTGGATATAACACCTTTAAGTGCTGTAGCACTCACCGCAAAGGTCTGCAGCATCATTCTTGAAGTGAGCAAGACCGTGAACCTGCCAGATTGAAGAAACTCTGGACACATCTGAACGAACAACCTCTGGACATAACAACTTTAAGTGCTGTAACACTCACCACTAAGGTCTGCAGCTTCATTCTTGAAGAGAGCAACACCATGAACCTGCCAGAAGAAAGAAACTCTAGACACATCTGACGGAACAAACTCTGGACATAATACCTATAATTGCTGTAACACTCACCACCTAGGTCTGCAGCTTAATTCTTGAAGTGAGCAAGACCATGAACCTGCCAGAAGGAAGAAACTCTGGACACATCTGAAGGAACAAACTCTGGACTTAACACCTTTAAATGCTGTAACACTCACCGTAAAGGTCTACAGCTTCATTCTTGAAGTGAGGAAGACGATGAACCTACCAGAAGGAAGAAATTCGGGCCACATTTGAAGGAACAAACTCTGGACATAACACTTTTAAGTGCTGTAACGCTCACCCTAAAGGTCTGCAGCTTCATTCTTGAAGTGAGCAAGACCATGAACCTGCCAGAAGGAAGAAATTCTGGACAAATCTGAAGGAACAAACTCTGGACATAACACCTTTAAGTACTGTGACACTCACCGTAAAGGTCGGCAGCTTCATTCTTGAAGTGAGCAAGACCATGAACCGGCCAGAAGGAAGAAACTCTATACACATCTGATGGAACAAACCCTGGATATAACACATTTAACTGCTGTAACACTCACGACCATGGTCGGCAGCTTCATTCTTGAAGTGAGCAAGACCATGAACCTGCCCGAAGGAAGAAACTCTGGACATATCTGAAGGACCAAACTCTGGACATAACACATTTATATGCTGTAACACTCACCGTAAAGGTCTGCAGCTTCATTCATTGTTGAAGTGAGCAACACCATGAACCTGCCAGAAGGAAGAATATCTGGACACATCTGAAAGAAAAAACTTTGGACATAACACCGTAAAGTGCTGTAACACTCACCACTAAATTCTGAAGCCTCACTCTTGAAGTGAGCAAGACCATGAACCTGTCAGATGGAAGAAACTCTGGACACATCTGAAGGACCAAACTCTGGACATAACACCTTTACATGCTGTAACACTCACCGTAAATGTCTGCAGCTTCATTCTTTCTGGAAGTGAGCAAGACCATGAACCTGCCAGAAGAAAGAGACTCTGGACACATCTGCAGGAACAAACTCTGGATACAACAGCTTTAAGTGCTGTAACACTCACCGTAAAGGTCTGCAGCATTATTCTTGAAGTGAGCAAGACCATGAAATTGCCAGATTGAAGAAACTCTGGACACATCTGTACGAACAAACGCTGGATATAACAACTTTAAGTGCTGTAACACTCACCACTAAGGTCTGCAGCTTCATTCTTGAAGTGAGCAAGACCATGAACCTGCCAGAAGGAGGAAACTCTGGACACATCTGAAGGAACAAACTCTGGACATAACACCTTTAAGTGCTGTAACACTCACCACTAAGGTCTGCAGCTTCATTCTTGAAATGAGCAAGACCATGAACCTGCCAGATGGAAGAAACTCTGGACACATCTGAAGGAACAAACTCTGGACATGACATCTTTCAGTGCTCTAACACTCACCGTAAAGGTCTGCAGCTTCATTCATGAGGTCAGCAAGACCATGAACCTGCCAGAAGGAAGAAACTCTGGACACATCTAAAGTTACAAACTCTGGACATAACAACGTAAGTGCTGTAACGCTCACCACTAAGGTCTGCAGCTTCATTCTTGAAGTGAGCAAGACCATGAGCCTGCCAGAAGGAAGAAACTCTGGACACATCTGAAGGAAAAAACTCTCGAAATAACAACATTAAATGCTGTAACACTCACCGAAAATGTCTGCAGCTTCATTCTTGAAGCTAGCAAGACCATGAACCTGCCAGAAGGAAGAAACTGGACACATCTGAAGGAACAAACTCTGGACATAACACCTTTAAGTGCTGTAACACTCACCGTAATGGTCTGCAGTTTCGTTCTTGAAGTGAGCAAGACCATGAACCTGCCAGAAGGAAGAAACTGTGGACACAACTGAAGGAACAAACTCTGGACATAACACTTTTAAGTGATGTAAAACTCACCAATAAGGTCTGGAACTTCATTCTGGAAGTGAGCAAGTCCATGAACCAGCCAGAAGAAAGAATCTCTGGACACATCTGAAGGAACAAACTCTGGATATAACACCTTTAAGTGCTGTAACACTCACCGTAAAGGTGTGCAGCTTCATTCCTAAAGTGAGGAAGACCATGAACCTGCCAGAAGAAGAAACTCTATACACATCCGAAGGAAGAAACTCTGGACATAACACTTTTAAGTGCTGTAACACTCACCCTAACGGTCTGCAGCTTCATTCTTGAAGTGAGCAAGACCATGAATCTGCCAGAAGGAAGAAATTCTGGACACATCTGAATGAATAAACTCTGGACATAACACCTTTAAGTGCTGTGACACTCACCGTAAAGGTCTGCAGCTTCATTCTTGAAGTGAGCAAGACCGTGAACCTGCCAGAAGGAAGAAACTCTATACATATCTAATGGAAGAAACTCTGGACATAACACCTTTAAGTTCTGTAACACTCACCACCAAGGTCTGCAGCTTCATTCTTGAAGTGAGCAAGACCATGAACCTGCCCGAAAGAAGAAATTCTGGACACATCTGAGGGACAAAACTCTGGACATAACACCTTTATATGCTGTAACACTCACCGTAAAGGTCTACAGCTTCATTCTT
This sequence comes from Homo sapiens, assembly GCF_000001405.40. NCBI lineage: Eukaryota > Metazoa > Chordata > Mammalia > Primates > Hominidae > Homo > Homo sapiens. The sequence goes on along the minus strand of NC_000024.10, from coordinate 20,107,263 downwards.
TCTTGAAGTGAGCAAGACCATGAACATGCCAGAAGAAAGAATATCTGGACACATCTGAAGGAACAAACTCTGGACATAACACCTTTAAGTGCTGTAACAATCACCACTAAATTTTGCAGCTTCACTATTGAAGTGAGCAAGACCATGAAAATGCAAGTTGAAAGAAACTCTGGACACATCTGAAGGAAAAAACTCTGGACAAAACACCTTTAAGTACTGTAACACTCACCGCTAAGGTGTGCAGCTTCATTCTTGAAGTGAGCAAGACCATGAACCTGCCAGAAGGAAGAAACTCTGGACACATCTGAAGGAACAAACTTTGGACATAACACTTTATATGCTATAACACTCACCGTAATGGTCTGCAGCTTCATTCTTTCTTGAAGTGAGCAAGACCATGAACATGCCAGAAGGAAGAAACTCTAGACACATCTTATGGAACAAACTCTGTATATAACACCTTTAAGTGCTGTAACACTCACCGTAAAGGACTGCAGCTTCATTCTTGAAGTGAAGAAGTCCATGAACCTGCCAGAAGGAAGAAAATCTATGCACATCTGATGGAACAAACGCTGGACATAACACCTTTAAGTGCTGTAACACTCACCGTAAAGGTCTGCAGCTTTATTCTTGAAGTGAGCAATACCATGAACCTGCCCGAAAGAAGAAACTGGACACATCTGAAGGACTAATCTCCGTACATAACAACTTTATATGCTGTAACACTCACCGGAAGGTCTGCAGTTTCATTCTTGAATTGAGCAAGACCATGAACCTGCCAGAAGGAAGAAACTCTAGATATATCTAAAGGAAAAAACTCTGGACATAAAAACTTAAGTGCTGTAACGGTCACCACTAAGGTCTGCAGCTTCATTCTTGAAGTGAGCAAGACCATGAAGCTGCCAGAAGGAAGAAACTCTGGACACATCTGAAGGAACAAACTCTGGACCTAACACCTTTAAATGCTGCAAAACTCACCACTAAGGTCTGCAGCTCCATTCTTGAAGTGAGCAAGACCATGAACATGACAGAAGGAAGAATATCTGGACACATCTGAAGTAAGAAACTCTGGACATAACACCTTTTAGTGCTGTAACACTCACCACTAAATTCTGCAGCTTCACTCTTGAAGTGAGCAAGACCATGAACCTGCCAGATTGAAGAAACTTTGGACACATCTGAAGGAACATACTCTGGACATAACACCTTTAAGTGATGTAACTCTCACCACTAAGGTCTGCAGATTCATCCTTGAAGTGAGCAAGACCATGAACCTGCCAAAAGGAATAAACTCTGGACACATCTGATGGAACAAACTCGGGACATAACACCTGTAAGTGCTGTAACACTCACCACCAAGGTCTGCAGCTTCATACTTGAAGTGAGAAAGACCATGAACCTGCCAGAAGGAAGAAACTCTGGACACGTCTGAAAGAACAAACTCTGGACATAACACCTTTAAGTGCTGTAACACTCACCATAAAGGACTGGAGGTTCATTCTTGAAGCTAGCAAGACCATGAACCTGCCAGAAGGAAGAAACTCTGTACACATCTGAAGGAAAAAACTCTGGACATAATACCTTTAAGTGCTGTAACACTCACCGTAAAGGTCTGCAATTTCATTCTTGAAGTGAGCAAGTCAATGAACCTGCCAGAAGGAAGAAACTCTGGACACATGTGAAGGAACAAACACTGGATATAACAACTTTAAGTACTGTAACTTTCACCGTAAATGTCTGCAGCATCATTCTTGAAGTGAGCAAGACCATGAAACTTCCAGAAGGAAGAAATTCTAGACACATCTGAAGGAACAAACTCTGGACATAACAGCTTTAAGTGCTGTAAAACTCACCGTAAAGGTCTGGAGCTTCACTCTTGAAGTGAGCAAGACCATGAACCTGCAAGAAGGAAGAAAGTCTATACACATCTGATGGAACAAACTCTGGACATAACACCTTTAAGTGCTGTAACACTCACCACCAAGGTCTGCAGGTTCATTCTTGAAGTGAGCAAGACCATGAACCTGCCCGAAGGAAGAAACTCTGCACAAAACTGAAGGAACAAACTCTGGACATAACACTTTTAATTGCTGTAAAACTCGCCGTAAACGTCCGGAGATTCACTCTTGAATTGAGCAAGGCCATGAACCTGAGAGAAGAAGGAAACTCTGGACACATCTGAAGGAACAAACTCTGGATATAACACCTTTAAGTGCTGTAACACTCACCGTAAAGGTCTGCAGCTTCATTCTTGTATTGAGCAAGTCCATCAACCTGCCAGAAGGAAGAAACTCTATACACATGTGATGGAACAAACTCTGGACATAACACCTTTATGTGCTGTAACACTCACCACTAAGGTCTGCAGCTTCATTCTTGAAGTGAGCAATGCCATGAAACTGCCAGAAGGAAGAAACTCTATACACAATAGATGGAACAAAGTCTGGACATAACACAATTAAGTGCTGTAACACTCACCACCAAGGTCTGCAGCTTCATTCTTGAAGTGAGCAAGACCATGAACCTGCCAAAAGGAAGAAACTCTAGACACATCAGATGGAACAAACTCGGACATAACACCTGTAAGTGCTGTAACACTCACCACCAAGATCTGCAGCTTCATTCTTGAAGTGAGCAAGACAATGAACTTGCCAGAAGGAAGAAACTCTGGACACATCTGAAGGAACAAACTCTGGACATAACACCTTTAAGTGCTGTAACACTCAACGTAACGGTCTGGAGCTTCATTGTTGAAGTGAGCAAGACCATGAACCTGCCAGAAGGAAGAAACTCTATACATATCTGATGGAACAAACTCTGGACATAACACCTTTAAGTGCTGTAACACTCAACACCAAGGTCTGCAGCTTCATTCTTCAAGTGAGCAAGACCATGAACTGCCCGAAAGAAGAAATTCTGGACACATCTGAAGAACCAAACTCTGGATATAACACCTTTATATGCTGCAACACTCACCGTAAAGGTCTGCAGCTTCATTCTTTCTTGAAGTGAGCAAGACCATGAACATGCCAGAAGGAAGAATATCTGGACACATCTGAAGGAACAAACTCTGGACATAACACCTTTAAGTGCTGCAACACTCACCGTAAAGGACTGGAGGTTCATTCTTGAAGCTAGCAAGACCATGAACCTGCCAGAAGGAAGAAACTCTGGACACATCTGAAGGAACAAACTCTGGACATGACAACATTAAGTGCTGTAACACTCACCGTAAAGGACTGCAGCTTCATTCTTGAAGTGAGCAAGACCATGAAGCTGCCAGAAGGAAGAAACTCTGGACACATCACAAGGAACAAACTCTGGACATAACATCTTTAAGTGCTGTAACACTCACCACTAAGGTCTGCAGCTTCATTCTTGAAGTGAGCAAGACCATGAACCTGCCAGAAGGAAGAAACTCTATACACATCAGATGGAACAAACTCTGGACATAACACATTTAAGTGCTGTAACACTCACCACCAAGGTCTGCAGCTTCATTCTTGAAGTGAGCAAGACCTTGAACCAGCCCGTAGGAAAAAATTCTGGACACATCTGAAGGACCAAACTCTGGACTTAACACCGTTATATGCTGTAACACTCACCGTAAAGGTCTGCAGCTTCATTCTTTCTTGAAGTGAGCAAGACCATGAACCTGCCAGAAGGAAGAATATCTGGACACATCTGAAGTAACAATCTCTAGACATAACACCTTTAAGTGCTGTAACACTCACCACTAAATTCTGCAGCTTCACTCTTGAAGTGAGTAAGACCATGAAACTGAAAGATTGAAGAAACTTTGGACACATCTGTAGGAACAAACTCTTTACATAAAACCTTTAAGTGCTGTAACACTCACCACTAAGGTCTGCAGCTTCATTCTTGAAGAGAACAAGACCATGAACCTGCCAGAATGAAGAAACTCTGGACACATCTGAAGGAACAAACTCTGGACATGACAAAATTAAGTGCTGTAACACTCACCGTAAAGGTCTGCAGCTTAATTCCTGAAGTGAGCAAGACCATGAACCTGCCAGAAGGAAGAAACTCTGGACACATCACAAGGAACAAACACTGGACATAACACCTTTAAGTGCTGTAACACTCACCACTAAGGTCTGCAGCTTCATTCTTGAAGTGAGGAAGACCATGAACCTGCCAGAAGGAAGAAACTCTATACACATTTGATGGAACAAACTCTGGACATAACACATTAAAGTGCTGTAACACTCACCACCAAGGTCTGCAGCTTCATTCTTGAAGTGAGCAAGACCATGAACCGGCCCGAAGGAAGAAATTCTGGACACATCTGAAGGACCAAACTCTGGACTTAACACCTTTATATGCTGTAACACTCACCGTAAAGGTCTGCAGCTTCATTCTTTCTTGAAGTGAGCAAGACCATGAACCTGCCAGAAGGAAGAATATCTGGACATATCTGAAGTAACAAACTCTGGACATAACAACTTTTAGTGCTGTTAACACTCACCACTAAATTCTGCAGCTTCACTCTTGAAGTGAGGAAGACCATGAACCTGCCAGACTGAAGAAACTTTGGACACACCTGAAGGAACAAACTCTTTACATAACACCATTAAGTGCTGTAACACTCACCACTGAGGTCTGCAGCTTCATTCTTGAAGTGAGCAAGACCATGAACCTGCCAAAAGGAAGAAACTCTGGACACATCTGATGGAACAAACTCGCGACATAACGCCTGTAAGTGCTGCAACACTCATCACCAAGGTCTGCAGCTTCATTCTTGAAGAGAGCAAGACCATGAACCTGCCAGAAGGAAGAAACTGTGGACAAATCTGAAAGAACAAACTCTGGACATAACACCTTTAAATGCTGTAACACTCACCGTAAAGGACTGGAGGTTCATTCTTGAAGCTAGCAATACCATGAACCTGCCAGAAGGAAGAAACTCTGGACACATCACAAGGAACAAACCCTGGACATAACATCTTTAAGTGCTGTAACACTCACCACTAAGGTCTGCAGCTTCATTCTTGAAGTGAGCAAGACGATGAACCTGCCAAAAGGAAGAAACTCTGGACACATCTGATGGAACAAACTCGGGACATTACACCTGTAAGTGCTGTAACACTCACCGACCAAGGCCTGCAGCTTCATTCTTGAGGTGAGCAAGACCACGAACTTGCCAAAAGGGAGAAACTCTGCGCACATCAGAAGGAACAAACTCTGGACATAACACCTTTAAGTACTGTAACACTCACCACTAAGGTCTGCAGCTTCATTCTTGAAGTGAGCAAGACCATGAACCTGCCATAAGGAAGAAACTCTATGCAAATCTGCATGGAACAAACTCTGGGACATAACACCTTTAAGTGTTGTAACACTCAACACCAAGGTCTGCAGCTTCATTCTTGTATTGAGCAAGACCATGAACCTGCCCGAAGATAGAAACTCTGGACACATCTGAAGGACCAAACTCTCGATATAACACCTTTCTATGCTGTAACACTCACAGTAAAGGTGTGCAGCTTCATTCTTTCTTGAAGTGAGCAAGACCATGAACCTGTCAGAAGAAAGAAACTCTGGACACATCTGAAGGAACAAACTCTGGATATAACACCTTTAAGTGTTGTAACACTCACCGTAAAGGTCTGCAGCATCATTCTTGAAGTGTGCAAGACCGTGAACCTTCCAGATTGAAGAAACTCTGGACACATCTGAAAGAACAGACTCTGGACATAACAACCTTAAGTGCTGTAACACTCACCACTAAGGTCTGCAGCTTCATTATTGAAGTGAGCAAGACCATGAACCTGCAAGAAGAAAGAAACTCTAGACACATCTGACCGAAGAAACTCTGGAGATAACACCTATAAGTGCTGTAACACTCACCACCTAGGTCTGCAGCTTCATTCTTGAAGTGAGCAAGACCATGAACATGCCAGAAGGAAGAAACTCTGTACACATCTGAAGGAATAAACTCTGGACTTAACACATTTAAATGCTGTAGCACTCACCGTAAAGGTCTGCAGCTTCATTCTTGAAGTGAGCAAGACCATGAACCTGCCAGAAGGAAAAAATTCTGTCCACATCTGAAGGAAGAAACTCTGGACATAAGATTTTTAAGTGCTGTAACACTAACCCTAAAGGTCTGCAGCTTCATTCGTGAAGTGAGCAAGACCATGAACCTGCCAGAGGGAAGAAATTCTGGACACATCTGAAGGAACAAACTCTGGATATAACACCTTTATATGCTGCAACACTCACCGTAAAGGTTTGCATCTTAATTCTTTTTTGAAATGAGCTACACCATGAACCTGCCAGAAGGAAGAATATCTGGACACATCTGAAGGAACAATCTCTGGACATAACACCTTTAAGTGCCGTAACACTCACCACTGAATTCTGCAGCCTCACTCTTGAAGTGAGCAAGACCATGAACCTGCCAGGTGGAAGAAACTCTGGACACTTCTGAAGGAAAAAACTCTGGACACAACACCTTTAAGTGCTGTAACACTCACCACTAAGGTCTGCAGCTTCGTTCTTGAAGTGAACAAGTCCATGAACCTGTCAGAAGGAAGAAAATCTATACATATCTGATGGAACAAACGCTGGACATAACACCATTAAGTGCTGTAACACTCAACACCAATGTCTGCAGCTTTATTTTTGAAGTGAGCAATACCATGAACATGCCCGAAGGAAGAAACTCTGGACAAATCTGAAGGACTAAATCCGTACATAACAACTTTATATGCTGTAACACTCACCGTAAAGGTCTGCATCTTCATTCTTTCTTGAAGTGAGCAAGACCTTGACCCTGCAAGAAGGAAGAATATCTGGACACATCTGAAGGAACAAACTCTGGACATAACACATTTAAGTGCTGTAACACTCACCACTAAATTCTGCAGCTTCACTCTTGAAGTGAGCAAGACCATGAACCTGCCAGATGGAAGAAACTCCGGAGACATCTGAAAGAAAAAACTCTGGACATAACACCTTTAATTGCTGTAACATTCACCACTAAGGTCTGCAGCTTCATTCTTGAAGTGAGCAAGACCATGAACCTGCCAGAAGGAAGAAACTCTGAACACATCTGAAGGAACAAACGCTGGACATAACACCTTTAAGTGCTATAACACTCACCGTAAAGTTCTGCAGCTTCATTCTTGAAGTGTGCAAGACCATGAACCTGCCAGAAGGAAGAAACTCTGGACACATCTGAAGGAAAAACTCTGGACATAACACCTTTAAATGCTGTAACGATCACCACCTAGGTCTGCAGCTTCATTCTTAAAGTGAGCAAGACCATGAACCTGCCTGAAGGAAGAAACTCTGGACACATCTAAAGGAACAAACTCTGGACATAAAACTTTCAAGTGCTGTAACACTCACCCTAAAGGTCTGCAGCTTCATTCTTGAAGTGAGCAAGACCATGAACCCGCCAGAAGGAAGAAATTCTGGACACATCTGAAGGAACAAACTCTGGATACAACAAATATAAGTGCTGTAACACTCACCGTAAATGTCTGCAGCTTCATTCTTAAAGTGAGCAAGACCATGAACCTGCCAGAAGGGAGAAACTCTGGACACATCTGAAGTAACAAACCCTGGGCATAATACCTTTAAGTGCTGTAACACTCACCACTAAGGTCTGTAGCTTCATTCTTGAAGTGAGCAAGAACCATGAACCAGCCAGAAGGAAGAAACTCTGGACACATTTGTAGAAAAAAACTCTGGACATAACACCTTTAAGTGCTGTAACCCTCACCACTAAGGTCTGCAGCTTCATTCTTGAAGTGACCAAGACCATGATCCTGCCAGATGGAAGAAACTCTGGAAATATCTGAAGGAAAAAACTCTGGACATAACATCTTTCAGTGCTGTAACACTCACCGTAAAGGTCTACAGTTTCATTCTTGAAGTGAGCAAGACCATGAACTTGCCAGGAGGAAGAAACTGGACACATCTGAAGGAACAAACTCTGGACATAACACCTTTAAGTGCTGTAACACTCACCGTAATCGTCTGCAGTTTCATTTTTGAAGTGAGCAAGACCATGAACCTGCCAGAAGGAAGAAACTCTGGACACATCTGAAGGAAAAAAGCTCTGGACATAACACTTTTAAGTGCTGTAACACTCACCGTAAAGGACTGGAGCTTCATTCTTGAAGTGAGCAAGACCATGAACCTGCCAGAAGAAAGAAACTCTGGACACATCTGAAGGAACAAACTCTGGACATCACACCTTTAAGTGCTGTAACACTCACCACCTAGGTCTGCAGCCTCATTCTTAAAGTGAGCAAGAACATGAACCTGCCAGAAGGAAGAAACTCTGGACACATCTGAAGGAACAAACTTTGGACATAACACTTTATATGCTGTAACAATCACCGTAAAGGTCTGCAGCTTCATTCTTACTTGAAGTGAGCAAGACCATGAACCTGCCAGAAGGAAGAAACTCTAGACACATCTAAAGGAACAAACTCTGGACATAAAACTTTCAAGTGCTGTAACACTCACCCTAAAGGTCTGCAGCTTCATTCTTGAAGTAAGCAAGACCATGAACCTGCCAAAAGGAAGAAATTCTGGACACATCTGAAGGAACAAATTCTGGATATAACAAATTTAAGTGCTGTAACACTCACCGTAAATGTCTGCAGCTTCATTCTTGAAGTGAGCAAGACCATGAACCTGCCAGAAGGAAGAAACTCTGGACACATCTGAAGTAACAACCTCTGGGCATAATACCTTTAAGTGCTGTAACACCCACCACTAAGGTCTGCAGCTTCATTCTTGAAGTGAGCAAGACCATGAACCTGCCAGAAGGAAGAAACTCTGGACACATCTGACGGAAAAAACTCTGGATAAAACAACTTTAAGTGCTGTAACCCTCACCACTAAGGTCTGCAGCTTCATTCTTGAAGTGAGCAAGACCATGAACCTGCCAGATGGAAGAAACTCTGGAAACATCTGAAGGAACAAACTCTGGACATAACATCTTTCAGTGCTGTAACACTCACCGTAAAGGTCTACAGTTTCATTCTTGAAGTGAGCAAGACCATGAACCTGCCAGAAGGAAGAAACTCTGGACACCTCTGAAGGAACAAACCCTGGACATAACACCTTTAATTGTTGCAACACTCACCTCAAAGGTCTGCAGCTTCATTCTTGAAGTGCGCAAGACCATGAACCTGCCAGATGGAAGAAACTCTGGACACATCTGAACGAACAAACTCTGGACATAACAACTTTAAGTACTGTAACACTCACCACTAAGGTCTGCAGCTTCATTCTTGAAGTGAGCAAGACCATGAACCTGCCAGAGGGAAGAAACTCTAGACGTATCTGACGGTACAAACTCTGGACATAACACCTTTAAGTGCTGTAACGCTCACCACCTAGGTCTGCAGCTTCATTCTTGAAGTGAGCAAGACCATGAACCTGCCAGAAGGAAGAAACTCTGGCCACATCTGAAGGAACAAACTCTGGACATAAAACTTTTAAGTGTCGTAACACTCACCCTAAATGTCTGCATCTTCATTCTTGAAGTGAGCAAGACCATGAACCTGCCAGAAGGAAGAAATTCTGGACACATCTGAATGAACAAACTCTGGACATAACACCTTTAAGTGCTGTGACACTCACCGTAAAGGTCTGCAGCTTCATTCTTGAAGTGAGCAAGACCATCAACCTGCCAGAAGGAAGAAACTCTATACACATCCGATGGAACAAACTCAGGACAAACACCTTTAACTGCTGTAACAATCACCACCAAGGTCTGCAGCTTCATTCTTGAAGTGAGCAAGACCATGAACCTGCCAGAGGGAAGAAACTCTAGACGTATCTGACGGTAGAAACTCTGGACATAACACCTTTAAGTGCTGTAACGCTCACCACCTAGGTCTGCAGCTTCATTCTTGAAGTGAGCAAGACCGTGAACCTCCCAGAAGGAAGAAACTCTGGCCACATCTGAAGGAACAAACTCTGGACATAAAACTTTTAAGTGCCGTAACACTCACCCTAAATGTCTACATCTTCATTCTTGAAGTGAGCAAGACCATGAACCTGCCAGAAGGAAGAAATTCTGGACACATCTGAATGAACAAACTCTGGACATAACACCTTTAAGTGCTGTGACACTCACCGTAAATGTCTGCAGCTTCATTCTTAAAGTGAGCAAGACCATCAACCTGCCAGAAGGAAGAAACTCTATACACATCTGAAGTAACAAACTCTGGGCATAATACCTTTAAGTGCTGTAACACTCACCACTAAGGTCTGTAGCTTCATTCTTGAAGTGAGCAAGACCATGAACCTGCCAGAAGGAAGAAACTCTGGACACATCTGTAGGAAAAAACTCTGGACATAACACTTTTAAGTGCTGTAACCCTCACCACTAAGGTCTGCAGCTTCATTCTTGAAGTGACCAAGACCATGATCCTGCCAGATGGAAGAAACTCTGGAAATATCTGAAGGAAAAAACTCTGGACATAACATCTTTCAGTGCTGTAACACTCACCGTAAAGGTCTACAGTTTCATTCTTGAAGTGAGCAAGACCATGAACTTGCCAGGAGGAAGAAACTGGACACATCTGAAGGAACAAACTCTGGACATAACACCTTTAAGTGCTGTAACACTCACCGTAATGGTCTCCAGTTTCATTTTTGAAGTGAGCAAGACCATGAACCTGCCAGAAGGAAGAAACTCTGGACACATCTGAAGGAAAAAACTCTGGACATAACACTTTTAAGTGCTGTAACACTCACCGTAAAGGACTGCAACTTCATTCTTGAAGTCAGCAAGAACATGAACCTGTCAGAAGAAAGGAACTCTGGACACATCTGAAGGAACAAACTCTGGACATCACACCTTTAAGTGCTGTAACACTCACCACCTAGGTCTGCAGCCTCATTCTTGAAGTGAGCAAGAACATGAACCTGCCAGAAGGAAGAAACTCTGGACACATCTGAAGGAAACAAACTCTGGACATAACACCTTTATATGCTGTAACACTCACCGCAAAGGTCGGCAGCTTCATTCTTGAAGTGAGCAAGACCATGAACCTGCCAGAAGGAAGAAACTCTGGCCACATCTGAAGGAACAATCTCTGGACATAACACTTTTAAGTGGTGTAACACTCACCCTAAAGGTCTGCAGCTTCATTCTTGAAGTGAGCAAGACCATGAACCTGCCAGAAGGAAGAAACTCTATACACATCTGAAGGAACAAACTCTGGACATAACAACTTTATATGCTGTAAAACTCACCGTAAAAGTCTGCAGCTTCATTCTTTCTTGAAGTGAGCAAGACCATGAAACTGCCAGAAGAAAGAAACTATGGACACATCTGAAGGAACAAACTCTGGACATAACACCTTTAAGTGCTGTAACACTCACCACTAAATTCTGCAGCTTCACTCTTGAAGTGAGCAAGACCATGAACCTGCCAGATGAAAGAAATTCTGGACACATCTGAAGGCAAAATCTCTGGACATAACACCTTTAAGTGCTGTAACACTCACCACTAATGTCTGCAGCTTCATTCTTGAAGGGAGCAAGACCATGAAACTGCCAGAAGGAAGAAATTCTGGACACATCTGAAGGAACAAACGCTGGACATAACACCTTTAAGTGCTGTACCACTCACCGTAAAGGACTGGAGCTTCATTATTGAAGTGAGGAAGACCATGAACCTGCCAGAAGAAAGAAACTCTGGACACATCTGAAGGAACAAACTCTGGACATAACACTTTTAAGTGCTGTAACACTCACCGTAAAGGTCTGCAGCTTCATTGTTGAAGTGAGCAGGACCATGAACCTGCAGAAGGAAGAAACTCTGGCCAAATCTGAATTAACAAACTCTGGACATGACACATTTACGTACTGTAACACTCAGCGTAAATGTCTGCAGCTTCATTCTTGAAGTTAGCAAGACCTTGAACTTGCCAGAAGGACGAAACTCTGGACACATCTGAAGGAACAAACTCTGGACATAACATTTTTCAGTGCTGTAAAACTCACCGTAAATGTCTACAGTTTCATTCTTGAAGTGAGCAAGACAAATGAACCTGCCAGAAGGAAGAAACTCTGGCCACATCTGAAGGAACAAACTCTGGACATAACACTTTTACGTGGTGTAACACTCACCCTAAATGTCTGGAGCTTCATTCTTGAAGTGAGTAAGTCCATGAACCTGCCAGAAGAAAGAAACTCTGGACATACCTGAAGGACCACACTCTGGAAATAACACCTTTATATGCTGTAACACTCACCGTAAATCTCTGCAGCTTCATTCTTTCAGTGCTGTAACACTTACCCGTAAAGGTCTACAGTTTCATTCTTCAAGTGAGCAAGACCATGAACCTGCTAGAAGGAAGAAACTGGACACATCTGAAGGAGCAAACTCTGCACATAACACCTTTAAGTGCTGTAACACTCACGGTAATGGTCTGCAGTTTCATTCTTGAAGTGACCAGGACCATGAATCTGCCAGAAGGAAGAAACTCTGGACACATCTGCAGGAACAAACTCTGGACATAATACCTTTAAGTGCTGTAACACTCACCGTAAAGGTCTGCAGTTTCATTCTTGAAGTGAGCAAGACCATGAACCTGCCAGAAGGAAGAAACTCTGGACAGAACTGAAGGAACAAACTCTGGACATAACACATTTAAGTGACTTAAAAATCACCGTAAAAGTCTGGAGCTTCCTTCTTAAAGTGAGCTAGTCCATGAACCTGCCAGAAGAAAGAAACTCTGGACACATATGAAGGAACAAACTCTGGATATAACACCTTTAACTGCTGTAACACTCACCGTAATGGTCTGCAGCTTCATTCTTGAAGTGAGCAAGGCCATTAACCTGCCATAAGGAAGAAACACTATGCAAATCTGATGGAATAAACTCTGGACATACCACCTTTATGTGCTGTAACACTCACCACCAAGGTTTACAGCTTCATTCTTGAAGTGAGCAAGACAATGAACCTGCCCGAAGGAAGAAACTCTGGACACATCTGAATGACCAAACTCTGGACATAACACCTTTATATGCTGTAAAACTCACCGTAAAGGTCTGCAGCTTCATTCTTTCTTGAAGTGAGCTAGACCATGAAACTGCCAGAAGAAAAAAACTGTGGACACATCTGAAGGAACAAACTCTGGATATAACAACTTTAAGTGCTGTAACACTCACCGTAAATGTCTGCAGCTTCATTCTTTCTTGAACTGAGCAAGACCATGAACATGCCAGAAGGAAGAATATCTGGACACATCTGAAGGAACAAACTCTGGACATAACACCTTTAAGTGCTGTAACAATCACCACTAAATTATGCAGCTTCACTCTTGAAGTGAGCAAGACCATGAACCTGCCAGATGGAAGAAAATCTGGACACATCTGAAGGAAAAAACTCTGGACAAAACACCTTTAACTGCTGTAACACTCACCACTAAGGTCTGCAGCTTCAATCTTGAATTGAGCAAGACCATGAACCTGCCAGAAGGAAGAAACTCTGGACACATCTGAAGGAAAAAACTCTGGACATAACACCATTAAGTGCTGTAACACTCTCCACTAAGGTCTGCAGCTTCATTCTTGAATTGAGCAAGACCATGAACCTGCCAGAAGGAAGAACCTCTGGACACATCTGAAGGAAAAAACTCTGGACATAACACCTTTAAGTGCTGTAACCCTCACCACTAAGGTCTGCAGCTTCATTCTTGAAGTGAGCAAGACCATGAACCTGCCAGAAGGAAGAAACTCTGGACACATCTGAAGGAAAAAATTCTGGACATAACACCTTTAAGTGCTGTAACCCTCACCACTAAGGTCCGCAGCTTCATTCTTGAAGTGAGCAAGACCATGAACTTGCCTGAAGGAAGAAACTCTGGACACATCTAAAGGAACAAACTCTGGAGATTACACGTTTAAATGCTGTAACACTCACCGTAAAGGTCTGCAGCTTCATTCTTGAAGTGAGCAAGACCATGAACCTGCCAGAAGGAAGAAACTCTGGCCACATATGAAGGAACAAACTCTGGACATAACACTTTTAAGTGCTGTAACACTCACCCTAAAGGTCTGCAGCTTCATTCTTGAAGTGAGCAAGACCATGAACCTGCCAGATTGAAGAAACTTTGGACACATCTGAAGGAACAAACTCTTTATATAACACATTTAAGTGCTGTAACATTCACCACTAAGGTCTGCAGCTTCATTCTTGAACTGAGCAAGACCATGAACCTGCCAGAAGGAAGAAACTCTGGACACATCTGAAGGAACAAACTCTGTACATAACACCTTTAAGTGCTGTAACACTCACCACTAAGGTCTGCAGCTTCATTCCTGAATTGAGCAAGACCATGAACCTGCCAGAAGGAAGAAACTCTAGACACATCTGAAGGAAAAAACTCTGGACATAACAACTTTAAGTGCTGTAACCCTCACCAATAATGTCTGCAGCTTCATTCTTGAAGTGAGCAAGACCATGAACCAGCCCGAAGGAAGAAACTCTGGACACATCTCAAGGACCAAACTCTGGACATAACACCTTTATATGCTGTAACACTCAACGTAAAGGTCTGCAGCTTCATTCATTCTTGAAGTGAGCAAGACCATGAACCTGCCAGAAGAAAGAAACTCTGGTCATATCTGAAGGAAGAAACTCTGGATATAACACCTTTAAGTGCTGTAACACTCACCGTAAAGCTCTGCAACATCATTCTTGAAGTGAGCAAGACCATGAATCTGCCAGATTGAAGAAACTTTGGAAACATCTGAAGGAAAAAACTCTTTACATAACACCTTTAAGTGCTCTACCACTCACCACTAAGATCTGCAGCGTCATTCTTGAAATGAGCAAGACCATGTACCTGCCAAAAGGAAGAAACTCTGGACACATCTGATGGAACAAACTCGGAACATAACACCTGTAAGTGCTGTAACACTCACGACCAAGGTCTGCAGGTTCATTCTTGAAGTGAGCAAGACCATGAACCTGAAAGAAGGAAGAAACTCTGGACACAACTGAAGGAACAAACTCTGGACATAACGCTTTTAAGTGCTGTAAAACTCACCGTAAAGGTCTGGAGCTTCATCCTTGAAGTGAGCAAGACCATGAACCTGCCATAAGAAAGAAACTCTGGACACATCTTATGGAACAAACTCTGAACATAAAACCTTTAAGTACGGTAACGCTCACCACTAAGGTCTGCAGCTTAATTATTGAGGAGAACAAGAAAATGAACCTGACAGAATGAAGAAACTCTGGACACATCTGAAGGAACAAACCCTGGACATGACAACATTAAGTACCGTAACACTCACCGTAACGTTCTGGAGCTTCATTGTTGAAGTGAGCAAGACCATGAACCTGCCAGAAGGAAGAAACTCTATACACATCTGATGGAACAAACTCTGCACATAACACCTTTAAGTTTTGTAACACTCACAACCAAGGTCTGCAGCTTCATTCTTCAAGTGAGCAAGACCATGAACCTGCCCGAAAGAAGAAATTCTGGACACATCTGAAGAACCACACTCTGGACATAACACCTTTATATGCTGTAACACTCACCGTAAAGGTCTGCAGCTTCATTCTTTCTTGAAGTGAGCAAGAACATGAACATGCCAGAAGGAAGAATATCTGGACACATCTGAAGGAACAAACTCTGGACATAACACCTTTATGTGCTGTAACAATAACCACTAAATTTTGCAGCTTCACTCTTGAAGTGAGCAAGACCATGAACCTGCCAGATAGAAGAAACTCTGGACATATCTGAAGGAAAAAACTCTGGACATAACACATTTAGGTGCTGTAACACTCACTACTAAGGTCTGCAGCTTCATTTTGAAGTGAGCAAGACCATGAACCTGCCAGAAGGAAGAAACTCTGGACACATCTGAAGGAATAAACTCTGGACATAACACCTTTAAGTGCTGTAACCCTCACCACTAAGGTCTGCAGCTTCATTCTTGAAGTGAGCAATACCATGAACCTGCCAGAAGGAAGAAACTCTGCACACATCTGAAGGAAAAAACTCTGGACATAACAGCTTTAAATGCTGTAACCCTCACCGTAAATGTCTGCAGCTTCATTCTTGAAGTGAGCAAGACCATGAACCTGCCAGAAGGAAGAAACTCTGGACACATCTCAAGGACCAAACTCTGGACATAACACCTTTATATGCTGTAACCCTCAACGTAAAGGTCTGCAGCTTCATTCATTCTTGAAGTGAGCAAGACCATGAACCTGCCAGAAGTAAGGAACTCTGGTCATATCTGAAGGAAGAAACTCTGGATATAACACCTTTAAGTGCTGTAACACTCACCGTAAAGCTCTGCAACATCATTCTTGAAGTGAGCAAGACCATGAATCTGCCAGATTGAAGAAACTTTGGAAACATCTGAAGGAAAAAACTCTTTACATAACACCTTTAAGTGCTCTACCACTCACCACTAAGATCTGCAGCGTCATTCTTGAAATGAGCAAGACCATGTACCTGCCAAAAGGAAGAAACTCTGGACACATCTGATGGAACAAACTCGGAACATAACACCTGTAAGTGCTGTAACACTCACGACCAAGGTCTGCAGGTTCATTCTTGAAGTGAGCAAGACCATGAACCTGAAAGAAGGAAGAAACTCTGGACACAACTGAAGGAACAAACTCTGGACATAAGACCTTTAAGTGCTGTAACACTCACCACTAAGGTCTGCAGCTTCATTCTTTCTTGAACTGAGCAAGACCATGAACTTGCTAGAAGGAAGAATATCTGGACACATCTGAAGTAACAAACTCTAGACATAACAACTTTAAGTGCTGTAACACTCACCACTAAATTCTGCAGCTTCACTCTTGAAGTGAGCATGACGATGAACCTGCCAGATTGAAGAAACTTTGGACACATCTGAAGTAACAAACTCTTTACATAACACCTTTAAGAGCTGTAACACTCACCACTGAAGTCTGCAGCTTCATCCTTGAAGAGAGCAAGACCATGAACCTGCCAGAAGGAAGAAACTCTAGACACATCTGATGGAACAACTCTGGACATAAAACCTTTAAGTGCTGTAACGCTCACCGCTAAGGTCTGCAGCTTCATTCCTGAAGAGAACAAGACCATGAACCTGCCAGAAGGAAGAAACTCTGGACACATCACAAGGAACAAACTCTGGACATAACACCTTTAAGTGCTGTAACACTCACCACTAAGGCCTGCAGCTTCATTCTTGAAGTGAGCAAGACCATGAACCTGCCAGAAGGAAGTAACACTATACACATCAGATGGAACAAACTCTGGACATAACAAATTTAAGTGCTGTAACACTCACCACCAAGGTCTGCAGCTTCATTCTTGAAGTGAGCAAGACCATGAACCAGCCCGAAGGAAAAAATTCTGGACACATCTGAGTGACCAAACTCTGGACATAACACCTTTATATGCTGTAACACTCACTGTAAATGTCTGCAGCTTCATTCTTTCTTGAAGTGAGCAAGACCATGAACATGACAGAAGGAAGAATATCTGGACACATCTGATGTAACAAACTCTGGACATAACACCTTTTAGTGCTGTAACACTCACCACTAAATTCTGCAGCTTCACTCTTGAAGTGAGCAAGACCATGAACCTGCCAGATTGAAGAAACTTTGGACACATCTGAAGGAACAAACTCTTTACATAACACCTTTAAGTGCTGTAACACTCTCCACTAAGGTCTGCAGCTTCATTCTTGAAGTGAGCAAGACCATGAACCTGCCAGAAGGAAGAAACTCTGGACACATCTGAAGGAATAAACTCTGGACATAACACCATTAAGTGCTGTAACACTCACCGTAAAGGACTGGAGATTCATTATTGAAGTGAGCAAAACCATGAACCTGCCAGAAGAAAGAAACTCTGGACACATCTGAAGGAACAAACTCTGGACATAATACCTTTAAGTGCTGTAACACTCACCGTAAGGGTCTGCAGTTTCATTCTTGAAGTGAGCAAGACCATGGACCTGCCGGAAGGAAGAATCTCTGGACTTATCTGAAGGAACAAACTCTGGACATAAAAACTTAAGTGCTGTAACGCTCACCACTAAGGTCTGCAGCTTCATTCTTGAAGTGAGCAAGACCATGAACCTGCCACAAGGAAGAAACTCTGGACTTATCTGAAGGAACAAACTCTGGACATAAAAACTTAAGTGCTGTAACGCTCACCACTAAGGTCCGCAGCTTCATTCTTGAAGTGAGCAAGACCATGAACCTGCCAGAAGGAAGAAACTCTGGACTTATCTGAAGGAACAAACTCTGGACATAAAAACTTAAGTGCTGTAACGCTCACCACTAAGGTCTGCAGCTTCATTCTTGAAGTGAGCAAGACCATGAACCTGGAGAAGGAAGAAACTCTGGACACATCTGAAGGAACAAACTCTGGACATAACAGCTTTAAGTGCTGTAAAACTCACCACTAAGGTCTGCAGCTTCATTCTTGAAATGAGCAAGTCCATGAACCTCCCAGAAGGAAGGAAAATTAGACACATCTGATGTAAATAACTCTGGACATAACACCTTTAAATGATGTAACACTCACCGTAAAGGACTGCAGCTTCATTCTTGAAGTGAGCAAGACCATGAACCTGCCAGAAGGAAGAAACTCTGGACACATCTGAAGGAACAAACTCTGGACATAACACCTTTATGTGCTGTAACACTCACCGTAAAGGTCTGCATCTTCATTCTTGAAGTGAGCAAGACCATGAACCTGCCAGAAGGAAGAAACTCTGGACACATCTGAAGGAACAAACTCTGTAAATAACATCTTTAATTGTTGTAACACTCACCACTAAGGTCTGCAGCTTCATTCTTGAAGTGAGCAAGACCATGAACCTGCCAGAAGGAAGAAACTCTGGACACATCTGAAGGAACAAACTCTGGATATAACACCTTAAGTGCTGTAAAACTCACCACTAAGTTCTGCAGCTTCATTCTTGAAGTGAGCAAGACCATGAACCTGACAGAAGGAAGAAACTCTGGACACATCTGAAGGAACAAACTCTGGAAATAACATCTTTCAGTGCTGTAACACTCACCGTAAAGGTCTACAGTTTCATTCTTGAAGTGAGCAAGACCATGAACCTTCCAGAAGGAAGAAACTGGACACATATGAAAGAACAAACTCTAGACATAACAATTTTAAGTGCTGTAACACTCACCGTAAGGGTCTGCAGTTTCATTCTTGAAGTGAGCAAGACCATGGACCTGCCAGAAGGAAGAATCTCTGGACTTATCTGAAGGAACAAACTCTGGACATAAAAACTTAAGTGCTGTAACGCTCAGCACTAAGGTCTGCAGCTTCATTCTTGAAGTGAGCAAGACCATGAACCTGCCAGAAGGAAGAAACTCTGGACACATCTGAAGGAACAAACTCTGGACCTAACACCTTTAAGTGTTGTAATACTCACCACTAAGGACTTCAGCTTCATTCTTGAAATGAGCAAGTCCATGAACCTCCCAGAAGGAAGGAGCTCTAGACACATCTGATGTAAGAAACTCTGGACATAACTCCATTAAATGCTGTAACACTCACCGTAAAGGTATGCAGCTTCATTCTTGAAGTGAGGAAGACCAACAACCAGCCAGAGGGAAGAAACTCTGGACACATCTGAAGGAACAAACTCTGGACATAACAAATTTAAGTGCTGTAACACTCACCACTAAGGTCTGCAGCTTCATTCTTGAAGTGAGCAAGACCATGAACCTGCCAGAAGGAGGAAACTCTGGACACATCTGAAGGAACAAACTCTGGACATAACACCTTTAAATGCTGTAACACTCACCGTAAAGGACTGCAGCTTCATTCTTGAAGTGAGCAAGACCATGAACCTGCCAGAAGGAAGAAACTCTGGACACATCTGAAGGAACAAACTCTGGACATAGCATCATTCATTGCTGTAACACTCACCGTAAAGGTCTACAGTTTCATTCTTGAAGTGAGCAAGACCATGAACCTGCCAGAAGGAAGAAAGTGGACACATCTGAAGGAACAACCTCTGGACATAACACTATTAAATGCTGTAACACTCACCGTAAAGGTCTGCCGCGTCATTCTTGAAGTGAGCAAGACCATGAACCTGCCAGAAGGAAGAAACTCTGGACACATCTGAAGGAACAAACTCTGGACATAACACCTTTATGTGCTGTAAAACTCACCACTAAGTTCTGCAGCTTCATTCTTGAAGTGAGCAAGACCATGAACCTGCAAGAAGGAAGAAACTCTGGACTTATCTGAAGGAACAAACCCTGGACATAAAAACTTAAGTGCTGTAACGCTCACCACTAAGGTCTGCAGCTTCATTCTTGAAGTGAGCAACACGATGAACCTGCCAGAAGGAAGAAACTCTGGACACATCTGAAGGAACAAACTCTGGACCTAACACCTTTAAGTGCTGTAAAACTCACCACTAAGGTCTTCAGCTTCATTCTTGAAATGAGCAAGTCCATGAACCTCCCAGAAGGAAGGAGTTCTAGACACATCTGATGTAAGAAACTCTGGACATAACTCCATTAAATGCTGTAACACTCACCGTAAAGGTCTGCAGCTTCATTCTTGAAGTGAGCAAGACCAAGAACCAGCCAGAGGGAAGAAACTCTGTACACATCTGAAGGAACAAACCCTGGACATAACAACTTTAAGTGCTGTAACACTCACCACTAAGGTCTGCAGCTTCATTCTTGAAGTGAGCAAGACAATGAACCTGCCAGAAGGAAGAAACTCTGGAAACATCTGAAGGAACAAACTCTGTACATAACACCATTAATGCTGTAACACTCACCGTAAAGGTCTGCAGCTTCATTCTTGAAGTGAGCAAGACCATGAACTTGTCAGAAGGAAGAAACTCTGGACACTTCTGAAGGAACAAACTCTGGACATAACACCTTTAAGTGCTATAACACTCACCGTAAAGGTCTGCAGCTTCATTCTTGAAGTGAGCAAGACCATGAACCTGCCAGAAGGAAGAAAGTCTGGACTTATCTGAAGGAACAAACTCTGGACATAAAAACTTAAGTGCTGTAACGCTCACCACTAAGGTCCGCAGCTTCATTCTTGAAGTGAGCAAGACCATGAACCTGCCAGAAGGAAGAAACTCTGGACTTATCTGAAGGAACAAACTCTGGACATAAAAACTTAAGTGCTGTAACGCTCACCACTAAGGTCTGCAGCTTCATTCTTGAAGTGAGCAAGACCATGAACCTGGAGAAGGAAGAAACTCTGGACACACCTGAAGGAACAAACTCTGGACATAACAGCTTTAAGTGTTGTAAAACTCACCACTAAGGTCTGCAGCTTCATTCTTGAAATGAGCAAGTCCGTGAACCTCCCAGAAGGAAGGAAATCTAGACACATCTGATGTAAAAAACTCTGGATATAACACCTTTAAATGATGTAACACTCACCGTAAAGGACTGCAGCTTCATTCTTGAAGTGAGCAAGACCATGAACCTGCCAGAAGGAAGAAACTCTGGACACATCTGAAGGAACAATCTCTGGACATAACACCTTTATGTGCTGTAACACTCACCGTAAAGGTCTCCATCTTCATTCTTGAAGTGAGCAAGACCATGAACCTGCCAGAAGGAAGAAACTCTGGACACATCTGAAGGAACAAACTCTGTAAATAACACCTTTAAGTGTTGTAACACTCACCACTAAGGTCTGCAGCTTCATTCTTGAAGTGAGCAAGACCATGAACCTGCCAGAAGGAAGAAACTCTGGACACATCTGAAGGAACAAACTCTGGATATAACACCTTTAAGTGCTGTAAAACTCACCACTAAGTTCTGCAGCTTCTTTCTTGAAGTGAGCAAGACCATGAACCTGCCAGAAGGAAGAAACACTGCACACATCTGAAGGAACAAACTCAGGAAATAACATCTTTCAGTGCTGTAACACTCACCGTAAAGGTCTACAGTTTCATTCTTGAAGTGAGCAAGACCATGAACCTTCCAGAAGGAAGAAACTGGACACATATGAAGGAAGAAACTCTAGACATAACAATTTTTAGTGCTGTAACATTCACCGTAAGGGTCTGCAGTTTCATTCTTGAAGTGAGCAAGACCATGGACGTGCCAGAAGGAAGAATCTCTGGACTTATCTGAAGGAACAAACTCTGGAACTAACACCTTTAAGTGTTGTAACACTCACCGTAAAGGTCTGCAGCTTCATTCTTGAAGTGAGCAAGACCATGAACCTGCCAGAAGGAAGAAACTCTGGACACATCTGAAGAAACAAACTCTGGACCTAACACCGTTAAGTGCTGTAACACTCACCGTAAAGGTCTGCAGCTTCATTCTTGAAGTGAGCACGACCATGAACCTGCCAGAAGGAAGAAACTCTGCACACATCTGAAGGAACAAACTCTAGACATAACACCTTTAAGTGCTGTAACACTCACCATAAAGGTATGCAGCTTCATTCTTGAAGTGAGCAAGACCATGAATTTGCCAGAATGAAGAAACTCTGGACACATATTAAGTAACGAACTCTGTACATAACACCTTTAAGTGCTGTAACACTCACCACTAAGGTCTGCAGCTTCATTCTTGAGGTGAGCAAGACCATGAAGCTGCCAGAAGAAAGAAACTCCGGTCACATCTGCATGAACAAACTCAGGACATAACACTTTAAGTGCTGTAACACTCACCAGTAAGGTCTGCAGCTTCATTCTTCAAGTGAGCAGGACCATGAGCCTGCCAGAAGGAATTAACTCTGGACACATCAGAAGGAACAAACTATGGACATAACACCTTTAAGTGCTGTAACACTCAACGTACAGGTCTGCAGCTTTATTCTTGAAGTCAGCAAGACCATGAACCTGCCAGAAGGAAGAAACTCTGGACACATCTAAATGAACAAACTCTGGACATAACACCTTTAAGTGCTGTAGCACTCACCACTACGGTCTGCAGCTCCATTCTTGAAGTGAGCAAGACGATGAATCTGCCAGACGGAAGAAACTCCGGACACATCTGAATGAACAACCTCTGGACATAACACCTTTCAGCGCTGTAACACTCACAACTAACTTCTGCAGCTTCATTCTTGAAGTGAGCAAGATCATGAACGTGCCGGAAGGAAGAAACTCTGTACACATCTGAAGGAAAAAACTCTGGACATAACAACTTTAAGTGTTGTAACACTCACCGTAAAGGTTTGCAGCTTCATTCTTGAAGTGAGCAAGACCATGTATCTGCCAGAAGCAAGAAACTCTGGGCACATCTGAAGGAACAAACTCTGGACATAACACCTTTAAGTGCTGTAACACTCACCGTAAATGTATGCAGCTTCATTCTTGAAGTGAGCAAGACCATGAACCTGCCAGAAGGAAGAAACTCTGGACACATCTGAAGGAACAAACTCTGGACATAACACGCTTTAGAGTGTTGTAACACTCACCGTAGAGTTCTGCATCTTCCTTATTTCTTGAAGTAAGCAAGACCATGAACATGCCAGAAGGAAAAAAATCTGGACACATCTGAAGGGACAAACTCTGGATATAACAACTTTAAGTGCTGTAACACTCACCGTAAATGTCTGTAGCTTCATTCTTGAAGTGAGCAAGACCATGAACCTGCCAGATTGAAGAAACTTTGGACACATCTGAAGGAACAAACTCTTTACATAACACGTTTAAGTGCTGTAACACTCAGCACTAAGGTCTGCAGCTTCATTCTTGAAGTGAGCAAGACGATGAACCTGCCAGAAGGAAGAAACTCTGGACATATCTGAAGGAACAAACTCTGTACATAACACTTTAAGTGCTGTAACACTCACCACTAAGGTCTGCAGCTTCATTCCTGAATTGAGCAAGACCATGAACCTGCCAGAAGGAAGAAACTCTGGACACATCTGAAGGAAAAAACTCTGGACATAACAACTTTAAGTGCTGTAACCGTCACCAATAATTTCTGCAGCTTCATTCTTGAAGTGAGCAAGACCATGAACCTGCACGAAGGAAGAAACTCTGGACACATCTCAAGGACCAAACTCTGGACATCACACCTTTATATGTTGTAACACTCAACGTAAATGTCTGCAGCTTCATTCATTCTTGAAGTGAGCAAGACCATGAACCTGCCAGAAGAAAGAAACTCTGGACACATCTGAAGGAAGAAACTCTGGATATAACACCTTTACGGTGAGTTTTACAGCACTTAAAGGTGTTATGTCCAGAGATTTTTCCTCTCAGTTGTGTCCAGAGTTTCCTTCTTCTGGCAGTTTCATGTTCTTGCTTACTTCAAGAATGAAGCTCCAGACCTTTTAGGTGAGTGTTACAGCACTTAAAGGTATTATGTCCAGAGTTTTTTCCTTCAGATGTGTACAGAGTTTCTTCCTTCTGGCAGGTTCATGGTCTTGCTAGCTTCAAGAATGAACCTCCATTCCTTTACGGTGAGTGTTACAGCACTTAAAGGTGTTATGTCCGGAGTTTGTTCCTCCAGATGTGTCCAGAGTTTCTTCCTTCTGGCAGGTTCATGGTCTTGCTCACTTCAAGAATGAAGCTGCAGACCTTAGTGGTGAGGGTTACAGCATTTAAAGGTGTTATGTCCAGAGTTTTTTCCTTCAGATGTGTCCAGAGTTTCTTCCTTCTGGCAGGTTTATGGTCTTGCTCACTTCAAGAATGAAACTACAGACCTTTACGATGAGTGTTACAGTACTTACAGGTGTTATGTCCCGAGTTTTTTCCATCAGATGTGTCCAGACTTTATTCCTTTTGGCAGGTTCATGGTCTTGCTCACTTCAAGAATGAAGCTGCAGACCTTAGTGGTGAGTGTTACAGCACTTAAAGGTGTTATTTCCAGAGGTTGCTCCTTGTGATGTGTCCAGAGTTTGTTTCTTCTGGCAGGTTCATGGTCTTGCTCACTTCAAGAATGAAGCTGCAGGCCTTTACGGTGAGTGTTAAAGCACTTAAATGTGTTATGTCCAGAGTTTGTTCCTTCAGATGTGTTCAGAGTTTCTTCCTTCTGGCAGGTTCATGGTCTTGCTCACTTCAAGAGTGAAGCTGCAGAATTTAGTGGTGAGTGTTACAGCACTTAAAGGTGTTATGTCCAGAGTTTCTTCCTTCAGATTTGTCCAGAGTTTCTTCCTTCTGGCAGGTTCATGGTCTTGCTCACTTCAAGAGTGAAGCTGCAGAATTTAGTGGTGAGTGTTACAGCACTTAAAGGTGTTATGTCCAGAGTTTGTTCCTTCATATGTGTCCAGATATTCTTCCTTCTTGCAGGGTCATGGTCTTGCTCACTTCAAGAAAGAATGAAGATGCAGACCGTTACGGTGAGTGTTACAGCATATAAAGGTGTTGTGGACGGAGTTTGGTCCTTCAGATGTATCCAGAGTTTCTTCTTCGAGCAGGTTCATGGTCTTGCTCAATTCAAGAATAAAGCTGCAGACCTTGGTGGTGAGTGTTACAGCACTTAAAGGTGTTATGTCCAGAGTTTGTTCCATCAGATGTGTCCACAGTTTCCTTCTTCTCTCAGGTTCCTGGCCTTGCTCACTTCAAGAATGAATCTCCAGACTTTTACGGTGAGGTTTACAGCACTTAAAAGTGTTGTGTCCAGAGTTTGTTCCTTCAGTTTTGTCCAGAGTTTCTTCCTTCTGGCAGGTTCATGGTCTTGTTCAATTCAATAATGAAGCTGCACACCTTGGTGGTGGGTGTTACAGCACTTAAAGGTGTTACGTCCAGAGTTTGTTCCATCAGATGTGTATAGACTTTCTTCCTTTTGGCAGGTTCATGGTATTGCTCACTTCAAGAATGAAGCTGCAGACATTTACGGTGAGTGTTACAGCACTTAAAGTTGTTATATCCAGAGTTTGTTCCATAAGATGTGTCTAGAGTTTCTTCCTTCTGGCATGTTCATGGTCTTGCTCACTTCAGGATAGAATGAAGCTGCAGACATTTACGGTGAGTGTTACAGCATATAAAGTGTTATGTCCAGAGTTTATTCCTTCAGATGTGTCCAGAGTTTCTTCTTTCTGGCAGGTTCATGGTCTTGCTCACTTTAAGAATGAGGCTGCAGACCTAGGTGGTGAGTGTTACAGCACTTAAAGGTGTGATGTCCAGAGTTTCTTCCGTAAGATGTGTCTAGAGTTTCTTCCTTCTGGCATGTTCATGGTCTTGCTCACTTCAAGAAAGAATGAAGCTGCAGACCTTTACGGTGATTGTTACAGCATATAAAGTGTTATGTCCAAAGTTTGTTCCTTCAGATATGTCCAGAGTTTCTTCCTTCTGGCAGGTTCATGGTCTTGCTCACTTTAAGAATGAGGCTGTAGACCTAGGTGGTGAGTGTTACAGCACTTAAAGGTGTGATGTCCAGAGTTTGTTCCTTCAGATGTGTCCAGTGTTCCTTTCTTCTGGCAGGTTCATGGTCTTGCTCACTTCAAGAATGAAGCTCCAGTCCTTTACGGTGAGTGTTACAACACTTAAAGGTGTTATGTGCAGAGTTTGTTCCTTCAGATGTGTCCAGAGTTTCTTCCTTCTGGCAGGTTCATGGTCTTGCTCACTTCAAAAATGAAACTGCAGACCATTACGGTGAGTGTTACAGCACTTAAAGGTGTTATGTCCAGAGTTTGTTCCTTCAGATGTGTCCAGTTTCTTCCTCCTGGCAGGTTCATGGTCTTGCTCACTTCAAGAATGAAACTGTAGACCTTTACGGTGAGTGTTACAGCACTGAAAGATGTTATGTCCAGAGTTTTTTCCTTCAGATATTTCCAGAGTTTCTTCCATCTGGCAGGTTCATGGTCTTGGTCACTTCAAGAATGAAACTGCAGACCTTAGTGGTGAGTGTTACTGCACTTAAAGGTGTTATGTCCAGAGTTTTTTCCTACAGATGTGTCCAGAGTTTCTTCCTTCTGGCAGGTTCATGGTCTTGCTCACTTCAAGAATGAAGCTACAGACCTTAGTTATGAGTGTTACAGCACTTAAAGGTATTATGCCCAGAGTTTGTTACTTCAGATGTGTCCAGAGTTTCTCCCTTCTGGCAGGTTCATGGTCTTGCTCACTTCAAGAATGAAGCTGCATTCCTTAGTGGTGAGTGTTCCAGCACCTAAAGATGTTATGTAAAGAGTTTGTTCCTTCAGATGTGTCCAAAGTTTCTTCAATTTGGCAGGTTCATAGTCTTGCTCACTTCAAGAGTGTAGCTGCAGAATTTAGTGGTGAGTGTTACAGCACTTAAAAGTGTTATGTCCATAGTTTGTTACTTCAGATGTGTCCAGATATTCTTCCTTCTGGCAGGTTCATGGTCTTGCTCACTTCAAGAAAGAATGAAGCTGCAGACCTTTACGGTGAGTGCTACAGCATATAAAGGTGTTATGTCCAGAGTTTTTTCCTACAGATGTGTCCAGAGTTTCTTCCTTCTGGCAGGTTCATGGTCTTGCTCAATTCAAGAATGAAGCTGCAGACCTTAGTTTTGAGTGTTACAGCACTTAAAAGTGTTATGTCCAGAGATTGTTCCTTCAGATGTGTCCAGAGTTTCTTCCTTCTGGCAGGTTCATGGTCTTGCTCACTTCAAGAATGAAACTGCAGACCCTTACGGTGAGTGTTACAGCACTGAAACATGTCATGTCCAGAGTTTGTTCCTTCAGATATGTCCAGAGTTTCTTCCTTCTGGCAGGTTCATGGTCTTGCTCACTTCAAGAATGAAGCTGCACACCTTTATGGTGAGTGTTACAGCATATAAAGCTGTTATGTCCAGAGTTTGGTCCTTCAGTTATATTCAGAGTTTCTTCCTTCGGGCAGGTTCATGGTCTTGCTGACTTTAAGAATGAAGCTGCAGTCCTTTACGGTGAGTTTTACAGCATTTAAAGGTGTTATGTCCAGAGTTTGTTCCTTCAGATGTGTCCAGAGTTTCTTCTTTCTGGCAGATTCATGGTCTTTCTCACTTCAAGAATGAAGCTGCAGACCTTACTGTTGAGGGTTAAAGCACTTAAAGTTGTTTTATCCAGAGTTTTTTCCTTCAGATGTGTCCAGAGTTTCTTCCTTCTGGCAGGTTCATGGTCTTGCTCACTTCAAGAATGAAGCTGCAGACATTTACGGTGAGTGTTAGAGCACTTAAATTTGTTATATCCAGAATTTGTTCCTTCAGATGTGTCCAGAATTTCTTCCTTCTGGCAGGTTCATGGTCTTGCTTACTTCAAGAATGAAGCTGCAGACCTTTAGGTGAGTGTTACAGCACTTAAAAGTTTTATGTCCAGAGTTTGTTCCTTCAGATGTGTCCAGAGTTTCTTCCTTCTGGCAGGTTCATGGTCTTGCTCACTTCAAGAATGAAGCTGCAGACCTAGGTGGTGAGCGTTACAGCACTTAAAGGTGTTATGTCCAGAGTTTGTTCCTTCAGATGTGTTCTGAGTTTCTTCCTTCTGGGAGGTTCATGGTCTTGCTCACTTCAAGAATGAAGCTGCAGACCTTAGTGGTGAATGTTACAGCAATTAAAGGTGTTATGTCCAGAGTTTTTTCTTTCAGATGTGTCCGGAGTTTCTTCCATCTGGCAGGTTCAAGGTCTTGCTCACTTCAAGAGTGAAGCTGCAGAATTTAGTGGTGAGTGTTACAGCACTTAAATGTGTTATGTCCAGAGTTTGTTCCTTCAGATGTGTCCAGATATTCTTCCTTCTTGCAGGGTCATGGTCTTGCTCACTTCAAGAAGGAATGAAGGTGCAGACCTTTACGGTGAGTGTTACAGCATATAAAGTTGTTATGTACGGAGTTTAGTCCTTCAGATGTGTCCAGAGTTTCTTCCTTCGGGCAGGTTCATGGTATTGCTCACTTCAAGAATAAAGCTGCAGACCTTGGTGGTGAGTGTTAGAGCACTTAAAGGTGTTATGTTCAGAGTTTGTTCCATCAGATGTGTATAGAGTTTCTTCCTTCTGGCAGGTTCATGGACTTGTTCACTCCAAGAATGAAGCTGCAGACCTTTACGGTGAGTGTTACAGCACTTAAAGTTGTTATATTCAGAGTTTGTTCCTTCAGATGTGTCCAGAGTTTCCTTCTTCTCTCAGGTTCATGGCCTTGTTCAATTCAAGATTGAATCTCCAGACCTTTACGGTGAGTTTTACAGCACTTAAAAGTGTTATGTTCAGAGTTTGTTCCTTCAGTTTTGTCCAGAGTTTCTTTCTTCTAGCAGGTTCATGGTCTTGCTCACTTCAAGAATGAAGCTGCACACCTTGGTGGTGAGTGTTCCAGCACTTAAAAGTGTTATGTCCAGAGTTTGTTCCATCAGATGTGTATAGACTTTCTTCCTTCTGGCAGGTTCATGGTCTTGCTTACTTCAAGAATGAAGCTGCAGACATTTACGGTGAGTGTTACAGCAATTAAAGTTGTTATATCCAGAGTTTGTTCCGTAAGATGTGTCTAGAGTTTCTTCCTTCTGGCATGTTCATGGTATTGCTCACTTCAAGTAAGAATGAAGCTGCAGACCTTTACGGTGATTGTTACAGCATATAAAGTGTTATGTCCAAAGTTTGTTCCTTCAGATGTGTCCAGAGTTTCTTCCTTCTGGCAGGTTCATGTTCTTGCTCACTTTAAGAATGAGGCTGCAGACCTAGGTGGTGAGTGTTACAGCACTTAAAGGTGTGATGTCCAGAGTTTGTTCCTTCAGATGTGTCCAGAGTTCCTTTCTTCGGGCAGGTTCATGGTCTTGCTCACTTCAAGAATGAAGCTCCAGTCCTTTACGGTGAGTGTTACAGCACTAAAAAGTGTTATGTCCAGAGTTTGTTCCTTCAGATGTGTCCAGAGTTTCTTCCTTCTGGCAGGTTCATGGTCTTGCTCACTTCAAAAATGAAACTGCAGACCATTATGGTGAGTGTTACAGCACTTAAAGGTGTTATGTCCAGGGTTTGTTCCTGCAGATGTGTCCAGTTTCTTCCTCCTGGCAAGTTCATGCTCTTGCTCACTTCAAGAATGAAACTTTAGACCTTTAAGGTGAGTGTTACAGCACTGAAAGATGTTATGTCCAGAGTTTTTTCCTTCAGATATTTCCAGAGTTTCTTCCATCTCGCACGTTCATGGTCTTGGTCACTTCAAGAATGAAGCTGCAGACCTTAGTGGTGAGGGTTACAGCACTTAAAGGTGTTATGTCCAGAGTTTTTTCCTACAGATGTGTCCAGAGTTTCTTCCTTCTGGCAGGTTCATGGTCTTGCTCACTTCAAGAATGAAGCTGCAGACCTTAGTGTTGAGTGTTACAGCACTTAAAGGTATTAAGCCCAGAGTTTGTTACTTCTGATGTGTCCAGAATTTCTTCCTTCTGGCAGGTTCATGGTCTTGCTCACTTCAAGAATGAAGCTGCAGACATTTACGGTGAGTATTACAGCACTTATATTTGTTATATCCAGAGTTTGTTCCTTCAGATGTGTCCAGAATTTCTTCCTTCTGGCGTGTTCATGGTCTTGCTCACTTCAAGAATGAAGCTGCAGACCTTTAGGGTGAGTGTTACAGCACTTGAAAATTTTATGTCCAGAGTTTGTTCCTTTAGATGTGTCCAGAGTTTCTTCCTTCAGGCATGTTCATGGTCTTGCTCACTTCAAGAATGAAGCTGCAGACCTAGGTGGTGAGGGTTACAGCACTTAAAGGTGTTATGTCCAGAGTTTTTCCTTCAGATGTGTCCAGAGTTTCTTCCTTCTGGCAGGTTCATGGTCTTGCACACTTCAAGAATGAAGCTGCAGAACTTTACGGTGAGTGTCATAGCACTTAAAGGTGTTATGTCCAGAGTTTGTTCCTTCAGATGTGTTCAGAGTTTCTTCCTTCTGGCAGGTTCATGGTCTTGCTCACTTCAAGAATGAAGCTGCAGACCTTAGTGGTGAGTTTTACAGCAATTAAAGGTGTTATGTCCAGAGTTTGTTCCTTCAGATGTGTCCAGAGTTTCTTCCTTCTGGCAGGTTCGTGGTCTTGCTCACTTCAAGAATGAAGCTGCAGACCTTAGTTGTGAGCGTTACAGCACTTAAGTTTTTATGTCCAGAGTTTGTTCCTTCAGATATATCCAGAGTTTCTTCCTTCTGGTAGGTTCATGGTCTTGCTCACTTCAAGAATGAAACTGCAGACCCTTACGGTGAGTGTTACAGCACTTAAAGGTGTTATATCTAGACTTTGTTCCTTCAGATGTGTCCAGTTTCTTCCTTCTGGAAGGTTCATGGTCTTGCTCACTTCAAGAATGAAACTGTAGACCTTTACGGTGAGTGTTACAGCACTGAAAAATATTATGTCCAGAGTTTGCTCCTTCAGATGTGTCCAGAGTTTCTTCCTTCTGGCAGGTTCATGGTCTTGCTCCCTTCAAGAATGTAGCTGCAGAAGTTAGTGGTGAGTTTTACAGCACTTAAAGGTGTTATGTCCATAGTTTGTTCCTTCAGATGTGTGCAGAGTTTCTTCCTTCTGGCAGGTTCATGGTATTGCTCACTTCAAGAATAAAGCTGCAGACCTTAGTGGTGAGTGTTACAGCACTTAAAGGTGTTATGTCCAAAGTTTGTTACATCAGATGTGTCTAGAGTTCCTTCCTTCTGGCAGGTTCATGTACTTGCTCATTTCAAGAATGAAGCTGCAGACATTAGCGGTGTGTTTTACCGCACTTAAAGGAGTTATGCCCAGAGTTTGTTCCTTCAGATGTGTCCAGAGTTTCTTCCTTCTGGCAGGTTCATGGTCTTGCTCACTTCAAGAATGAAGCTTCAGACCTTAGTGGTGAGCGATACAGCCCTTTAGTTTTTATGTCCACAGTTTGTTCCTTCAGATAAGTCCAGAGATTCTTCCTTCTGGCAGGTTCATGGTCTTGCTCACTTCAAGAATGAAACTGCAGACCCTTACGGTGAGTGTTACAGCACTTAAAGGGTTATGTCTAGAGTTTTTCCTTCATATATGTCCAGTTTCTTCCTTCTGGAAGGTTCATGGTCTTGCTCACTTCAAGAATGAAACTGTAGACCTTTACGGTGAGTGTTACAGCACTGAAAGATGTTATTTCCAGAGTTTGTTCCTTCAGATGTGTCCAGAGTTTCTTCCTTCTGGCAGGTTCATGGTCTTGCTCACTTCAAGAAAGAAGCTGCAGAACTTAGTGGTGAGTTTTACAGCACTTAAAGGTGTTATGTCCAGAGTCTGTTCCTTCAGATGTGTCCAGAGTTTCTTCCTTCTGGCAGGTTCTTGGTCTTGCTCACTTCAAGAATGAAGCTGCAGACCTTAGCGGTGAGTGTTACAGCACTTAAAGGTGTTATGTCCAGAGTTTGTTCCTTCAGATGTGTCCAGAGTTTCTTCCTTCTGGCAGGTTCATGGTCTTCTTCACTTCAAGAATGAAGCTGCAGAACTTTACGGTGAGTGTTACATTATTTAAAGGTGTTATGTCCAGAGGCTCTTGATTCAGATGTGTTCGGAGTTTCTTCCGTCTGGCAGGTTCATGGTCTTGCTCACTTCAAGAATGAAGCTGCAGACCTTAGTAGTGAGTGTTACAGCACTTAAAGGTGTTATGTCCAGAGTTTGTTCATCTAGATGTGTCAAGAGTTTCTTCCTCCTGGCAGGTTCATGGTCTTGCTCACTTCAAGAATGAAGCTGCAGACCTTTACGGTGAGTGTCACAGCACTTAAAGGTGTTATGTCTAGAGTTTGTTCATTCAGATGTGTCCAGATATTCTTCCATCTGGCAGGTTCATGGTCTTGCTCACTTCAAGAATGAAGCTGCAGACCTTGGTGGGGAGTGTTACAGCACTTAAAGGTGTTATGTCCAGAGTTTGTTCCATCAGATGTGTATAGAGTTTCTTCCTTCTTGCAGGTTCATGGTCTTGCTCACTTCAAGAATGAAGCTGCAGAACTTTACGTTGAGTTTTACAGCACTTAAAGCTGTTATGTCCAGAGTTTGTTCCTTCAGATGTGTCCAGAGTTTCTTCCTTCTGGCAGGTTCATGGTCTTGCTCACTTCAAGAATGAAACTGCAGACCTTGACGGTGAGTGTTACAGCACTTAAAGGTGTTATGTCCAGAGTTTGGTCATTCAGATGTGTCCAGAGTTTCTTCCTTCGGGCAGGTTCATTGTCTTGCTCACTTCAAGAATGAAGCTGTAAACCTTGGTGGTGAGTGTTACAGCACTTAAAGGTGTTATGTCCAGAGTTTGTTTCATCAGATGTGTATAGAGTTTCTTCCTTCTGGCAGGTTCATGGTCTTGCTCACTTCAAGAATGAAGCTCCAGACGTTTATGGTGAGTTTTACATCACTTAAAGGTGTTATGTCCGGAGTTTGTTCCTTCAGTTGTGTCCAGAGTTTCTTCCTTCTGGCAGGTTCATGGTCTTGCTCACTTCAAGAATGAAACTGCAGACCTTTAAGGTTAGTGTTACAGCACTTAAAGGTATTATGTCCAGAGTTTGTTCCTTCAGATGTGTCCAGAGTTTCTTCCTTCTGGCAGGTTCATGGTCTTGCTAGCTTCAAGAATGAAGCTGCAGACATTTACGGTGAGTGTTACAGCACTTAAATTTGTTATATCCAGAGTTTGTTCCTTCAGATGTGTCCAGAATTTCTTCCTTCTGGCAGGTTCATGGTCTTCCTTACTTCAAGAATGAAGCTGCAGACCTTTATGGTGAGTGTTACAGCACTTAAAAGTTTTATGTCCAGAGTTTGTTCCTTCAGATGTGTCCAGAGTTTCTTCCTTCAGGCAGGTTCATGGTCTTGCTCACTTCAAGAATGAAGCTGCAGACCTTAGTGTTGAGTGTTACAGCACTTAAAGGTGTTACGTCCAGAGTTTATTCCTTCAGATGTGTCCAGAGTTTCTTCCATCTGGCAGGTTCATGGTCTTGCTCACTTCATGCGTGAAGCTGCAGAATTTAGTGGTGAGTGTTACAGCACATAAAGGTGTTATGTCCATGAGTTTGTTTCTTCAGATGTGTCCAGATATTCTTCCTTCTGTCCTGTACATGGTCTTGCTCACTTCAAGAAAGAATGAAGCTGCAGACCTTTACGGTGAGTGTTACAGCATATAAAGGTGTTATGTCCAGAGTTTGGTCCTTCAGATGTGTCCAGAATTTTTTCCTTCGGGCTGGTTCATGGTCTTGCTCACTTCAAGAATGAAGCTGCAGACTTGTATGGTGAGTGTTACAGCACTTAAATGTGTTATGTCCAGAGTTTGTTCCATCTGATGTGTTTAGTGTTTCCTCCTTCTGGCAGGTTCATTGTCTTGCTCACTTCAAGAATGAAGCTGCAGACCTTGGTGGTGAGTGTTACAGCACTTAAAGGTGTTATGTCCAGAGTTTGTTCCTTGTGATGTGTGCAGAGTTTCTTCCATCTGGCAGGTTCATGGTCTTGCTCACTTCAAGAATGATGCTGCAGACCTTTACGGTGAATGTTACAGTACTTAAAGGTGTTATATCCAGAATTTGTTCCTTCAGATGTGTCCAGATTTTCTTTCTTCTTGCAGTTTCATGGTCTTGCTCACTTCAAGAATGAAACTGCAGACCCTTACGGTGAGTTTTACAGCACTTAAAGGTGTTATATCCAGAGTTTGTTCCTTCAGATATGTCCAGAGTTTCTTCCTTCTGGCAGGTTCATGGTCTTGCTCACTTCAAGAATGAAGCTGCACACCTTTATGGTGAGTGTTACAGCATATAAAGCTGTTATGTCCAGAGTTTGGTCCTTCAGTTATATTCAGAGTTTCTTCCTTCGGGCAGGTTCATGGTCTTGCTGACTTTAAGAATGAAGCTGCAGTCCTTTACGGTGAGTTTTACAGCATTTAAAGGTGTTATGTCCAGAGTTTGTTCCTTCAGATGTGTCCAGAGTTTCTTCTTTCTGGCAGATTCATGGTCTTGATCACGTCAAGAATGAAGCTGCAGACCTTACTGATAGAGTGTTACAGCACTTAAAGGTGTTATGTCCAGAGTTTGTTCATTCGGATGTGTCCAGAATTTCTTCCTTCTGGCAGGTTCATGGTCTTGCTCACTTCAAGAATGAAGCTGCAGACCTTTAGGGTGAGTGTTACAGCACTTAAAAGTGTTATGTCCACAGTTTGTTCCTTCAGATGTGTCCAGAGTTTCTTTCTTCTGACAGGTTCATGGTCTAGCTCACTTCAAGAAAAATGAAGCTGCAGACCATTACGGTGGGTTTTACAGCACATACAGTGTTATGCCCAGAGTTTGGTCCTTCAGATGTGTCCAGAGTTTCTTCCTTCTGGCAGGTTCATGGTCTTGCTCACTTCAAGAATGAAGCTGCAGAATTTGATGGTGAGTGTTACAGCACTTAATTGTGTTATGTCCAAAGTTTGTTCCTTCAGATGTGTCCAGAGTTTCTTCCTTCTGGCAGGTTCATGGTCTTGCTCATTTCAAGAATGAAACTGCAGACCATTACGGTGAGTGTTACAGCACTTTAAGGTGTTATGTCCAGAGTTTGTTAGTTCAGATGTGTCCAGTTTCTTCCTTCTGGCAGGTTCATGGTCTTGCTCTCTTCAAGAATGAAACTGTAGACCTTTACGGTGAGTGTTACACAATGAAAGATGTTATGTCCAGAGTTTGTTCTTTCAGATGTGTCCAGAGTTTCTTCCATCTGGCAGGCACATGGTCTTGCTCACTTCAAGAATGAAGCTGCAGACCTTAGTGGTGAGTGTTACAGCACTTAAATGTGTTATGTCCAGAGTTTGTTCCTCCAGATGTGTCCAGAGTTTCTTCCTTCTGGCAGGTTCATGGTCTTGCTCACTTCAAGAATCAAGCTGCAGACCTTAGTGGTGAGTGTTACAGCACTTATAGTTGTTATGTCCAGAGTTTGTTCCTTCAGATGTGTCCAGAATTTCTTCCTTCTGGCAGGTTCATGGTCTTGCTCACTTCCAGAATGAAGCTGCAGACCGTAGTGGTGACTGTTACAGCACTTAAAAGTGTTATGTTCAGAGTTTTTTCCTTGAGATGTGTCTAGAGTTTCTTCCATCTGGCAGGTTCATGGTCTTGCTCACTTCAAGAAAGAATGAAGCTGCAGACCTCTACGGTGAGTGTTACAGCATATAAAGGTGTTATGTCCAGAGTTTGGTCCTTCAGATATGTCCAGAGTTTCTTCCTTCGGGCAGGTTCATGGTCTTGCTCACTTCAAAAATGAAACTGTAGACCTTAGTGGTGAGTGTTACAGCACTTAAAGGTGTTAGGTCCAGAGTTTTTTCCTTCAGATGTGTCCAGAGTTTCTTCCATCTGGCAGGTTCTTGGTCTTGCTCACTTCAAGAGTGAACCTGCAGAATTTAGTAGTGAGTGTTACAGTACTTAAAGGTGTTATGTCCAGAGTTTGTTCCTTCAGATGTGTCCAGATATTCTTCCTTCTGGCATGTTCATGGTCTTGCTCACTTCAAAAAAGAATGAAGCTGCAGACCTTTACGGTGAGTGTTACAGCATATAAAGGTGTTATGTCCTGAATTTGGTCCTTCAGATGTGTCCAGAGTTTCTTCCTTCGGGCAGGTTCATTGTCTTGCTCACTTCAAGAATGAAGCTGCAGACCTTGCTGGTGAGTGTTACAGCAGTTAAAGTGTTATGTCCATTGTTTCTTCCATCAGATGTGTATAGAGTTTCTTCCTTCTGGCAGGTTCATGGTCTTGCTCACTTCCAGAATGAAGCTGCAGACCTTTACGGTGAGTGTCACAGCACTTAAAGGTGTTATATCCATAGTTTGTTCATTCTGATGTGTCCAAAATTTCTTCCTTGTGGCAGGTTCATGGTCTTGCTCACTTCAAGAATGAAGCTGCAGACCTTTACGGTGAGTGTTACAGCACTTAAAGGTATTATGTCCAGAGTTTGTTCCTTCAGATGTGTCCAGAGTTTCTTCCTTCTGGCAGGTTCATGGTCTTGCTCACTTCAAGAATGAAACTGCAGACACTTACTGTGAGTGTTACAGCACTTAAAGGTGTTATGTCCAGAGTTTGTTCCTTCAGATGTGTCCAGTTTCTTCCTTGTGGCAGGTTCATGGTCTTGCTCATTTCAAGAATGAAACTGTAGACCTTTACGGTGAGTGTTACAGCACTGAAAGATGTTATGTCCAGAGTTTGTTCCTTCATATGTCTCCAGAGTTTCTTCCTTCTGGCAGGTTCATGGTCTTGCTGAACTCAAGAATGAAGCTGCAGACCTTTACGGTGAGTGTTACAGCACTTAAAGGTGTTATGTCCAGAGTTTGTTCCTTCAGATATGTCCAGAGTTTCTTCCTTCTGGAAGGTTCATGGTCTTGCTCACTTCAAGAATGTAGGTGCCGACCTTTACGCTGAGTGTTACAGCTCTTAAAACTGTTATGTCCAGAGTTTGTTCCTTCAGATGTGTCCAGAGTTTCTTCCTTCTGGCAGGTTCATGGTCTTGCTCAGTTCAAGAATGAAGCTGCAGACCTTTACGGTGAGTGTTACAGCATTTAAAGGTGTTATGTCCAGAGTTTTTTCCTTTAGATGTGTCCAGAGTTTCTACATTCTGGCAGGTTCATTGTCTTGCTCACTTCAAGAATGAAGCTCCAGTCCTTTACGGTGAGTGTTACAGCACTTAAAGGTGTTATGTCCAGAGTT
Organism: Homo sapiens; assembly: GCF_000001405.40. Classification (NCBI taxonomy): domain Eukaryota; kingdom Metazoa; phylum Chordata; class Mammalia; order Primates; family Hominidae; genus Homo; species Homo sapiens. Next base: position 20,069,780 of record NC_000024.10, on the reverse strand, counting down.
TGTTCCTTCAGGTGTGTCCACAGTTTCTTCCTTCTGGCAGGTTCATGGTCTTGCTCACTTCAAGAATGAAACTGCAGACCCTTACGGTGAGTGTTACAGCACTTAAAGGTTTTATGTCCAGAGTTTGTTCCTTCAGATATGTCCAGTTTGTTCCCTCTGGCAGGTTCATGGTCTTGCTTACTTCAAAATGGAAACTGTAGACCTTTACGGTTAGTGTTACAGCACTGAAAGTTGTTATGTCCAGAGTTTGTTCCTTCAGATGTGTCCAGAGTTTCTTCCATCTGGCAGGTTCATGTCCTTGCTCACTTCAAGAATGAAGCTGCAGAACTTAGTGGTGAGTTTTACAACACTTAAGGGTGTTATGTCCAGAGTTTGTTCCCTCAGATGTGCCAGAGTTTCTTCCTTCTGGCAGGTTCATGGTCTTGCTCACTTTAGGAATGAAGCTGCAGACTTTACGGTGAGTGTTACAGCTCTTAACGGTATTATGTCCAGAGTTTGTTCCTTCAGATGTGTCTCGAGTTTCTTCCTTCTGGCAGATTCATGGTCTTGCTAGCTTCAAGAATGAAGCTGCAGACCTTTACGGTGAGTGTTACAGCAATTAATGTTGTTATGTCCAGAGTTTGTTCCTTTAGATGTGTCCAGAGTTTCTTCCTTCTGGCTGGTTCATGATCTTCCTCACTTCAACAATGAAGCTGCAGACCTTAGTGGTGAGCGTTACAGCAATTAAGTTGTTATGTCCAGAGTTTGTTCCTTCAGATGTGTCCAGAGTTTCTTCCTTCTGGCAGATTCATGGTCTTGCTCACTTCAAGAATGAAACTGCAGACCCTTACGGTGAGTGTTACAGCACTGAAACATGTCATGTCCAGAGTTTGTTCCTTCAGATATGTCCAGAGTTTCTTCCTTCTGGCAGGTTCATGGTCTTGCTCACTTCAAGAATGAAGCTGCACACCTTTATGGTGAGTGTTACAGCATATAAAGGTGTTATGTCCAGAGTTTGGTCCTTCAGATGTGTCCAGAGTTCTTCCTTCGGCAGGTTCATGGTCTAGCTCACTTCAAGAATGAAGCTGCAGAGCTTGTTGGTGAGTGTTACAGCAGTTAAAGGTGTTATGTCCAGAGTTTCTTCCATCAGATGTGTATAGAGTTTCTTGCTTCTGACAGGTTCATGGTCTTGCTCACTTCAAGAATGAAGCTGCAGACCTTAGTGTTGAGTGTTACAGCACTTAAAGGTGTTATGTCCAGAGGTTGTTCCGTCAGATGTGTCTAGAGTTTCTTGCTTCTGGCAGGTTCATGGTCTTGCTCACTTCAAGAATCATGCTGCAGACCTTTACGGTGAGTTTTACAGCACTTAATGGTGTTATATCCTGTGTTCGTTCCTTCACATGTGTCCAGAGTTTCTTCCTTCGGGCAGGTTCGTGGTCTTGCTCACTTCAAGAATGAAGCTGCAGTCCTTAGTGTTGAGTGTTACAGCACATAAGGTTGTTATGTCCAGAGTTTGTTCCTCCAGATGTGGCCAGAGTTTCTTCCTTCTGTCAGGTTCATGGTCTTACTGCCTTCAAGAATGAAGCTGCAGACCTAGGTGGTGAGTGTTACAGCACTTAAAGGTGTTATGTCCAGAGTTTGTTCCGTCAGATGTGTGTAGAGTTTCTTTCTTCTGGCAGGTTCATGGTCTTGCTCACTTCAAGAATCATGCTGCAGACCTTTACGGTGAGTTTTACAGCACTTGATGGTGTTATATCCTGTGTTCGTTCCTTCAGATGTGTATAGACTTTCTTCCTTCTGAGAGGTTCATGGTCTTGCTTACTTCAAGAATGGAGCTGCAGACATTTACGGTGTGTGTTTCAGCACTTAAAGGTGTTATATAAAGAGTATGTTCATTCAGATGTGTCCAGAATTTCTTCCTTCTGGCAGGTTTATGGTCTTCTCACTTCAAGAATGAAGCTGCAGACCTTTACGGTGAGTGTTTCAGCACTTAAAGGTGTTATGTCCAGAGTTTTTTCCTTGTGATGTGTCCAGAGTTTCTTCCTTCTGGCAGGTTCATGGTCTTGCTCAATTCAAGAATGAAGCTGCAGACCTTTACGTTGAGTGTTAGAGCACTTAATGTTGTTATGTCCAGAGTTTATTCCTTCAGATGTGTCCAGAGTTTCTTCATTCTGGCAGGTTCATGGTCTTGTTCTCTTCAAGAATGAAGCCGCAGACCTTAGTGGTGAGCGTTACAGCACTTAAAGGTTTTATGTCCAGAGTTTGTTCCATCAAATGTGTCTAGAGTTTCTTCCTTCTGGGAGGTTCATGGTCTTGCTCACTTCAAGAGTGAAGCTGCAAAATTTAGTGGTGATTGTTACAAGACTTAAATGTGTTATGTCCAGAGTTTGTTCCTTGTGATGTGTCCAGATATTTTTCATTCTGGCATGTTCATGTTCTTGCTCACTTTAAGAAAGAATGAATCTGCAGACCATTACGGTGAGTGTTACAGCATATAAATGTGTTATGTCCAGAGTTTCGTCCTTCAGATGTGTCCGGAATTTCTTCTTTCGGGCAGGTTCATGGTCATGCTCACTTCAACAATGAAGCTGAAGACCTTGGTGGTGAGTGTTACAGCAGTTACAGTTGTTATGTTCGGAGTTTGTTCCATTAGATGTGTATAGAGTTTTTTCCTTCTGGCAGGTTCATGGTCTTGCTCACTTCAAGAATGAAGCTGCAGACCTTAGTGGTGAGTGTCACAGCACTTTAAGGTGTTATGTCCAGAGTTTGTTCATTCAGATGTGTCCAGAATTTCTTCCTTCTGGCAGGTTCATTGTCTTGCTCACTTCAAGAAAGAAGCTGCAGACATTTAGGGTGAGTGTTACACCACGTAAAAGTGTTATGTCCAGAGTTTGTTCCTTCAGATGTGGCCAGAGTTTCTTCCTTCTGGCAGGTTCATGGTCTTGCTCACTTCAAGAATGAAGCTGCAGACCTTTACGGTGAGTGTTACAGCATTTAAACGTGTCATGTCCAGAGTTTGTTCCCTTAGATGTGTCCAGAGTTTCTTCCTTCGGGCAGGTACATGGTCTTCCTCACTTCAAGAATGAAGCTGCAGACCTAGGTGGTGAGTGTTACAGCACTTAAAGGTGTTATGTCCATAGTTTGTACCGTCAGATATGACTAGAGTTTCTTCCTTCTAGCATGTAAATGATCTTGCTCACTTCAAGAATGAAGCTACAGACACTAGTGGTGAGTGTTACTGTACTTAAAGTTGTTATGTCCAGAGTTTGTTCGTTCAGATGTGTCCAGAGTTTCTTTCTTCTGGCAGGTTCATGGTCTTGCTCACTTCAAGAATGAATGAAGCTGCAGAACTTTACGTTGAGTGTTACAGCATATAAAGGTGTTATGTCCAGAGTTTGGTCCTTCAGATGTGTCCAGAGTTTCTTCCTTCTGGCAGGTTCATGGTCTTGCTCACTTGAAGAATGAGGCTGCAGACCTTAGTGGTGAGTGTTGCAGAACTTAAAGGTGTTATGTCCATAGTTTGGTCCTTCAGATGTGTCCAGAGTTTCTTCCTTCTGGCAGGTTCATGGTCTTGCTCACTTCAAGAATGAAGCTGCAGACCTTAGTGGTGAGTGTTACAGCACTTAAAGGTGTCATGTCCAGTGTTTGTTCCTTGTGATGTGTCCAGAGTTTCTTCCTTCTGGCAGGTTCATGGTCTTGCTCACTTCAGGAATTAAGCTGCAGACCTTAGTGGTGAGTGTTACAGCACTTAAAGGTGTTATGTAGAGAGTTTGTTACTTCATATGTGTCCAGAGTTTCTTCATTCTGGCAGATTCATGGTCTTGCTCACTTTCAAGAAAGAATGAAGCTGCAGACCTTTACGGTGAGTGTTACAGCACTTAAAGGTGTTATGTAAAGAGTTTGTTCCTTCAGATGTGTCCAAAGTTTCTTCAATCTGGCAGGTTCATGGTCTTGCTCACTTCAAGAATGAAGCTGCAGACCTCAGTGGTGAGAGTTACAGCACTTAAAGGTGTTATGTAAAGAGTTTGTTCCTTCAGATGTGTCCAAATTTTCTTCAATCTGGCAGGTTCATGGTCTTGCTCACTTCAAGAGTGAAGCTGCAGAATTTAGTGGTGAGTGTTACAGCACTTAAAGTTGTTATGTCTAGAGTTTGTTACTTCAGATGTGTCCAGATAGTCTTCCTTCTGGCAGGTTCATGGTCTTGCTCACTTCAAGAAAGAATGAAGCTGCAGACCTTTACGGTGAGTGTCACAGCATATAAAGGTGTTATGTCCAGAGTTTGGTCCTTCAGATGTGTCCAGAATTTTTTCCTTCGTACTGGTTCATGGTCTTGCTCACTTCAAGAATGAAGCTGCAGTCCTTGGTGGTGAGTATTAGAGCCCTTAAATGTGTAATGTCGAGAGTTTGTTCCATCTGATGTGTATAGTGTTTCTTCCTTCTTTCAGGTTCATGGTCTTGCTCACTTCAAGAATGAAGCTGCAGACCTTAGTGGTGAGTGTTACAGCACTTAAAGGTGTTATGTCCAGAGTTTGTTCCTTGTTATGTGTCCAGAGTTTCTTCCTTCTGGCAGGTTCATGGTCTTGCTCACTTCAAGAATGAAGCTGCAGACCTTTACGGTGAGTGTTACAGCACTTAACGTTGTCATGTCCAGAGTTTGTTCCTTCAGATATGTCCAGAGTTTCTTCATTCTGGCAGGTTCATGGTCTTGTTCTCTTCAAGAATGAAGCTGCAGACCTTAGCGGTGAGCGTTACAACACTTAAAGGTTTTATGTCCAGAGTTTGTTCCATCAGATGTGTCTAGAGTTTCTTCCTTCTGGCAGGTTCATGGTCTTGCTCACTTCAAGGATGATGCTGCAGACCTTAGTGGTGAGTGTTACAGCACTTAAAGGTGTTATGTCCAGAGTTTCTTCCTTTTGATGTGTGCAGAGTTTCTTCATTCTGGCAGGTTCATTTCTTGCTCACTTCAAAAATGATGCTGCAGACCTTTACGGTGAATGTTACAGTACTTAAAGGTGTTATATCCAGAGTTTGTTCCTTCTGATGTGTCCAGATTTTCCGTCTTCTTGCAGTTTCATGGTCTTGCTCACTTCAAGAATGAAGCTCCAGACCTTTACGGTGAGTTTTACAGCACTTAAAGGTGTTATGTCCAGAGTTTGTTCCTTCAGATGTGTCTAGAGTTTCTTCCTTCTGGCAGGTTCATGGTCTTGCTCACTTCAAAAATGATGCTGCAGACATTTACGGTGAAAGTTACAGTACTTAAAGTTGTTATATCCAGTGTTTGTTCCTTCAGATGTGTCCAGAGTTTCTTCCTTCTGGCAGGTTCATTGTCTTGCTCACTTCAAGAATGAAATTGCAGACCTTAGTGGTGAGAGTTACAGCACTTAAAGGTGTTATGTCCAGAGTATGTTCCTTCAGATGTGTCCAAAGTTTCTTCAATCTGACAGGTTCATGGTCTTGCTCACTTCAAGAGTGAAGCTGCAGAATTTAGTGGTGAGTGTTACAGCACTAAAAGGTGTTATGTCCAGAGTTTGTTCCTTGTGATGTGTCCAGAGTTTCTTCCTTCTGGCAGGTTCGTGGTCTTGTTCACTTCAAGAATTAAGATGCAAACCTTTACGGTGAGTGTTACAGCACTTAATGTTGTCATGTCCAGAGTTTGTTCCTTCAGATGTGTCCAGGGTTTCTGTCTTCTGGCAGGTTCATGGTCTTGCTCACTTCAAGAATGAAGCTGCAGACCTTAGTGGTGAGTGTTACAGCACTTAAAGTTGTTATGTCCAGAGTTTGTTCCTTGTGATGTGTCCAGAGTTTCTTCCTTCTGGGAGGTTCGTGGTCTTCTTCTCTTCAGGAATGAAGCTGCAGACCTTAGCGGTGAGCGTTACAGCACTTAAAGGTTTTATGTCCAGAGTTTGTTCCATCAGATGTGTCTAGAGTTTGTTCCTTCTGGCAGGTTCATGGTCTTGCTCACTTCAAGGATGAAGCTGCAGACCTTATTGGTGAGTGTTACAGCACTTAAAGGTGTTATGACCAGAGTTTGTTCCTTGTGATGTGTGTAGAGTTTCTTCCTTCTGGCAGGTTCATGGTCTTGCTCACTTCAAGAATGATGCTGCAGACATTTATGGTGAATGTTACAGTACTTAAAGGTGTTATATCCAGAGTTTGTTCCTTCAGATGTGTCCAGATTTTCTTTCTTCTTGCAGTGTCATGGTCTTGCTCACTTCAAGAATGAAGCTCCAGACCTTTACGGTGAGTTCTAAAGCACTTAAAGGTGTTATGTCCAGAGTTTGTTCCTTCGGTAGTGTCCAGAGTCTCTTCCTTCTGGCAGGTTCATGGTCTTGCTCACTTCAAGAATGAAACTGCAGACCTTTACGGAGGGTGTTACAGCACTTAAAGGTATTACGTCCAGAGTTTTTTCCTTCAGATGTGTACAGAGTTTCTTCCTTCTGGCAGGTTCATGGTCTTGCTAGCTTCAAGAATGAACCTCCAGTCCTTTACGGTGAGTGTTACAGCAGTTAAAGGTGTTATGTCCAGAGTTTGTTCCTTTAGATGTGTCCAGAGTTTCTTCCTTCTGGCAGGTTCATGGTCTTGCTCACTTCAAGAATGAAACTGCAGACCCTGACGGTGAGAGTTACAGCACTTAAAGGTGTTATGTCCAGAGTTTGTTCTTTCAGACGTGTCCACAGTTTCTTCCTTCTGGCAGGTTCATGGTCTTGCTCAATTCAAGCATGAAGCTGCAGAACTTTTTGGTGAGTGTTACAGCACTTACAGGTGTTATGTCCCGAGTTTGTTCCATCAGATATGTCCAGAGTTTCTTCCTTTTGACAGGTTCATGGTCTTGCTCACTTCAAGAATGAAGCTGCAGACCTCAGTGGTGAGTGTTACAGCACTTAAAGGTGTTATGTAAAGAGTTTGTTCCTTCAGATGTGTCCAAAGTTTCTTCAATCTGGCAGGTTCATGGTCTTGCTCACTTCAAGAGTGAAGCTGCAGAATTTAGTGGTGAGTGTTACAGCACTTAAAAGTGTTATGTCTAGAGTTTGTTACTTTAGATGTGTCCAGATATTCTTCCTTCTGTCAGGTTCATGGTCTTGCTCACTTCAAGAAAGAATGAAGCTGCAGACCTTTACGGTGAGTGTTACAGCATATAAAGGTGTTATGTCCAGAGTTTGGTCCTTCAGATATGTCCAGAATTTCTTCCTTCGGGCTGGTTCATGGTCTTCCTCACTTCAAGAATGAAGCTGCAGACCTTGGTGGTGAGTGTTATAGCACTTAAATATGTTATGTCCAGAGTTTGTTCCATCAGATGTGTCTAGAGTTTCTTCCTTCTGGCAGGTTCATGGTCTTGCTCACTTCAAGGATGAAGCTGCAGACCTTAGTGGTGTGTGTTACAGCACTTAAAGGTGTTATGTCCAGAGTTTCTTCCTTTTGATGTGTGCAGAGTTTCTTCCTTCTGGCAGGTTCATTTCTTGCTCACTTCAAAAATGATGCTGCAGACCTTTACGGTGAATGTTACAGTACTTAAAGGTCTTATATACAGAGTTTGTTCCTTCTGATGTGTCCAGGTTTTCTTTCTTCTTGCAGTTTCATGGTCTTGCTCACTTCAAGAATGAAGCTCCAGACCTTTACGGTGAGTTTTACAGCACTTAAAGCTGTTATGTCCAGAGTTTGTTCCTTCAGATGTGTCTAGAATTTCTTCCTTCTGGAAGTTTCATGGTCTTGCTCACTTCAAGAATGATGCTGCAGACATTTACGGTGAAAGTTACAGTACTTAAAGTTGTTATATCCAGTGTTTGTTCCTTCACATGTGTCCAGAGTTTCTTCCTTCTGGCAGGTTCATTGACTTGCTCACTTCAAGAATGAAATTGCAGACCTTTACGGTGAGTGTTACAGCACTTAAAGGTATTATGTCCAGAGTTTTTTCCTTCAGATGTGTACAGAGTTTCTTCCTTCTGGCAGGTTCATGGTCTTGCTAGCTTCAAGAATGAACCTCCAGTCCTTTATGGTGAGTGTTACAGCACTTAAAGGTGTTATGTCCAGAGTTTGTTCTTTCAGACGTGTCCAGAGTTTCTTCCTTCTGGCAGGTTCATGGTCTTTCTCACTTCAAGTATGAAGCTGCAGACCTTGGTGGTGAGTGTTACAGCACTTACAGGTGTTATGTCCCGAGTTTGTTCCATCAGATGTGTCCAGAGTTTATTCCTTTTGGCAGGTTCATGGTCTTGCTCACTTCAAGGATGAATCTGCAGACCTTAGTGGTGAGAGTTACAGCACTTAAAGGTGTTATGTCCAGAGTATGTTCCTTCAGATGTGTCCAAAGTTTCTTCAATCTGGCAGGTTCATGGTCTTGCTCACTTCAAGAGTGAAGCTGCAGAATTTAGTGGTGAGTGTTACAGCACTTGAAGGTGTTATGTCCAGAGTTTCTTACTTCAGATGTGTCCAGATATTCTTCCTTCTGTCATGTTCATGGTCTTGCTCACTTCAAGAAAGAATGAAGCTGCAGACCTTTACGGTGAGTGTTACAGCATATAAAGGTGTTATGTCCAGAGTTTGGTCCTTCAGATGTGTCCAGAATTTTTTCCTTCGGGCTGGTTCATGGTCTTGCTCACTTCAAGAATGAAGCTGCAGACTTTGGTGGTGAGTGTTACAGCACTTAAATGTGTTATGTCCAGAGTTTGTTCCATCTGATGTATATAGTGTTTCCTCCTTCTGGCAGGTTCATTGTCTTGCTCACTTCAAGAATGAAGCTGCAGACCTTAGTGGTGAGTGTTACAGCACTTAAAGGTGTTATGTCCAGAGTTTGTTCCTTGTGATGTGTGCAGAGTTTCTTCCATCTGGCAGGTTCATGGTCTTGCTCACTTCAAGAATGATGCTGCAGACCTTTACGGTGAATGTTACAGTACTTAAAGGTGTTATATCCAGAATTTGTTCCTTCAGATGTGTCCAGATTTTCTTTCTTCTTGCAGTTTCATGGTCTTGCTCACTTCAAGAATGAAGCTCCAGACCATGAACCTGCCAGAAGGAAGAAACTACGGACACATCTGAATGAACAATCTCTGGACATAACACCTTTAAGTGCTGCAACACTAACCACTAACGTCTGCAGCTTCATTCTTTAAGTGAGCAAGACCATGAACCTGCCAGAAGGAAGAAACTCTGGACACATATGAAGGAACAAGCTGTGGACATAACACCTTTATATGCTGTAACACTCACCGTAAAGGTCTGCAGCTTCATTCTTGAAGTGAGCAAGACAATGAACCTGCCAGACCGAAGAAACTCTGGACACATCTGAAGGAACAAACTCTGGACCTAACACCTTTCAGGGCTGTAACAGTCACCGTAAAGGTCTGCAGCTTCATTCTTGAAGTGAGCAAGACAATGAACCTGCCAGAAGGAAGAAACTCTGTACATATCTGAATTAACAATCTCTGGACATAACACCTTTACGTGCTGTAACACTCACCACTGAGGTCTGCAGCTTCATTCCTGAGGTGAGCAAGACCATGCACCTGCCAGAAGGAAGAAACTCTGAACACATCTGAAGGAACAAATTCTGGAACTAACATCTTTACGTGTTGTAACACTCACTGTAAAGGTCTGCAGCTTCATTCTTGAAGTGAGCAAGACCACGAACCTGCCAAAAGGAAGAAACTCTAGACACATCTGAAGTAACAAACTCTGGACCTAACACCTTTAAGTGTTGTAACAGTCACCGTAAAGGTCTGCAGTTTCATTCTTGAAGTGAGCACGACCATGAACCTGCCAGAAAGAAGAAACTCTGGACACATCTGAAGGAACAAACTCTAGACATAACACCTTTAAGTGCTGTAACACTCACCGTAAAGGTATGCAGCTTCATTATTGAAGTGAGCAAGACCATGAATCTGCCAGAATGAAGAAACTCTGGACACATATGAAGTAACAAACTCTCTACATAACACCTTTAAGTGCTGTAACACTCACCACTAAGGTCTGCAGCTTCATTCTTGAGGTGAGCAAGACCATGAACCTGCCAGAAGAAAGAAACTCCGGTCACATCTGCATGAACAAACTCAGGACATAACAACTTTAAGTGCGGTAACACTCACCAGTGAGGTCTGCAGCTTCATTCTTCAAGTGAGCAGGACCATGAGCCTGCCAGAAGGAATTAACTCTGGACACATCTGAAGGAACAAACTATGGACATAACACCTTTAAGTGCTGTAACACTCACCGTACAGGTCTGCAGCTTTATTCTTGAAGTCAGCAAGACCATGAACCTGCCAGAAGGAGGAAACTCTGGACACATCTGAAGGAACAAACTCTGGACATAACACCTATAAGTGCTGTAACACTCACCACTAATTTCTGCAGCTTCATTCTTGAAGAGAACAAGACCATAAACCTGCCAGAAGGAAGAAACTCCGGACACATCTGAATGAACAAACTCTGGACATAACACCTTTTCAGTGCTGTGAGACTCACCACTAAGGTCTGCGGCTTCATTCTTGAAGTGAGCAAGACCATGAACCTGCCAGAAGGAAGAATATCTGGACACATCTGAAGGAACAAACACTAGACCTAACACCTTTAAGTGCTGTAACACTCACCGTAAAGGTCTGCAGCTTCATTCTTGAAGTGAGCAAGACCATGAACCTGCCAGAAGGAAGAAACTCTGGACACATCTAAATGAACAAACTCTGGACATAACACCTTTAAGTGCTGTAACACTCACCACTAAGGTCTGCAGCTTCATTCTTGAAGTGAGCAAGACCATGAATCTGCCAGACGGAAGAAACTCCGGACACATCTGAATGAAGAACCTCTGAACATAACACCTTTCAGCGCTGTAACACTCACAACTAACTTCTGCAGCTTCATTCTTGAAGTGAGCAAGATCATGAACCTGCCAGAAGGAAGAAACTCTGTACACATCTGAAGGAAAAAACTCTGGACATAACACCTTTAAGTGTTGAAACACTCACCGTAAAGGTTTGCAGCTTCATTCTTGAAGTGAGCAAGACCATGAATCTGCCAGAAGCAAGAAACTCTGGGCACATCTGAAGGAACAAACTCTGGACATAACACCTTTAGGTGCTGTAACACTCACCGTAAATGTCTGCAGCTTCATTCTTGAAGTGAGCAAGACCATGAACCTGCCAGAAGGAAGAAACTCTGGACACATCTGAAGGAACAAACTATGGACATAACACCTTTAAGTGCTGTAACACTCACCGTACAGGTCTGCAGCTTTATTCTTGAAGTCAGCAAGACCATGAACCTGCCAGAAGGAGGAAACTCTGGACACATCTGAAGGAACAAACTCTGGACATAACACCTATAAGTGCTGTAACACTCACCACTAATTTCTGCAGCTTCATTCTTGAAGAGAACAAGACCATGAACCTGCCACAAGGAAGAAACTCCGGACACATCTGAATGAACAAACTCTGGACATAACACCTTTAAGTGCTGTGAGACTCACCACTAAGGTCTGCAGCTTCATTCTTGAAGTGAGTAAGACCATGAACCTGCCAGAAGGAAGAATATCTGGACACATCTGAAGGAACAAACTCTAGACCTAACACCTTTAAGTGCTGTAACACTCACCGTAAAGGTCTGCAGCTTCATTCTTGAAGTGAGCAAGACCATGAACCTGCCAGAAGGAAGAAACTCTGGACACATCTAAATGAACAAACTCTGGACATAACACCTTTAAGTGCTGTAACACTCACCACTAAGGTCTGCAGCTTCGTTCTTGAAGTGAGCAAGACCATGAACCTGCCAGACGGAAGAAACTCCGGACACATCTGAATGAAGAACCTCTGGACATAACACCTTTAAGCGCTGTAACACTCACAACTAACTTCTGCAGCTTCATTCTTGAAGTGAGCAAGATGATGAACCTGCCAGAAGGAAGAAACTCTGAACACATCTGAAGGAACAAACTCTGGACATAACACCTTTAAGTGTTGTAACACTCACCGTAAAGGTTTACAGTTTCATTCTTGAAGTGAGCAAGACCATGAATCTACCAGAAGCAAGAATCTCTGGGCACATCTGAAGGAACAAACTCTGGACCTAACACCTTTAAGTGCTGTAACACTCACCGTAAAGGTATGCAGCTTCATTATTGAAGTGAGCAAGACCATGAATCTGCCAGAATGAAGAAACTCTGGACACATATGAAGTAACAAACTCTCTACATAACACCTTTAAGTGCTGTAACACTCACCACTAAGGTCTGCAGCTTCATTCTTGAGGTGAGCAAGACCATGAACCTGCCAGAAGAAAGAAACTCCGGTCACATCTGCATGAACAAACTCAGGACATAACAACTTTAAGTGCTGTAACACTCACCAGTGAGGTCTGCAGCTTCATTCTTCAAGTGAGCAGGACCATGAGCCTGCCAGAAGGAATTGACTCTGGACACATCTGAAGGAACAAACTATGGACATAACACCTTTAAGTGCTGTAACACTCACCGTACAGGTCTGCAGCTTTATTCTTGAAGTCAGCAAGACCATGAACCTGCCAGAAGGAGGAAACTCTGGACACATCTGAAGGAATAAACTCTGGACATAACACCTATAAGTGCTGTAACACTCACCACTAATTTCTGCAGCTTCATTCTTGAAGAGAACAAGACCATGAACCTGCCACAAGGAAGAAACTCCGGACACATCTGAATGAACAAACTCTGGACATAACACCTTTAAGTGCTGTGGGACTCACCACTAAGGTCTGCAGCTTCATTCTTGAAGTGAGCAAGACCATGAACCTGCCAGAAGGAAGAATATCTGGACACATCTGAAGGAACAAACTCTAGACCTAACACCTTTAAGTGCTGTAACACTCACCGTAAAGGTCTGCAGCTTCATTCTTGAAGTGAGCAAGACCATGAACCTGCCAGGAGGAAGAAACTCTTGACACATCTAAATGAACAAACTCTGGACATAACACCTTTAAGTGCTGTAACACTCACTACTAAGGTCTGCAGCTTCATTCTTGAAGTGAGCAAGACCATGAACCTGCCAGACGGAAGAAACTCCGGACACATCTGAATGAAGAACCTCTGGACATAACACCTTTAAGCGCTGTAACACTCACAACTAACTTCTGCAGCTTCATTCTTGAAGTGAGCAAGATCATGAACCTGCCAGAAGGAAGAAACTCTGAACACATCTGAAGGAACAAACTCTGGACATAACACCTTTAAGTGTTGTAACACTCACCGTAAAGGTTTGCAGTTTCATTCTTGAAGTGAGCAAGACCATGAATCTACCAGAAGCAAGAATCTCTGGGCACATCTGAAGGAACAAACTCTGGACATAACAACTTTAGGTGCTGTAACACTCACCGTAAATGTCTGCAGCTTCATTCTTGAAGTGAGAAGACCATGAACCTGCCAGAAGGAAGAAAGTCTGGACACATCTGAAGGAACAAACTCTGGACATAACACCTTTAAATGCTGTAACACTCACCACTAAGGTCTGCAGCTTCATTCTTGAAGTGAGAAAGACCATGAACCTGCCAGAAGGAAGAAAGTCCGGACACATCTGAAGTAACAATCTCTGGACATAACACCTTTAAGTGCTGTAACACTCACCACTAAGGTCTGCAGCTTCATTCTTGAAGTGAGCAAGTCCATTAACCTTCCAGAAGGAAGAAACTCTGGGCACATCTGAAGGAACAAGCTCTGGACATAACACCTTTAGGTGCTGTAACACTCACCGTAAAGGTCTGCAGCTTCATTCTTGAAGTGAGCAAGACCATGAACCTGCCAGAAGGAAGAAACTCTGAACACATCTGAAGGAAAAATCTCTGGACATAACACCTTTAAGTTTTGTAACACTCACCGTAAAGGTTTGCAGCTTCATTCTTGAAGTGAGCAAGTCCATGAACCTGCCAGAAGGAAGAAACTCTGGGCACATCTGAAGGAAGAAACTCTGGACATAACACCTTTAGGTGCTGTAACACTCACCGTAAAGGTCTTCAGCTTCTTTCTTGAAGTGAGCAAGACCATGAACCTGCCATAAGGAAGAAACTCTGGACACATCTGAAGGAACAAACTCTGGACATAACACCTTTAAGTGCTGTAACAGTCACCACTAATGTCTGCAGCTTCATTCTTGAAGTAAGCAAGACCATGAACCTGCAAGAAGGAGGAAACTCTGGACACATCTGAAGGAAGAAACTCTGGACATAACACCTTTAAGTGCTGTAACACTCACCACTAAGGTCTGCAGCTTCATTCTTGAATTAAGCAGGACCTTGAGCCAGCCAGAAGGAAGAAACTCTGGACACATCTGAAGGAAGAAACTCTGGACATAACACCTTTAAGTGCTGTAACACTCAACACTTAGCTTTGCAGCTTCATTCTTGAAGTGAGCAAGACCATGAACCTGCCAGAAGGAAGAAACTACGGACACATCTGAATGAACAATCTCTGAACATAACACCATTAAGTGCTGTAACACTCACCACTAAGGTCTGCAGCTTCATTCTTGAAGTGAGCAAGACCATGAACCTGCCAGAAGGAAGAAACTCTGGACACATGTGAATGAACAAACTCTGGACGTAACACCTTTAAGTGCTGTAACGCTCACCACTAAGTTCTACAGTTTTATTCTTGAAGTGAGCAAGACCATGATCCTGCCAGAAGGAAGAAACTCTGAACACATCTGAAGGAACAAACTCTGGACATAACACCTTTAAGTGTTGTAACACTCACAGTAAAGGTCTGCAGCTTCATTCTTGAAGTAAGCAAGGCCATGAACCTGCCAGATGGAAGAAACTCTGGACACATCTGAAGGAACAATCTGTGTTCATAACACCTTTAAGTGCTGTAACACTCACCGTAAATGTCTGCAGCTTCGTTCTTGAATTAAGCAGGACCATGAACCTGCCTGAAGGAAGAAATTCTGGACACATCTTAAGGAACAAACTCTGGACATAACAGCTTTAAATGCTGTAACACTCACCGTAAATGTCTGCAGCTTCATTCTTGAAGTAAGCAAGACCATGAGCTCATGTGAAGTAGCAAACTCCAGACACACCACCTTTAAGAGTTGTAACACACACCGAAACGGTCTACAGCTTCATTTTTGCAGTGAGCGAGACCACAAACCCACTGGAAGGAATAAGTTCCAAACACACAAACACTGCAATTTCTCACTCATAGGTGGGAGTTGTAAAATGAGAATACATGGACATAGGGAGGGGAACATCAAACACTGGAGACTGTTGGAGGGTGGGGACCTAACAGGGAATAGCATTAGGAGAAATACCTAATGTAGATGAAAAACTGACAGGTGCAGCAAACAAGCATATATCTCTGTAACAAACCTGCACATTCTGCACATGTATCCCAGAACTTACAGTATAATAAATAAATAAAATGTAAGGCAAACAGGACAGAATAATGATACTGTGGTAATACAAATCATAACAGTGTTCATTTATGGTTAAAAGTGCCTCTATGCCTGGGCGTGGTGGCTCACCCCTGTAATCCCAGCACTTTGGGAGGCCAAGGTGGGCAGATCACGAGGTCAGGAGATGGAGACCATCTTGGCTCACATGGTGATACCCCGTCTCTACTAAAAGTACAAAAAAAAATTAGCTGGATGTGGTGGCGGGCACCTGTAGTCCCAGCTACTTGGGAGGCTGAGGCAGGAGAATGGTGTGAACCTGGGATGTGGAGCTTGCAATGGGCCGATATTGCACCACTGCACTCCAGTCTGGGTGACATGGTGAGACTCTGTCTCAAAAAACAAAAACAGAAACAAAAACAAAAACAAAAAAAAAGGCTTCCTATCTCAAAAAAATAAAATAAAAAGTAAGCCTCTATGTATTTTTCCAAACATTATAAAATTCTAAATCTCTTTTAAATTATTACTGTTAAAACTATGCATTTAATGCATTACAATGTGTAATGTCTTGTGTCTGGTAGTCTGGATCCACAATGAGCCTGATGAAGCACCTGGAACTGAGAACACAGTCTTCATTTTCTTCAAAATTTATTATTTGACCCAGTTGCTGTGACTCTCATCTTTGCATTAGAGAGCTACACAGGGATTCAGGTCATCAACTCTTGAAAATAGGGTATTATGCTTTCCTGGTGTCTTCGTATTTCCAGTGTTCAAAAGATCACACTTTAAAGAGCACTTTTAGGATTTCCAAAAATTTATACCAAGAAACTGTCATCAGAGTGAACAGGCATCCTACAGAATGAGAGAAAATTTTTGCCATCTATCCATCTGACAAAGGGCTAATATCCAGAATCTACAAATAACTTACACAAATTTACAATAAACAAAAATAATCCTATCAAAAAGTGGATGAAGTATATGAACAGACACTTCTCAAAAGGAGACATTTATGGCCCGGGTGCTGTGGCTCATCCCTGTAGTCCCAGCACTTTGGGAGGTCGAGGTGGGCAGATCACAAGGTCAGGAGATCAAGACCATCCTGGCTATTCAGTCTCAAAAAAAAAAAAAAAAAGACATTTATGCAGCCAATAAACACATAAAAAAATGCTTATCCTCAGTGGTCATTAGAGAATTGCAAATGAAAACCACAATGAGATACCATCTCATGCCAGTTTGAATGGTGATCATTAAAAAGTCAGAAAACAACAAATGCTGAAGAGGATGTGGAGAAATAGGAACACTTTTATACTGTTGGTGGGAGTGTAAATCAGTTCAACATAGAACTAATAGAAGACAGTGTGCTGATTACTCAAAGATCTAGAAACAGAAATACCATTTGACCCAGCAATCCTATTATGGTGTATACACCCAAAGGATTATAAATTATTCTATTATAAAGACACATGCACATGTGTGTTTACTGTAGCACTATTCACAACAGCAAAGACTTTGAACCAATCCAAATGCCCATGAATGATAGACTGGATAAAGAAAATGTGGCTTATATACACCATGGAATACTATGCAGCCACAAAAAAGAATGAGTTTATGTCCTTTTGCTGGGACATGGTTGAAGCTGGAAACCATCATTCTCAGCAAATTAACACAGGAACAGAAAGCGAAACCCCACATGTTCTCACTCATAAGTGGGAGTTGAATAATGAGAACACATGGACACATGGAGGGGAATATCACACACCAGGGCCTGTCAGAGGGTGGGGGTTAGGGGAAGGATAGCATTAGGAGAAATACCTAATGTATATGATTGGTTGATGGGCAGAGCAAACCACCAAGGGACTTGTATACTTATGTAACAAACCTGCCCGTTCTGTACATGTATCCCAGAATTTGTTATAATAAAAGTAAAAATAAAATAAAAAAATCATACCATACAACTTGTAGTCAGACTTCT
Organism: Homo sapiens; assembly: GCF_000001405.40. Taxonomy (NCBI): domain Eukaryota; kingdom Metazoa; phylum Chordata; class Mammalia; order Primates; family Hominidae; genus Homo; species Homo sapiens. Next base: position 20,052,491 of record NC_000024.10, on the reverse strand, counting down.
GCTGATCTTTTTCTGTCCTCTGTATTGACACTTACGCTACTTACTCTTTTTCTTTAGAGAACTGACATATGTGTGAGATTAGGAATATGCTTGCCAGTAGCTTTGTGTTTTCAGTAGCACCTACACTAAGTTCAATTACCAACAAAGAGTAATTTCATTGCAGTCACTTGATGGTTTTGATTGATTACCGTATTTGCTCTTCTGGCATTTGTCTATTTGAAAAAGCTTCTTTTGTGGAATTAATATTGGTGGAAATGGTGTTTACCTTTTCTAAATGTTCCTGTTGATTTATACTTTTTCCCACCTATAGCTACCACATCAACAAATCCCCTGTTGATTTGTCATAGAAAATTTTCATAACAATTATATATTGTCAATAAGCAGTCACGTCTGAAAATGCTGCTCAGTGTATATAGCTATATATAACACTTTTGATTAAACATAAAATGAATGAATATTTTATCATATAAATTATATTTTTAAATGACTGTGATGACCATTGGACATTTGTACATAAAATGACAATAAATTTTATCATAAATAACCCTACTCTAAAAATTATATATTTTGACAAAGATGAGGAAAGAGGTTTTAGAAAACTTCTTTTATTTTCAGTGAAAATATTAGTTGCACGCAAAACAGCTCCTGAATTTGTGTAAATGGCTTCTTTTTAGTAGACTTCTCTTTTTTTCAGATATCTAATTTAAGCCTACATAATCAATCATTGATTTCTGGTTAATTTAATAATAACATTTTCTCCACTTTATCCATCATTATGTAGACACATTGGACTTAGAATATTAAAAACAGTCTATAGTGAAATCCAATATAATAAGGATGCACTGAACCTGCATTTTCTCTCTCCTGATAGTGCTTGGTTTATCCCTCAGCTGTAATCATCCTTGGGCTTCATATCACAGTAAGAACCAAAAGTTCTTACTCGATCTAGTAGATCCCAGTTCTTTGCACTGTGGACAAAATACAGGTGACTTTTGTGATTATTTTCTTCTATAACACTCCTCTCAGGTTGGCAGCATATTATTGCAAATATCAATTTTTTTCATAGCAAAGTATGCAGATGCCTCAAGTAAAAATACAAACAGGAAACTAATTTTAAAATTTAAAAACACAATGAATATCTTTGGGATGCACATATATGCTATTGAAAACTATTAGTTGTTAGCTTCTGTGAGTGTAGCTAAATTTCCAAAAGAAATATAAAAATAATTATACTTTAGCCATCAATGCTATGATAGTCTTTTCTTGTCCAGCATCAGGACCAGTGACCTCAAGAGCCTTGTTGGAAAAATACTCCATCTGATAATTCAGCAAATCAGTATTTTTCGGTGCATGATAGTCATTTACAGTGAGAGGAGCATGAAATACATGGTATAAACAGAATACACCATGGGGAAAAAATAAATTATTAAAACTCTAATCTATTATTTATCTAATTGTTTTACTTTTTATTGGATTGCTTATACTGTATGTACTTTTAATAAAAGTAAATGAACTGTAGTTTTTAAGCAATTGCACACATCTTATTAGGCCAAGTTCAAGTATTATACAGGAAAACCATAGTCTTCAAAATATGAAAGCCATTACACTTTTAAGTCCTGATACTTTTTTTCTGGTTCCATCATGACAACAGAACCACAGTGAACTGAGGGTGAAAATGCATGTTGATAAATCTATCCATTGTTTGGTTCTGGGAGTTAAAACAAATGTTTATTTACTGGCTCAAGTTTTGGAGTTTTACATTAACAACATTTCAACTGCACATTATATCTTTTATAAGTACATATTAAGTGGTTTCAGTGCAATGTTCTATCTCAGTCATTTATGAATAGGACAAAGTAAGACTAATTGTCAACATTTCTGCATTGTTTTCATGACCTTCAAATTATAATTTTAATTGGACACATTTACATCTCAGAAAAATTTGAATTTATGTTGTTTTTCTGTTTTCTTGTGCCATTAAACTGCATTTATCTAAGCACTGAATTAAATTAATTTGATAGGACACTCATGTCTCTATTTTACCCAACAACATTAGAAGGGTGTCAATTTTAGATCTTTCCTCCTTTCTCTTATGGGCATTTAGTACTATAAATTTTCCTCTAAAAAGTGCCTTATATGTGTCCCAGAGATTATGACACATTGTGCCTTTGTTCTTATTGGTTTCAAGGAAAATATTTCTGCCTTCATTTCATTGTATTCCCAGTAGTCATTCAGAAGCAGCCTGTTCAGTTTCCACGTAGTTGTGCGGTTTTGAGTGAGTTTCTTAATTGTGAGTTCCAATTTGATTGCACTGTGGTCTGAGAGAGTGTTATGATTTCCATTCTTTTGTATTGGCTGAGGAGTGTTTTACTTCCAATTATGTGGTCAATTTTAGAATAAGTCCGAGGAACTCCTGAGGAGAATGTATATTCTATTGATTTGGGGTGGAGAGTTGTGTAGAAATCTATTAGGTCTGCTTGGTCCAGAGCTGAGTTCATGTCCTGAATATCCTTGCTAATTTTCTGCCTCATTTATCTGTCTAATATTGACAATAGGATGTTAAAATCTCCCACTATTATTGTGTGAAGGCCAAGTCTCTGTAGCTCTCTAAGAACTTGCTTTATGAATCTGGGTGCTCCTGTATTGTGTGCACATATATTTAGGATAGTTAGCTCCCTTACTGGATTGATCCCTTTACCGTTATGTAATAGCCTTCTATGTCTCTTTTGATCTTTGTTGGTTTAAAGTCTGATTTATCAGTGATCAGGATTGCAGCTCTTGTTTTTTTGGTTTCCATTTGCTTGGTAAATATTCTTCCATCCTTTTATTTTGAGGCCGTGTGTATCTTTGCACGAGACATGGGTCTCCTGAATACAGCACACTGATGGGTCTTGACTCTATCCAATTTGCCATTCTGTGTCTTTTAATTGGGGCATTTAGCTCATTTACATTTAAGATTAATATTGTTAAATGTGAATTTATTCCTGTCATTATTATGTTAGCTGGTTGTTTTGCCCGTTAGTTGATGCAGTTTCTTCATAATGTTGATGTTCTTTACAATTTGGTATGTTTTTGCAGTGGCTGGTACCAGTTGTTCCTTTCCATGTTTAGTGCTTCCTTGAGGAGCTCTTGTAAGAGAGGCCTGGTGGTGACAAAATCTCTCTGCATTTGCTTGCCTGTAAAGGATTTTATTTCTCCTTCACTTTTGAAGTTTAGTTTGGCTACATATGAAATTTTGGCTTGAAAATTATTTTCTTTAAGAATGTTGAATATTGGCGCCTACTGTCTTCTGGCTTGAAGTGTTTCTACAGAAACATCTGCTATTAGTTTGTTGAGCTTCTCTTTGTGGGTAGCCCAACATTTCTTTGTGGCTGCCTTTAACACTTTTTCCTGCATTTCAACCTTGGTGAATCTGACGATTATTTGTCTTGGAGTTGCTCTTCTCAAGGAGTATCTTTGTGGTGTTCTCTGTATTTCCTGAATTTGAATGTTGGCCTGCCTTGCTGGGTTGGGGAAGTTCTCCTGGATAATATCCTGAAGAGTGTTTTCCAACTTGGCTCCATTCTCCCCATCACTTTCAGGTACAACCTGTCAACTGTAGATCTGGTCATTCCACATAGTTACATATTTCCTGTAGGCTTTGTTTGTTCTATATATCTGTACCATGCTGTTTTAGATACTATAGCCTTATAGTATAGTTTGAAGTTAGGTAGTGTGATGCCTCCAGGTTTGTTCTTTTGGCTTAGGATTATCTTGGCAATGTTGGGCCTTTTTTGGTTCCATGTGAACTTTAAAGTAGTTTTTTCCAATTCTGTGAAGAAAGTCATTGGTAGTTTGATGGGGATAGCTTTGAATCTATAAATTACCTTGGGCAGTATGGCCATTTTTATGATATTGATTCTTCCTATCCATGAGCACAGAATGTTTTTCCATTTGTTTGTGTCCTCTTTTATTTCATTGAGCAGTGGTTTGTAGTTCTCCTAGAAGAGGGCCTTCACATCCTTTGTAAGTTGGATTCCTAGGTATTTTATTCTCTTTGAATCAATTGTGAATGGGAGTTCACTCATGATTTGGCTCTCTGTTTGTCTGTTATTGGTGTATAGAAATGCTTGTGATTTTTGCACATTGATTTTGTATCCTGAGACTTTGCTGAAGTTGCTTATCAGCTTAAGGAGATTTTGGGCTGAGACAATGGGGTTTTCTAACTATACAATCATGTCATCTGCAAACAGGGACAATTTGACTTCTTCGTTTCCTAATTGAATACCATTTATTTCTTTCTCCTGCCTGATTGCCCTGGCCAGAACTTCCAACACTATGTTGAATAGGAGTGGTGAGAGAGGGCATCCCTGTCTTGTGCCAGTTTTCAAAGGGAATGCTTCCACTTTTTGCCCATTCCGTATGATATTGGCTGTGGGTTTGTCATAGATAGCTCTTATTATTTAGAGATACTCCCATCAATACCTAAATTATTGAGAGTTTTTAACATGAAGGGCTGTTGAATTTAGTCAAAGGCCTTTTCTGCATCTATTGAGATAATCATGTGGTTTTTGTCTTTGGTTGTGTAGAGTGCTATGAATAAAATATAATTTGACAATCAGAATAGTTATTATTTAACATATATAATATGTTAAACACTATTCTTAATATCTAAGTTTAAATAGGGTAAATCAAAGATGAAAAAGTTGATATCTTTTTAAAAATTATCTTTTTAACTGAAAACAATTGTATAAATTTTTAATGGAGTGTCATATTTTGATAGTTTATGTTGTAAATGATTAAATGAAACTAAGAAATTCATTATCACTTATCCTCACAATTTTTGTATTGAAAACATTTACAATCCACTCTTCATAGCAATTTTGAAAAGCACAATACGTATTATGTATTATATTCATTACTTTGTGCAACTGATAACTAAATCTTATTCTTCTTGTCTAATTAAGATTTTGTGCACTTATAGAAATTAACTGTTTTGTTATTCAACTAAATAAACATGAATTATTATAAACTAATTAGGCATAGAAACAAATGAGCATAGTTTTTGACCAATACACAAATGATCTCCATTATATTCAAATACCAGACACAAGTAATTTGAATGGAAATATTTTAAGTTTGCAATATGCCATTGAATTTAATAGCTGAAACTAAGCAGAATATATTTTCTGAGAATTGTAAATAACAACAGTAATTTTTAATGTGTAACCAATAAGTAATATGTCATCACATACAAATTTCATGATTTTTATTTTCATTTATTTATTTTTGTTTTATTTTATTTTATTTTATTTTATTTTATTTTATTTTATTTTATTTTATTTTATTTTATTTTATTTGAAACAGAGTCTTGCTCTGTCACTCAGGTTGGAGTGCAGTGGCGTGATCTCGGCTCACTGCATGCTTCACCTCCCGGGTTCATGCCATTCTCCTGCTTCAGCCTCCCAAGTAGCTAGGACTACAGGTGCCTGCCATCTGCCCGGCTAATTTTTTGTATTTTTTTTTTTTTTGTAGTAGACAGGAGGTTTCACCGTGTTAACCAGGATGGTAACAATTTCCTGACCTCCTGATCCACCTGCATCGGCCTCGGCCAAAGTGCTGGGATTACAGGCGTGAGCCACCACACCCAGCCCATAATGATTTTTGAAATTAAGTTATGAATAAACAGAGAATTCAAATTGAGATTTTTATAAACTCAGAAAAGTGTTAAAGAAGAAGCATAGTATCGGAAGCCAAAAACTTGAATTCAGGTAAATAATTCTGCTAATTTTAGTGTAATGGCAGAGAAAAATAGTAATTCTGGTCATATGTAGGTGCTATTCTCTGCAGAGGAGTATTTTTATTTCAGAAATTTGTGAAAAATATAAAATCAATTTTCTAGTATAAAAAAACCATGCCACAAATTATTATTACTTTGCAGAATATTTAGAAGAGTTCTAAATAAAATATTTGAAATTTCTCATGACACGCTGTTACATGTTATTAAAAATGTGAAATATTTTCCTCATGTGTGCACTCTCCATATTTTGACCTTTTGGAAAAGTACTACAGATTCTAAAATTTTTAAATTTGAAAAGCTCAACTTCTCAGAAAGTTGTAACTATCTTTAAAATGCTCAACAGAGTTAAAAGAAAAACATGAGAACATTCTAGGTACCTAAGTAAACAAAAAAAAAAAATCAAGAAAGTGGTCAAACTACAAAACAAGTTATCCTCTTAGATATGATTACACAGATGTCAAATCCATGTGGGTTGTCCAACCATCCATAAGGCAAATGGAGAAAACCAAAAAGCATCAGGCGTAAATGAATCACATTACAATTGTGATATCACCCATAAGTGAGAACCAAATTACAACTTATATTACACCAGTTATAAGACTCATATTCAATGTGTTCAAGCCAATGCAACAGAAAAATAATAACAATGTGAAAAGATCAAGAAACCATAGCCCAGTAAGCCATATTTAGAAAACAGTCAAATATAAACAACTGAAAGTGTGACTAATCTACTTAATATATAACATATAGGTAAATGTTAGATTACTCTTGAGTCAATGAGAATATTAATGAACCAGAATATTGAACACAATATAGTTAAGTACACTAAAAGAAGAAAAGTTAATAAAAAATACAAATAAAATTATACACATATGAAGAGTAGAATGAAATAAAATAAATGTAATCTAGTTGTTTCTCTAGGATATATTAAAATCATTAAAGTCAACATTCATAGGGATTTATCCTTCTAAAATAAAAATAATCAATATTTTTAAATTAACTATTCAGTAAAATTTTTTTTCTAGTTTCAGAAAAAAATATATAAATTTTTGAATTCAGAAAAGCATTATGTTTGAAAAAGAAAAATAAGTTTAAAAAGTACTTAAAATGTAGAATTCTCGGCACACTGGCTTATGCCTGCAATCCAAGCACTTTAGGAGACTGAGGGGCGGGATTGCTTGAGGCCAAGATTTCCAGGGAAGAGTGGGCAACATGGCAAAACTCCATCTCTACAAAAAATGTAAAAATTAGCTGGACTTGGTAGCACATGCTTGTAGTCCCAGTTGCTCAGAAAGGTGAGGTGGGAGTGTCGTGTTTGCCTGGGATGTCAAGGATGCAGTAAGCTGTGATTGTGCCACTGTCCTCCAGCCTATGCTACAGAGCAAAATCCTAGCTTTAATAAAAAATGAGAAAAAAAGTTCTTTTTTATAAAATTAAAAATAAAAACAAAATAGTAAAAGATTTGAATTAGTAACAGTAAATCTGAGTGGACATTGAACTAAAGAAACTAAATAGTCTCTAGCAGCACTGAAAGTATTTAGATATAATGAAATTTTTCTTTACGTGTTTTACCTAAGTCAGTTAAAAAACTATATGCTACATGAATAGTTTAACTCACAGCAGAGTAATCAGTTTCTTTTCAGAAGAATTTTGTCCAGTAAAGCTTTATGAAAAATGAGTGGCACTATGTACATTTTACAGAATATTTGTCATTATTTTATCAGAACTGATTTGTACAAAGGACAGACAGTACATAGAGATTGAGAATCAGCTTTCAAATTTCCAGGGTGACTGGGTTGTAGGCTCACAACATGGTTAGAAAAGACAAACTAATGATATTCACTCAGTACGTGATCAAACAGAAACTGACCAGCACAGAATGGTCTGGTTGGCTCTGTTCTCTGGGGACATTTTGGTGGAGAGTTTGGTTCTGAATGTTCTGAAATTGCCTGTATGCCTGGAAAAGAGAATCACCATGTATGCACTTGAAAGTAACAAGATTCCTACACAGAATACATTCTGGAAGAATTTCTTTCACAATAAAAAACATTCCTCTGATAATGAAGCTCACTGGAGAATGTGTTTTCTGCTGTTGAGATGATCACATTGGACTCAAAGAGGCCTGAAGAAAAATGCTGCAGTGAGGAGCATCATTACATGGGTGAATGCCAAGTGAAAGGTGATCACAACATGGAGCTTAGGCCTGCATTTGAGGAGTATGAAGATTTAGAGGAAAAGGAGAAAGGTGTTGACTGAGAGTCCGATAACATGAGTGGAAAAATTTTTCTTCCTAATGACAGAAGAAGTTTAAAAATATGTATCTGGAAAAAAAGCTAAAGAATCTTACCTCATCAATATTCATTCTTTAGCAGTCAAATTTACCACACATCTTTTTTCTTGTTTTATTTTATCCTCTTACTCTGGATAAACCTTAGCTATCACATATAAATTCTTGATACACCAGCCTTTGCATTATTTTCTACACCAAGGGATTAAAAAAACATAAACATATCCACAGTCTCACCCTTCTAGTATACACACTATTTGTGCTCTCACTATACTGAGACCTCACTCTTTTGAAATTATCTCTTTATTCTGCACTCTGTCCTTTTCTATTTCATTGATACTATGAACATACACAAACTACTCAATTATAGGTACACAGTTGAATTGAATAAACTTTTATGCTAATCCTTATGAATTACCAAAACAATTGAAAAAGTATTAGCTAATAGTCCTTCTGATATGCTAACATTTCAACACTTTTACTTTTTTTCTCTCTTACATTTTTGGACACTTTTGATTAGAAACTTTTATCCACTATGGTTATTTAAAAATAATATACTGGTCTACTGATCAAGATGGCCAAATAGGAATTGCTCTGCTCTGCAGTTCCCAGCCAGATTGATACAGAAGGTGGGTGATTTCTGCATTTCTAAATTAGGTACCCGGTTCGTGTCACTTTGACTTGTTGGAGAGTGGATGCAGCCCATGGAGGAGGAGCCAAAGCAGGGTAGGATGTCACCTCACTCAGGAAGTGCAAGGGGTCAGGGAATTTTCTCCCCTACCCAAGGGAAGCCATGAGGGACCGAGCCTGAGGAACCAAGAACTCCAGCCCAGATACTGCCCTTGTCCCACAGTCTTTGCAACCCACAAACCAGGATATTCCCTGTGGTGCCTACCCCACCAGGGCCCTGGGTTTCAAGCACAAAACTGGGCAGCCATTTGGGCAGACATCGAACTAGCGGTAGGAGGTTTTTTTTGTTTTGTTTTTTTTTAATCCATACCCCGAGGTGCCTAGAATGTCAGTGAGACAGAACTGTTCACTTCTCTGGAAACAGGTGCTGAAGCTAGGGAGCCAAGTGGCCTGGCTTGGCAGGTGCCACCCCCATGGGGCCCGGGAAACTAACATCCACTGGCTTGAAATTCTCACTGCCAGCACAACAGCAGTCTGAGATCAAACTGGGATGCCTGAGCTTGGATGGGGGAAGGGCGTCCACTATTGCTGAGGCTTGAGTTGGTGGTGTTATGTTCACAGTGTAAACAAAGCTGCCAGGAAGTTCAAACTGGGCTAAGTCCACTGCAGCTCAACAAGGCTGCTGTGGCTGGACTGCCAGATTTCTCCTCTCTGGGCAGGGCATCACAGAAAAAAAGGCAGCAGCCCCAGTCAGGGACTTATAGATATAAAACCCCCATCAACCTGGGACAGAGTAATGGAGAAAGGAGCAACTGTCCTTGGTGGTTCCAAGATGGCTGAATAGGAAGAGCTCCAGTCTGCGGCTCTGAGCGTGAACAATACAAAAGACAGGTGATTTCTGCATTTCCAATTGAGGTACTGGGTTCATCTCACTGGGGCTTGTCAGACAGTTGGTGCAGCCCACAGAGAAGGGCACAGCATTACCTGATCCGGGAAGCACAAGGGGTTGGGGAATTCCCTTTCTTTGCAAAGGGAAACCATGACAGACAGTACCTGGAAATTCAGGACACTCACACCCTAATACTGTGCTTTTCCAGTGGACTTAGCAAATAGCACACCAGGAGATTATATCCTGCGCATGGCTCAGAGGGTCCCATACCCATAGAGCCTTGCTCACTGCTAGCACAGCAGTCTGAGATGGAACTGCAAGGTGGCAGCAAAGATCGGGGGGGCATCCACCATTGCTGAGGCTTGAAAAGGTAAACAAAGCAGCCTAGAAGCTGGAACTGGATGTAGCCCACTGCAGCTCAAGGAGACCTGCCTGCCTCTGTAGACACCACCTCTGGGGGCAGGGCACAGCTGAACAAAAGGAGGCAGAAACTTCTGCAGACTTAAACATCCTTGTCTGACAGCTTTGAAGAGAGTAGTGTTCTCCCAGCACAGAGTTTGAGATCTGAGAACGGACAGTATGCCTCCTCAAGTGGGTCTCTGAACCCTGAGTAGCCTAACTGGGAGACACCTGGTGGTAGGGGCCAACTGACACCTCATACAGCTGGGTGCCCCTCTGAGATGAAGCTACCAGAGGCAGGATCAGGCAGCACCATCTGCCGTTCTGCAATATTTGCTGTTCTGCAGACTCTACTGGTGATAACCAGGCAAACAGCGTCTGGAGTGGACCTCTAGCAAACTCCAACAGACCTGCAACTGAGGGTCCTGACTGTTAGAAGGAAAACTAACAAAAAGAAAGGACATCCACGCCAAAGCCCCATCTGTACATCACCATCATCAAAGACCAAAAGTAGATAAAACCACAAAAATGGGGAGAAACCAGAGCAGAAAAGCTAAAAATACAAAAAATCAGAGTGCCGCTTCTCCTCCAAAGGAACACAGCTCCTTCTCAGCATTGGAACAAACCTGGACAGAGAATGACTTTGACAATTTGAGAGGAGAAGGCTTCAGACAATCAGTAATAACAAACTTCTCTGAGCAAAAGGAGGATGTTCAAACCCGTCGCAAAGAAACTAAAAACCTTGAAAAAGATTAGGTGAATGGCTAACTAGAATAAACAGTGTAGAGAAGTCCTTAAATGACCTGATGGAGCTGAAAACCATCACCATCACAGAGAGAAGAGCATCCACTTAACAACCACCTTCCATATTTTATGCAAGTGCAATTTTCTTGAATGTACTTCATCCTGAGTAGAAACACAATCTAAAAAACACAGACTTTATTCATTTTTTCTTATTTCCAATTTAAATTATAGCAAAATTCAATTCCAAGAAAAATTTACGCCTCTATTCTGGAACTTAAAAAAATTGTTTCTAAAGATATTTAGGATAAACAAATGTGTGAGAACAGCTATTAAAAGAATGAAACAAATGTATTTGCTAAGAAATGAAAACATACATTTAATATTTTAGTGCATTTTGTGGTAATGATATAACGTGTGGGATAGATCATTAGAAATAAGCAATAGTGCAGAATTATGCATAGTAATAAGGTAGGAAGTGAGAAGGGCCTCATCAATCAAACAGAAGATGAATGCTCACTCAATAAGTACTATCAAAACAATTTTTAGCTATTTGCACCAAGAATAAAAAATCAACTTTGAGACATTGCTTTATAATGTATATTTGACTCCATACTTTAAAAATAACTGTAGGTAAGGCAATAAGTGAATAAGAACTGGAAATTGTGTAAGTAAATACAACTTTTGTAAATAAACTTTCTAAGAATAATAATAATAATAAAAATAATAATAATAATAAACTCTTCTATTTCTCAGGTAGTAGGCATAACCTGCCCCTTCACACCTCACCCACTACCATGGGAAGCCTTTGGACTCTCTATGGGCAATGATGAATAAGGAAAGGGATAGATAATAAATATCTTTTAAAAAAAATTAAGTTCTGAGGTACATGGGCATGATGTACATTTTTTTACATAGAATAATGTGTGCCATGTTGGTTTACTGCACCTATCAACTCATCATCTAAGTATTAAACCCCTCATGCATCATGCTCTCCCTACCTCTACCCCAGCCCAGACCCCAGTGTGTGTTGTTCCCCCACTGTGTCCATGTGTCCTCATTTTTCAGCTCCCACTTATGAGTAAGGACATGTGTGTTTGATTTTCTGTTCCAGTATTAGTTTGCTCAGGATAATGGCTTCCAGCTCCATCCATGTCCCTGTAAAGGACATAATCTAATTCCTTTTCACGGCTGCATAGTATTCCATTGTATATGTGTACCATATTTTATTTATGCAGCCTATAGTTGATGGGCATCTGGGTTAACCCCATGTCTTTGCTATTGTGAATATCACTGTCATGAACGTACATGTGCATGTACTTTTATAATAAAATAACTTATATTTCTCTGAATGCTGGGTCAAATGGCATTTCTGCTTCTAGGTCTTTGAGGAATTACCATACTGTCTTCAACAATGTATAAAGTAATTTACCTTCCCACCAACAGTGTAAAAGTGTTCCTATCTGTCCGCATCCTCACCAGCATTTGTTGTTTCTTTACTTTTTAATAATTGCCATTCTGAATGGTGTGAGATGGTATCTCATTGTCGTTTTGATTTGCATTTCTCTAATGATTAGTGATGTTAAGCTTTTATTCATATCTTTGGTGGGGACATAAATATCTTCTTTTGAGAAGTGTCTGTTTGTGTCTTTTTCCCTCTTTGTAATTTTTTTTTCTCCTTGTAAATTTGTTTAAGTTCCTTGTAGACTCTGGACATTAGACCTCAGGCAATTAAATAGGTTGCAAAAATTTCCTCCTAGTCTGTAGGTTGACGTTTACTGTTATGATGTGATGATAGTTTCTTTTACTTTGCAGAAGCTCTTTAGCTTATTTAGATCCCATTTGTCAATCTTTGCTTTTATTGCAATTGCTGTTGATATTTTTGTCATGAAACCTTTGACTGTGCCTATGTCCTAAAAGGTATTCCCTAGTTGTTCTTCTAGGGTTTTCATAATCTTGGGTTTTACATTTAAGTCTTTAATCCATCTTTGTTAATTTTTATATAAGGTGTAAGGAAGAGGCCAGATTTCAATTTTTGCATATGGCTAGCCAGTTCTCCCAGCATCACTTATTAAATAAGAAATTCTTTCCCCTTGCTTGTTTTTGTCAAGTTTGTCAAAGATCAGATGGTTATAGATATGAGTTTTATTTAAGAGATCTTTATTCTTTTCCATTAGGCTATGCATCTGTAATTGTGTCAGCAGCATGCTATTTGGGTGACTATAGCCTTGTTGTGTAGTTTGAAGTCAGGTAGTGTGATGCCTCTATCTTTGTTCTTTTCGCTTAAGATTGGCTTGACTCTATGGGCTGTTTATTTGTTCGATATGAATTTTTAAACTATTATTCTAATCCTGTGAAAAACGTTAATGACAGTTTAATGGAAAGGCACTAAATTTGTAAATTACCTTGGGCAGTATGGCCATTCTCATGATACTGATTTTTTTCTATATATGAATGTTTTTTCATTTGTTTGTGTCCTCTCTCATTTCCTTGAACATTGGTTTGTAGTTTTCCTTGAAAAGGTCCTTCACTTCCCTTGTTAGCTGTATTTCTAGGTGTTCTATTCTCTTTGTAGTAATTGTGAATGGGAGTTCACTTATGATTTGGTTCTCAGCTTGTCTGTTGTTGATGGATAGGAATGCTTATAATTTTTGCATGTTGATTTTGTATCCTGAGACTTTGCTGAAGTTGCTTATCAGCTCAGAAGCTTTTGGGCTGAAATATGGGGTTTTACAAATATAGAATTACATCATCTGCAAACAGAGAAAATTTGACTTCCTCTCTTGCAATTTGAATACAATTTAATTTTTTCTCTTGCCTGATTCCCCTGCCTAGAACTTCCAACACTATGTTGAAAGGGAGTGGTGAGACAAGGCATCCTTATCTTGTGCCAGTTTTCAAGGGGAATGTTTTCAGCTTTTGCCCATTCAGTATGATATTAGCTATGGACTTGACATAATGGCTCTTATTATTTTGAGGTACGTTCATTCATTACCTAGTTTATTAGAGTTTTTAACATGACTGGGGTGTTGAATTTTATCACAGGACTTTTCTGCATGTATTGAGATAATCTTGTAATTTTAGACTTTTTTTGTTTATGTAATAAATTTACATTTATTAACTTGCATATGTTGAAACAACCTTGCATCCCAAGGATACAGCCAACTTGATTGTTTTGAATAAGTTTTTCGATGTGCTGCTGGGTTTGGTTTGCCTGTATTTCATCAAGGATTTTTGCATTAATGTTTATCAGGGATATTGGCCTGAAGTTTTCCTACTTCTTCTTTTTTTTTTTTTGGATCTCTGTCATATTTTCCTACCAGAATAATGTTGGCATTATAGAATGAGTTAATGTTTTCCAATTTTTTGAAATAGTTTTAATAGAAATGGTACCAGTTCTTCTTTGTACCTCTGGTAGAATTCAGCTGTAAGTCCATCTGGTCCTGAGATTTTTTTGGTTGCTGTCTGTTTATTACTGACCCAATTTCAGAGCTTATTCAGGGATTTAACTTCCTGATTCAATCTTGGGGGTAGGGGGTATGTGGGCCCAGGAATTTATCAATTTCTTCTAGATTTTCCAGTTTATTTGCATATAATTGTTTATAATATTCTCTGATAGTTGTTTGTATTTCTGTGGGATCACTGGTGATATCCCCTTTATTATTTTTTATTGTGTCTGATTCTTCTCCCTTTTCTTCTTTATTAGTCTAGCTAGCAGTCTATGTTTTATTGCTTTTTGTCAAAAAAAAGATCCTGGGTTTGCTGATCCTCTGGAGGGTTTTTCAATCTCTGTCTCCTTCAGTTCTGCTCTAATCTTGATTATTTCTCATCTTCTGCCAATTTCTATGTAGTTTTATGGTTTTGAGTGTGTTTCTTACTCCTGAGTTCTAATTTAATTGTGCAGTCATCTGAGTCACTCTTCATTATGATTTCAGTACTTTCACATTTACTGAGGATTGTTTTTCTTTGAATTGTATCATCAGTTTTAGAGTAAGCGCCATGTGGTGATGAGGTGAATTATTCTGTTGTTATGAGTGAAGATTTCTGTAGATATCTACTAGGTCCACTTGATCGAGGAACAAGTTAAAGTTCTGAATATCTTTGTTAATTTTCTATCTCAATGCTCTGTCTAATACTGACAGTGATGAGTTAGGGTGTCCTATTATTTGTTTTTCTTTTGAGACAGACTCTTACTCTGTAACCCAGGCTGGAGTACAGTGGTGTGGTCTTGGCTCACTGTAATCTCCACCTCCTGGGTTTAAGCATATCTCCTGTCTCAGCCTCCCGAGTTGGCTGGGACTACAGGCGCATGCCACCATATCCGGCTAATTTTTTTGTATTTTTAGTAAAGATGGGGATTCACTGTGTTAGCCAGGATAGTCTCCATCTCCTGACCTTGTGATCTACCTGCCTTGTCCTCCCAAAGTGCTGGGATTACAGCCATGAGCCACCGCACCCAGCCATGGTGTTCCACTATTATTGTGTTGGAGTCTGTCTCTTTGCAGGGTCTCTAAGAACTTTAAACACCTCTTTTAAAAAAACACTTGTGGAGAAATTTGCAAGGAAAATCTGTAACTAGATTTGGATTAAAAAAAAACAAACAAACCAAAACTATCCTTATCATAAATAAATAAGTCTGAATTCTTAATTGTTTCTAAAATTAAAACCTAAAGCTATTTCTTTTTTTTCTTTTTTTTATTGTTATTACACTTTAAGTTTTGGGGTACATGTGCACAATGTGCAGGTTTCATACATACGTATACATGTGCCATGCTGGTGTGCTGCACCCATTAACTTGTCATTTAGCATTAGTTATATCTCCTAATGCTATCCCTCCCACCTCCCCCCACCCCACAACAGTCCCCAGAGTGTGATATTCCCCTTCCTGTGTCCATCTGTTCTCATTGTTCAATTCCCATCTATCAGTGAGAACATGCGGTGTTCGGTTTTTTGTCCTTGTGATAGTTTACTGAGAATGATGATTTCCAATTTCATCCATGTCCCTACAAAGGACATGAACTCATCATTTTTTATGGCTGCATAGTATTCCATGGTGTATATGCGCCACATTTTCTTAATCCAGTCTTTCATTGTTGGACATTTGGGTTGGTTCCAAGGCTTTGCTATTGTGAATAGTGCTGCAATAAACATACGTGTGCATGTATCTTTATAGCAGCATGATTTATAGTCCTTTGGGTATATACCCAGTAATGGGATGGCTGGGTCAAATGGTATTTCTAGTTCTAGATCCCTGAGGAATAACCACATTGACTTCCACAATGGTTGAACTAGTTTACAGTCCCACCAACAGTGTAAATGTGTTCCTATTTCTCCACATCCTCTCCAGCACCTGTTGTTTCCTGACTTTTTAATGATTGCCATTCTAACTGTGGTTTTGATTTGCATTTCTCTGATGGCCAGTGATGATGAGCATTTTTTCATGTGTCTGTTGGCTGCATAAATGTCTTCTTTTGAGCAGTATCTGCTCATATCCTTTGCCCACTTTTTGATGGGGTTGTTTTTTTCTTGTAAATTTGTTTGTGTTCATTGTAGATTCTGGATATTAGCCCTTTGTCAGATGAGTAGGTTGCAAAAATTTTCTCCCATTTTGTAGGTTGCCTGTTCATTCTGATGGTAGTTTCTTTTGCTGTGCAGAAGCTCTTTAGTTTAATTACATCACATTTGTCATTTTGGCTTTTGTTGCCATTGCTTTTGGTGTTTTACAGATGAAGTCCTTGCCCATGCCTATGTCCTGAATGGTAATGCCTAGGTTTTCTTCTAGGGTTTTTATGGTTTTAAGTTTAATGTTTAAGTCTTTAATCCATCTTGAATTAATTTTTGTGTAAGTTGTAAGGAAGGGATCCAGTTTCAGCTTTCTACATAGGGCTAGCCAGTTTTCCCAGCACAATTTATTAAACAGGGAATCCTTTCCCCATTGCTTGTTTTTCTTGGATTCATCAAAGATCAGATAGTTGTGGATATGTGGCATTATTTCTGAGGACTCTGTTCTGTTCCATTGATCTATATCTCTGTTTTGGTCCCAGTACCGTGCTGTTTTGGTTACTGTAGCCTTGTAGTATTGTTTGAAGTCAGGTAGCGTGATGCCTCCATCTTTGTTCTTTTGGTTTAGGATTGTCTTGGTGATGCGGGCTGTTTTTTGGTTCCATATGAACTTTAAAGTATTTTTTTCCAACTCTGTGAAGAAAGTCATTGGTAGCTTGATGGGGATGGCATTGAATCTATAAATTACCTTGGGCTGTATGGCCATTTTCATGATATTGATTCTTTCTACCCATGAGCATGGAATGTTCTTCCATTTGTTTGTATCCCCTTTTATTTCATTGAGCAGTGGTTTGTAGTTCTCCTTCAAGAGGTCCTTCACGTCCCTTGTAAGTTGGATTCCTAAGTATTTTATTCTCTTTGAAGCAATTGTGAATGGGAGTTCACTCATGATTTGGCTCTCTGTTTGTCTGTTATTGGTGTATAAGAATGCTTGTGATTTTTGTACATTGATTTTGTATCCTGAGACTTTGCTGAAGTTGCTTATCAGCTTAAGGAGACTTTGGGCTGAGACAAGGGGTTTTCTAGATATACAATTATGTCATCTGCAAACAGGGACAATTTGACTTCCTCTTTTCCTAATTGAATACCCTTTGTTTCCTTCTCCTGCCTAATTGCCCTTGCCAGAACTTCCAACACTATGTTGAATAGGAGAGGTGAGAGAGGGCATCCCTTTCTTGTGCCAGTTTTCAAAGGGAATGCTTCCAGTTTTTGCCTATTCAGTATGATATTGGCTGTGGTTTTGTCATAGATAGCTCTTATTATTTTGAAAAACATCCCATCAATACCGAATTTATTGAGAGTTTTTAGCATGAAGCATTGTTGAATTTTGTCAAAGGCCTTTTCTGCATCTATTGAGATAATCATGTGGTTTTTGTCTTTGGTTCTATTTATATGCTGGATTACATTTATTGATTTGTGTATATTGAACCAGCCTTGCATCCCAGGGATGAAGCCCACTTGATCATGGTGGATAAGCTTTTTGATGTGCTGCTGGGTTCAGTTTGCCAGAATTTTATTGAGGATTTTTATATCAATGTTCATCAAGGATATTGGTCTAAAATTCTCTTTTTTGGTTGTGTCTCTGCCCAGCTTTGGTATGAGGATGATGCTGGCCTAATAACATGAGTTAGGGAGGATTCCCTGTTTTTCTATTGATTGGAATAGTTTCAGAAGGAATGGTACCAGTTCCTCCTTGTACCTCTGGTAGAATTTGGCGGTGAATCCATCTGGTCCTGGACTCTTTTTGGTTGGTAAGCTATTGATTATTGCCACAATTTCAGATCCTGTTATTGGTCTATTCAGAGATTCAAATTTTTCCTGGTTTAGTCTTGGGAGAGTGTATGTGTCAAGGAATTTATCAATTTCTTCTAGATTTTCTAGTTTATTGGCATAGAGGTGTTTGTAGTATTCTCTGATAGTAGTTTGTATTTCTGTGGGATCGGTGGTGATATCCGCTTTATCATTTTTTATTGCGTCTATTTGATTCTTCTTTCTTTTTTTCTTTACTAGTCTTGCTAGTGGTCCATCAATTTTGTTGATCCTTTCAAAAAACTAGCTCCTGGATTCATTAATTTTTTGAAGGGTTTTTTGTGTCTCTATTTCCTTCAGTTCTGCTCTGATTTTAGTTATTTCTTGCCTTCTGCTAGCTTTTGAATGTGTTTGCTCTTGCTTTTCTAGTTCTTTTAATTGTGATGTTAGGGTGTCAATTTTGGATCTTTCCTGCTTTCTCTTGTGGGCATTTAGTGCTATAAATTTCCCTCTACACACCGCTTTGAATGTGTCCCAGAGATTCTGGTATGTTGTGTCTTTGTTCTCATTGGTTTCAAAGAACGTCCTTATTTTTGCCTTCATTTCATTATGTACCCAGTAGTCATTCAGGAGCAGGTTGTTCAGTTTCCATGTAGTTGAGTAGTTTTGAATGAGTTTCTTAATCCTGAGTTCTAGTTTGATTGAACTGTGGTCTGAGAGACAGTTTGTTATAATTTCTGTTCTTTTACATTAGCTGAGGAGTGCTTTACTTCCAAGTATGTGGTCAGTTTTGGAATAGGTGTGGTGTGGTGCTGAAAAAAATGTATATACTGTTGATTTGGGGTGGAGAGTTCTGTAGATGTCTCTTAGGTCTACTTGGTGCAGAGCTGAGTTCGATTCCTGGGTATCCTTGTTAACTTTCTGTCTCATTGATCTGTCTAATGTTGACAGTGGGATGTTAAAGTCTCCCATTATTATTGTGTGGGAGTGTAAGTCTCTTTGTAGGTCACTCAGGACTTGCTTTATGAATCTTGGTGCTCCTGTATTGGGTGCATATATATTTAGGATAGTTAGCTCTTCTTGTTGAATTGACCCCTTTTGTGTTATGTAATGGCCTTCTTTGTCTCTTGATCTTTGTTGGTTTAAAGTCTGTTTTATCAGAGACTAGGATTGCGACCCCTGGCTTTTTTTGTTTTCCATTTGCTTGGTAGATCTTCCTCCATCCTTTTATTTTGAACCTATGTGTGTCTCTGCACGTGAGATGGGTTTCCTGAATACAGCCCACTGATGGGTCTTGACTCTTTATCCAATTTGCCAGTCTGTGTCTTTTAGTTGTAGCATTTAGTCCATTTACATTTAAAGTTAATATTGTTATGTGTGAATTTGATCCTGTCATTATGATGTTAGCTGGTTATTTTGCTCTTGAGTTGATGCAGTTTCTTCCTAATCTCGATGGTCTTTACATTTTGGTATGATTTTGCAGTGGCTGGTACCAGTTGTGACTTTGTATATTTAGTGCTTCCTTCAGGAGTTCTTTTAGGGCAGGCTGGGTGGTGACAAAATCTCTCAGCATTTGCTTGTCTGTAAAGTATTTTATTTCTCCTTCATTTATAAAGTGTAGTTTGGCTGGATACGAAATTCTGGGTTGAAAATTATTTTCTTTAAGAATGTTGAATATTGGCTGCCACTCTCTTCTGGCTTGTTGAGTTTCTGCCTAGAGATCCGCTGTTAGTCTGATGGGCTTCCTTTGTGGGTAACCCGACCTTTCTCTCTGGCTCCCCTTAACATTTTTTCCTTCATTTCAACTTTGGTGAATCTGACAATTATGTGTCTTGGAGTTGCTCTTCTCGAGGAGTATCTTTGTGGCATTCTCTGTATTTCCTGAATCTGAATGTTGGCCTGCCTTGCTAGATTGGGGAAGTTCTCCTGGATAATATCCTGCAGAGTGTTTTCCAACTGGGTTCCATTCTCCCCGTCACTTTCAGGTACACCAATCAGATGTAGATTTGGTCTTTTCACATAGTCCCATATTTCTTGGAGGCTTTGTTCATTTCTTTTTATTCTTTTTTCTCTAAACTTCCCTTGTCAGTTCATTTCATTGATTTCATCTTCCATCACAGATACCCTTTCTTCCAGTTGATCACATTGGCTCCTGAGGCTTCTGCATTCTTCACGTAGTTCTCGAGCCTTGGCTTTCAGCTCCATCAGCTCCCTTAAGCCCTTCTCTGTATTGGTTATTCTAGTTATACATTTGCCTAAATTTTTTTTCAAAGTTTTCAACTTCTTTGCCTTTGGTTTGAATTTCCTCCTGTAGCTCGGAGTAGTTTGATCATCTGAAGCCTTCTTCTCTCAACTCGTCAAAGTCATTCTCTATCCAGCTTTGTTCCATTGCTGGTGAGGAACTGCATTCCTTTGGAGGAGGAGAGGCACTCTGCTTTTTAGAGTTTCCAGTTTTTCTGCTCTGTTTTTTTCCCAGTCTTTGTGGTTTTATCTAGTTTTAGTCTTCGATGATGGCAATGTACAGATGGGTTTTTGGTGCGGATGTCCTTTCTGTTTGTTAGTTTTCCTTCTAACAGACAGGACCCTCAGCTGCAGGTCTGTTGGAGTTTGCTAGAGGTCCACTCCAGACCTTGTTTGCCTGGGTATCAGTAGCAGTGTATGCAGAACCGCGGATTTTAGTGATCCGCAAATGCTGCTGTCTGATCATTCCTCTGGAAGTTTTGTCTCAGAGGAGTACCCGGCCATGTGAGGTGTCAGTCTGCCCCTACTGGGGGCTGCCTCCCAGTTAGGCTGCTCGGGGTTCAGGGGTCAGGGACCCACTTGAGGAGGCAGTCTGCCCATTCTCAGATCTCCAGCTGCATGCTGGGAGAACCACTGCTGTCCTCAAAGCTGTCAGACAGGGACATTTAAGTCTACAGAGGTTACTCCTGTCTTTTTGTTTTTCTGTGCCCTGCCCCCAGAGGTGGAGCCTGCAGAGGCAGGTAGGCCTCCTTGAGCTGTGGTGGGCTCCAACCAGTTGGAGCTTCCCGGCTGCTTTGTTTACCTAAGGGAGCCTGGGCAATGGTGTGCACCCCTCCCCCAGCCTCGCTGCCATGTTACAGTTTGATCTCAGACTGCTGTGCTAGCAATCAGCAAGACTCCATGGGTGTAGGACCCTCTGAGCCAGGTGCGGGATATAATCTCCTGGTGTGCCATTTCCTAAGACCTTTGGAAAAGCACAGTATCCAGATGGGAGTGGCCCTATTTTCCAGGTGCTGTCTGTCACCTCTTTCCTTGACCAGGAAAGGGAATTCCCTGACCCCTTGCACTTCCCAAGTGAGGCAATGCCTCACCCTGCTTTGGCTGGTGCATGGTGTGCTGCACCCACTGTCCTGCACCCTCTGTCTGGCACTCCCTAGTGAGATGAATCTGGTACCTCAGATGGAAATGCAGAAATCACCCATCTTCTGCGTCGCTCAGGCTGGGAGCTGTAGACCGGAGCTGTTCCTATTCGGCCATCTTGGCTCCTCCCCCAGCTATTTCTTTAAAACCAAAAAGATAATAAATGAAATGAAATGAAATAAATATAATTTCCTTTTGGAAGAAGTTTTCCTTGAGAAAGAAGAGCAAGTTTAAAAAGCTTAGGTGAATTTTGGTTTGAGAGTGCTCAATAAACTGTAGTAAGTATGTAATGTATATTTATTTACTAGATGAAGTTGTCCCAAAATAATGAGGGTCTTAGAGTAACATTAAACTGATGATAAGCTTTAATTGACATATTTTCTTAGGTACAGTTGCTTTAAAGACAAAAACCTGAACAAAGAAAATAAAAAACGAAGTCATTATTCTCTATTTTGCTTTCCTTGACACATTTTCTTGCTTAAGGTTGCATTAAAAACAAAAAGCTCAACAAATAAAATTTTTAATAAATGAAGTAATTACTCTCCATTTTGCTATTCTTGCAATTTTGCTCTGTAAACTCCAATGAAAATGAGGTCAAACCCTAATTTATTCTGCTTTATGTTGATGCACCATTCATGCTCTGAGCTCTTTCATATTTTCAACCCATCTCCTACTTATTTCTCACCATGAGCTCTCCACTCCAGCCTACCCAGTCTACTTATGATTTTCCAAGCACAACGTCTTCATTTCTAAAATATTTTGTTATTGTTTATGTGAACAGAAACTCCCTTTTTTCTCCCTCTATTCTTATTATAAAAACCCTATGTACAATTCAGAATTTAATTCAATTTGCTGCACTCCCTAAAGACTTTATATAGCCTTACCTCCTGAAGCTCTAAATATCCTTCATCCTTGGTTTACTTATTAATTACCTTATTATTATTATGACTACTCCATTTTGGATTGACCAACTGTAGTAACTTATTTTGAATTTCAAATTTACAGATAAATTATGAGAAACGTATTTTAAGATTTTATATTTTATTTACCCAGGTTTCCAAATCATTAGTATCTTACCACATTTGTACTCTCTCATATATAAATGTACATAATCGCATACTGAATGTTAGGAATTAGGAATATTACTTTGCAAAACCATTTTAAAATTGAAGATTTTTATTCTAAAATTTTTTATAGTAAATAATGCTTCCTATTTATTTATTTATTTATGTATGTATTTATTTTTAATTTTATTTTTTTTTAAGATGAAGTCTTGCTGTGTCACCAGGCTGGAGTACAGTGGCACTATTTTGGCTCAATGCAATCTCTGCCTTCCAGGTTCAAGTGATTCCCATGCCTCAGCCTCCTGAGTAGCTCAGATTTCAGGAATTCACTAACATGCCCAGCTAATTTTCTATGTTTTACTAGAGATGGGTTTCACCATGCTGGCTGGGATGATCTCAATCTCCTGACTTCGTGATCCACCCACCTTGGCTTCTCAAAGTGCTGGGATTACAAATGTGAGACACCACACTCAGCCTATTTATTTAATTTTTTTTTAACTTTTATTTTAGGTTCAAAGAGTAGATGTGCAGATTTGTTACCAGAATAAATTTTGTGCCAGTGACGTTTAATTTACAAATAATTTCATCAACCAGGTAGTAGGACAGTACCTGATAAGTAGTTTTTTAAACGCTTACCCTCCTCCTACCTTCCATTCTCAAGTATGTTCCAGGATGTATTCACCTTTTTGTGTCTATGTGTATTCAATGTTTAGCTCTTAGTTATAAATGAGATATATGGTATTTGGTTTTTGGTTTCTCATTTAATGTGCTCAGGATAACAGCCTCCAGCTGCATCTAAGTTGGACACATAGAGATATATATTTTATAGCTGCACAGTAGTCCATTGTGTATAATGCCCACCTTTGATGGGCATTTTCGGTAATTCCATGTCTTTGCTATTGCAAATGTACTGCAACGAACACATTAGTTCATGTGACTTTTGGGTATAACTATTTATATTACTTTGAGTAATGAGTTTTTTGGGGAGGTCAAATGGTACTTCTGGTTTAAGTTCTGTGAGAAAATGTCAAATAGTTTTCCACAGTGGCTGAACTACTAAAAATTTGCATTTCCACCAACAGTGTATAAGCATTTTCTTTTCTCCACAACCCCACCATCTGTTATTTTTTGAATTTTGAATAATATTTATTCTAACTAGCAGGAAATGGTATCTCATTATGGGTCTCATTTACTTCTCTCTGATGATTAGGGATGTTGAGCTTTTTAATTTTTTTTCATGTTTGTTGGCTGCATATATATATATATTTTTTGAGAAGTGTCTCCTTATATCCTTTGCCCACATTTTTCTTATTTTCTTATAGACTCTATGTATCAGTCCTTTGTGGGATGGATAGTTTGCATATTTTACCCAATTCTCTAGGTTTGTCTGCTTATTTTGTTGATAACTTCTTTTGCTCTGAAGAATCTCTTTTACATAATTAGGTCCTTCAAGTCCATTTTTGTTTTTCCTGCAACTACTTTTGGAGACTTTGTCATGAAATATTTGCCTAGGAATCCAGAATGGCATTTCCTAGATTTTCTCCCAGGATTATTCTAGTTTTAGGGCTTACATTTAATTCTTTAATTTATCTTGACTTTATTTTTGTACATACTAAAATGAAGAAGTTCAGTTTCAATATTCTGCATATGGCTAGCCAGTTATTCACAAACACTTTATTGAATAGGAGGATGTTTATTCATTGCTTGTTACTTTTGGCTTGGACAAAATAGTTTTGCAGCTTTATTTCTGGTCACTGTAACTTATTCCATTTGTCTAGGTCTTTATTTTTGTACCGGTACCAGCTGTTTGTCTGTTTGTTTTTCCTTAGAATTGCTTTGACTGCTTGGTCTTCTTTTTTGGTTTTATATACATTTTAGAATTTGTTTTTAATTATGCAAAAAATGAGACTGGTAGTTTGATAGGAATTGCATTGAATTTGTAAATTGCTTTGAACAGTATGGCCATTTTATCAATATTGATGCTTCCTATCTATTAAGGATAGGATAGGAAAGTAAAATGGAAAGCATTTTCATTTGTTTGTAATCTGTAATTTCTTTTGAGGTGTTTTGTAATTCTCACTGTAGAGATCTTTTATCTCCTTAGTTATCTGTGTTTCTAGGTATTTTATTCTTTATGTGGCTATTGTGAGTAGAATTGCCTCCTTGTTACGGCTTTCAGTTGGAAATAGTTGTTTTGTGAAATTGCTACTGATTTTTGTATATCAGTAGAATTTCTTTTGGATAGGCTGCTAGATTCAATTTGCATCTATGTTCATTTTTTTATGCTGAAATTTTACAGAAGTTGTTTGTCAGTTCTAGAAGCCTCTGGGCAGAGACTATTGAATTTTCTCAGTGTAGAATTACATAATCTGTAAAGAAAATCAGTATGACTTCTTCTCTTTCTATTTGACTGTTTTCCATTTCTTTCTCTTGGCTGATTACCATGATTTCCAGGACTGGGTTCAATAGAAGTGGTGAGAATGAGCATCCAGGTCTTGTTCTAGATTTCAGAGGGAATGTTTCTAGCTTTTTTTTCCATCACTATGATGTTGACTATGAATTTGTCAAAAGTTGCTCTTAATAAAACAAGTTATGTTCTTATAATACTTTGTTGAGGGTTTTCAACCTAAAGGGATATAAATTCCTTTTTTTTTTTTTTTTTGTTTGAGATGGAATTTTCCTCTTGTTGCCCAGGCTGAAGTGCAATGGTACGATCTCAGCTCCGCAACTTTCACCTCCCAGATTCAAGCAATTCTCCTGCCTCAGTTCCCCAAGTAGCTGGGATTACAGGCATGCACCACCACACTCAGTTAGTTTTTTTATCTATAGTACAGACAGGGTTTCACCATGTTGGTCAGGCTGATCTCGAACTCTTGACCTCAGGTAATCCACCTGCCTAGGCCTCTTAAAGTATTGAGATTATAGACATGAGCCACCATACCCAACAGTATGTGAAATTTTACCTAAAACCTTCTATGCATCTATTGAGATAATCACATCTTTATTTTTAGTTTTGTTTATGTGATGAATCAGATTTATTAATATGCATACATTGAATCAACCTTGCATCCCAAGGATAAATCCTACTTGTCTATAAACAATTAGCTTTTGGATAGGCTGCTAGATTTAATTTGTATCTATGTTCATCAGAGATATTGGCCTGAAGCTGTGTGTGTGTGTGTGTGTGTGTGTGTGTGTGTGTGTGTGTGTGTGTTTGGGGCAGGCCTTTGCCAGTCAGCCAGAAAGTACTTGGCCTTTGCCTTTACTTTCTGTGCAGAATTTGAAGGTCAAAGACTAGTGAGAGCCGAAGATCTTCCTTGGTCTTTCCTTACCAAACCTGGTCCTCCTCTGCCTTGGGCCTCTGAAATTCCCTCCAAGGGTCTTATTCTCCAGTATTTCCTCCTAGAGTTTTCCAGCATGACTTTTTCCAAATCATAACCTTTGCACCAGGTTTGCTTGGCAGTTCACTATCACTTAAATGTTTTTGACAAATATTAAGCCATTGATTTGAGATTTTTCTTCATTTTTAAGAAAGAAATTTATTGCTGTGAGTTCTCCTTAGATGTGATCTAACTTGTGTTCTTATTAATTCAGAAGGGCACTAAGGTTACCAAAAGTTATCTGTGAGTTTAAAGTTCATGGCCTGGATGGCATGGCAAATTTCTAAATTCTTAGAGCTACAAGACAAAACACACTCTCATTATATTCTCTAACAATAGGAGCCATTAGTCAAATTTTCAGACCCCCATCCTTACTCAAATTTAAAACCCAAATTACTGAAATGCTGACTGGAAAGTGGGTGACCTTACAAACACTCTTCCAATTAGAGACTGTGGCCCTTGCCAGTTTCAATTAGCTTGTACAGATTATACACAAACTATCTCTGTATTCTATAATTCACCTTTGATATAAAAGCAAAATTCTGTCTTATCTTTATTGCTAAAACCCTGCCTCAAGGTGAACATGAGATAGAAGTTACATATATTTACCCATTGTGCATGTGAGAGAGAAACATTAGGTAGTTAGGATGAGTCTTGATTAAACTTCTTTAAACAGAGAAACAGCCTGAAAAATCAGCCTGCAGGCACAGATAAGGACGCTAGCACAAACCTCTGGCTACTCACGAAACAGAATGAGGCTCAACAGAAAAACGACTTTGTCCTTTGTGTCTAAAAGCATGCCTGGAACTACTCTGATACGTAAATTAGAACTAACATAGAAACACCTTTGACCAAAAAAACTATGGGCGATATTTCACAATAAGAGACTGTTATGTTGTGGTGTACTGGAGAGATTGTAACACATGGGCACACTTACTTTTTGTTTTCTAGTTCTTTTTTTATTCTTTATTTCACCTTTACTGTTTTTTATTTCCATTAAGTGAAAGTTTTTCTTATGACTTTTAATTTATACAATGGATTTTCAGTATTATTTTAAAGTATTGTTTTGTTTGTGATTGATATGTGATAATGGTACACGCTAATTATATTAATGTGATTATTACACAATGTATACAGGTACTAAAATATTGCATCTTATTTCTATATTCTTCTTATAGAAATGTCACTCTTGTACATCTTTATTTCCCTTTTCCTCATTTTTGTGGCAGTAATGTTATACTTATTGCATTTAGACATGCTACAAATTGAAAAACCTGTTCTTAACAGTTACTTGGTTATATATGTTTGTTTTAAATAAGCATAAAGAAGAAAGAAGAACATTTACATATTTACAATTTTGAAATGTTAAGTTTTCCTGTTTTCCAATTTTTTTCTCATTGTTTATGGATTCAAGTTATTATCTGAACATATTTTTTAGCCAAATATGCCTTTTCTTTTATCTACCTCCCCTAGGTTGTTATTTGCAATTACATTGAATTTCTATATGACTTAGCACCAAGGATACTATTATAAACAGCATCATATATTTGTTTGTAAAATCAGTTAAAACAGGAAATAGTCACAAAATTGTCTTACAAGTTGCTTTAACAGTACTCTTTGTCTTTCTTATTCATATAAATTATTTTCTGGGAGTATTTGCTCTTTATATGAACAACTGTTTTCCAGTATTTTCCATAAAGTCTGCGTGCTATTAATGAAGCATCTCAGTTTTCTGTCAATTGAATATGAAGTTTACATGCAATGAGTATAGAATTCTTGGTGGACAGTTTTTTTTTTTTTTTTGAGAACTGAAATACATGCATATACACACATAAGGGAGGAGTTAAAAATCTTCTATGCAGAAAAAGAATTCAAGACCTAAGAATGATGACTATGTTGGGCAGCAGTGTCATAGTGATGACAGATAGTGGACTAGGTTGAAGATGGCAGAAAGAATTATAATTAGAAACTGTAGAAGTGGGGAGAGTGATTCTGACTTTATCCAAATGAAGAATTTGTTAGAGCATCAAAAATGGCACATGAGAGGGACACCAGTCTAAAGTCAAATATAATTAAACATTATGTCCTGGAAAAAGATCCATATGTTCAGTGACGGAAACTGATCCCTTTAAAAGCAGACAATATTTTATTTTAAAAAGTCTCACAAATGTGTCAGTTATCATTAAGGTTAGGGTTGAAATTAAGTATAGTCCAAACAAATGTGTGGTTAATGTTAGGGTTGAAATGAAGAATACTCCAAACAAATGTGTGGTTGATGTTCATTGCAGAAGCATATAAAACAGTTGCCTCTGGTGCTCAAATCATATTATTTCACACAGTGTAAATTCGAGTGTTTAAAGTGAAACTTTCCTGTGAGTATAAGTAACAGAAGAGGCTGAAGCATAGGGTCACAGAAGATCCTCTATGAGACCTTAGATGTTCAAGTTGAAATAAGGTAACATGGTAAAGACACTGCAAATTACAACTCTCCATGTTGCCTGAGTGGAAGTTTTTTTCCTGTCTCCCAAAATACACCTCCCTCAATAGGCTGAGATACAGCAAAAAAAAAAAAAGACGTCTGCATTCTGCTTCCTTTCCTAGGTGCCCTGACTCAGGGTGGGTTTCACCTTCTAGGGAAAAAAAAAAAAAAAAAAAAAAAAAGCTCTTCACATATGTAGGTCTGGAGCACGGGTCATTGTATTTATTTTTAAGATACTGGTATAAAAACTACTTATGACCCTGAAATCCAGGGACCACTAGAGAACCTGTGTGAAGGCCACCAGAAATCTGCTGAGATAAGGAGGATATACTGGATAATCCAACATGATGTTTTTTTTTGTTTTTTTTGTTTTTTTTTTTTGAAGGTGAGTCTCGTTCTGTCACCCAGGCTGAAGTGCTGGACTGCAGTGGCGCGATCTCGGCTCACTGCAAGCTCCACCTCCAGGGTTCACGCCATTCTCCTGCCTCAGCCTCCCGAGTAGCTGGGACTGCAGGCGCCCGCCACCGCGTCCACATAATTTTTTAAATATTTTTAGTAGAGACAGGGTTTCACCGTGTTAGCCAGTATGGTCTCGATCTCCTCACCTCGTGATCCGCCTGCCTAGGCCTCCCAAAGTGCTTGGATTACAGGCGTGAGCCACCGCGCCTGGCTGATGATTTTTTTTTTTTTAGATTGAGTCAGAGTTATTGTTTAACATATGTTTTGTTGCCAAGAGCTGTGACCAGACAAGAAACCTGGTATACATACCTAAGAAAATGAACTCATATAAAGTTTGGAATCCAGCTGTTGCTACTCTCCTGTTTGCCATTAATTAGATAAGTTCAATTTTCCCTTTGGTGTCCGCTCTTCCTAACAGTCACAGAGTTAGAGCTCTTCTGCTTCTACAGACAGCTTGATAGTTATCGACCTGGAGGGAGATAAACCAGTGGCATTCCTTCCTTATACCATGTCCTTGGGACCATAATTTACATACACAGAATAACCCCAAGACTCAGCTGTGTGTCTTTTTCTCAGTTTCAGTAACAGCAAATGCTCAAGACTGAGGTGGTTGGAGAAGGCAGGTTTTCCTGAATAATTTCTGTAAGTCTGTTATATTTTCCTTCTTTATCTCACTAAATGATAACTAATCAGGAGCTGTTTCTGGATAACGTATAAATTAGATTAATATAAGCATATAAATGTATGGATTTTAAGATGAAATTTGTTATTTTTGGATATTACATTTAAATTATTAACTAATTTTATCAATTTATAAACAATTCTTTTAAGGCTCAGTGAATGTGAACAAATTCCCCAGAATTTAATCACACTTCTCTATGTTTGTTTTTAATTTGGGCAAAATATTAGTTTGCTTTTAATACTTTAATATTATTTAAATAATGATGTCATAAGGTAATGTTTTGCAAAGGTGAACTATATAGCATTCTTCTACCATAAAGGAAATTCTCTAAATTCGTTATTTCTACTTTTTCTGGGATGTTTTTACATTATACTTAGGCCAAGCACGCGTGCACACACACACATAGTTATTTGTAAATAATTTTTTTCATTATAGTTCTTTTATAAAACCAAATCTAAACCCATCAACCTTGTGATTAATGACTGTTTCTTGGTCCTTTTAATGGTGTTGTTTCCCTCAATATTTCTATGATTATATATATGTTTTGTGGTTTACAATATTAAGGATATTCTAAGATGGAAGTGCCAATAAGGAAGATGAACTTAATATGTATTGTCTATTTCTAAGAGTTCTAAGGAACTTCACTTTCAGACGAAGGACAAGCAGTAACTGTTTATACTAATCTGAGATGTTCCGTCAGATTTATATTTTGATGCTGTCACTTAGGACACAATTTACCTTTACACTCAGACCAAAATGCATTACTCATTTTTTTTTCTATTCCAACTCTCCTATGTCTATACCATGTTTAGTAGGTGGTATACTAATCCTGGGATTCCTAGATCCCAGGGTTTGTTTATGTTAATTGGGATTATGAGATTTATCAAATATAAATTCAGGCACCAAAGTAAAGTTTAATTTTTAAGTTATTTTCAATACTTAACAATATTTGATTTGATATCTAATATTCAAAAACAATATCAGAAAAAACAATAACTTTTCAGTATGTATAAAAATTTGGTATTTGCAATGCAATTATTCTATATAGTAAGAGGTATTGCATAGAGTATACACATCTGATTCTTGTAATCAACAGAGTACCTTGTACTTAATTTCTTGACTTCAGTCTAAAAGAACCATAGTCCTCCCCAGTTCAGGCTTAGCACCAACGTCCTCCAGAGTCTACTTGGAGAGGAAAACCACATGATGGTTGTATTAGTTCATTCTCACACTGCTATAAAGATACTACCTGAGACTGGTTAGTTAATCAATAAAGGAGGTTTAATTGACTCCCAATTCCACATGGCTGGGGAGGCCTCAGGAAACGCAAAATTATGGCAAAGGAGGAAGCAAACATCTCCTTTTTTAAAAGGCAGCAGGATAGAGTGTAAGCAAAGAAGGAAAACCAATCACCTGTAAAACCATCATATCTCAGGAGAACTCATGATGAGAGCTCTCACAATCAGATTATCACAAGAAGAGAATGAGGGAAAACCACTCCCATGATCCAATCACCTGCTACCAGGCCTCTCCCTTGAAACAGAGAATTACAATTCAAGATAAGATTTGGGGACAAAGCAAATTATGTCAATAGTCCTGAAGATACACTTTTTACAGTATGTGACAGTCATTTATAGAGTGAAGGGCATGAATTACAGGTGATAAGCTGTATATCCACTGAGATGAGTGAAGAGACTATTAAAATTTTTACCTATCATACTTTTTTTATTGAGCATACTTGAATCCCTTTATTTTATTTTATTTTATTTTTATTATTATTATACTTTAAGTTTTAGGGTACGTGTGCACAACGTGCAGGTTAGTTACATATGTATACATGTGCCATGCTGGTGTGCTGTACCCATTAACTCGTCATTCAGCAGTAGGTATATCTCCTAAAGCTATCCCTCCCCACTCCCCCAACCCCACAACAGTCCCCACAGTGTGATGTTCCCCTTCCTGTGTCCATGTGTTCTCATTGTTCAATTCCCACCTATGAGTGAGAATATGCGGTGTTTGTTTTTTGTTTTTGCAATAGTTTACTGAGAATGATGATTTCCAGTTTCATCCATGTCCCTACAAAGGACATGAACGCATCATTTTTTATGGCTGCATAGTATTCCATAGTGTATATGTTCCACATTTTCTTAATCCAGTCTATCATTGTTGGACATTTGGGTTGGTTCCAAGTCTTTGCTATTGTGAACAGTGCCGCAGTAAACATACGTGTGCATGTGTCTTTATAGCAGCATGATTTATAGTCCTTTGGGTATATATCCAGTAATGGGATGGCTGGGTCAAAGGGTATTTCTAGTTCTAGATCCCTGAGGAATCACCACACTGACTTCCACAATGGTTGAACTAGTTTACAGTCCCACCAACGGTGTAAAAGTGTTCCTATTTCTCTACATCCTCTCCAGCACCTGTTGTTTCCTGACTTTTTAATGATTGCCATTCTAACTGGTGTGAGATGGTATCTCATTGTGGTTTTGATTTGCATTTCTCTGATGGCCAGTGATGGTCAACATTTTTTCATGTGTTTTTTGGCTGCATAAATGTCTTCTTTTGAGAAATGTCTGTTCAAGTCCTTTGCCCACTTTTTGATGGGGTTGTATTTTTCTTGTAAATTTGAGTTCATTGTAGATTCTGGATGTTAGCCCTTTGTCAGATTAGTAGTTTGCAAAAAATTTCTCCCATTCTGTAGGTTGCCTGTTCACTCTGATGGTAGTTTCTTTTGCTGTGCAGAAGCTCTTTAGTTTAATTAGATCTAATTGTCAATTCTGGCTTTTTTTGCCATTGCTTTTGGTGTTTTACAGATGAAGTCCTTGCCCATGCCTATGCCCTGAATGGTAATGCCTAGGTTTTCTTCTAGGGTTTTTATGGCTTTTGGTCTAACGTTTAAGTCTTTAATCCATCTTGAATTAATTTTTGTATAAGGTGTAAGGAAGGGATCCAGTTTCAGCTTTCTACATATGGCTAGCCAGTTTTCCCAGCACCATTTATTAAATAGGGAATCCTTTCCCCATTGCTTGTTTTTCTCAGGTTTGTCAAAGATCAGATAGTTGTAGATATGCAGTGTTATTTCTGAGGGCTCTGTTCTGTTCCATTGATCTATATCTCTGTTTTGGTAACAGTACCATGCTGTTTTGTTACAGCATGGTCTAGCACCCATAAATTTAACCAAAGTTCTGGGGCCTTGACTCTAGTGGAGGCAAAACAGGTTATTCTAAATAAAAGTTTCTGTGACAAGTATTTGTACCCCATGTGAAGGTTATCTTTTCAATTTCCTTGCAAGAGAATGTCAGCAAAATAACACAATTTCTGAGTTTCCAAAACAAGTTTTGTGGAGTTAATATGATGCTGGTAATAATGACGGGAAAAGCTGTTAAGGTACTCCATGAGGATACCAATAAAGTACACTATGTAATATCATGCAGTAAATTTATTTCTCTAGGACCTATAAATACGTTCTAGCTTTGCCTGTCACATTTATATCTATAATAAACTATTTTTCCCTCAGCATAGATGGGAAGAGAGTGCATATTTTTCGCTTAGACCAAAGTTTTTTCTACCTATGTATTAATGTGAAACTCATTTCTGCCTTTATTTTGCCATGCCTATTAAGTCAAATTACCAAATACATCTGTCTGTTCAAAGACACTTCTGATTTCCATTGGTTTATTTATGAATTTCCTTTGCTAATACCATACAGTCAGAATTATTGTACTTTAAAAACTTTGAGTTATATTCATCATGATCTCATCTTGTTCTTGAAAAAATTTGGCTTTTTAAGACATTTATTATTTTTATAATGTTTGGTGAATTAGTATTACTAAACAACTATTAGAATGTCTAAATTCCAAAACACAACACAAACAATTCCAAAAATCCAGAGTAAAAGACAAAACAGTACTTTATTTCTGTTGTGAATTCAAGTTGATATGCCCATGTTCAAAGACAGTTGGCAATGTATTATGAACAAAACCTTATCTGACAAATGATTTAGCATTAGCACTTCATAGTGTTTAATTTAATGAGTTGAAAACATCAGTTAAAACCAAACATGAAAATAAATGCCCAGACTATATTTAAAAATCATGAGAAAGAAACAAGATAGTGAACAATGACAACATGACTGAAACCATTATCTAGAAGTGTGAGACTATATTTAAAAATGATCAGTCTCAGCATTAATTAGTAAAAAATAAACTTAAAATCTAATGTGATCTCATTTTACACATACTGATAGGCAAAAATTAATACATTACATAATTCCAATTTAATAAATAAATGTATGTGCAAAATGATGGAAGGGTAACTTCATACACTTTATTGGAAATTTCTGGTAACCTTGAGATTTCCCAAAATCTACAACCCAACTAGTTTTCTCTAATGTATATTTTACTATTTATGCATAAGCATTTGGAAACCTAAACAAGTATTACAAGCAAACCATTTTACATAACCAAATATAAAATTGAAACAATTTAAATCCTACAGTAAGTGGAATAAATGAGAAAAGTGGATAACTCAAGCCTTAGACGCCAGCAGGCATGAAACAACCTGGGGGCCAAAACCAGAGATACGAATCGATTAATTTACTTTCATAGAAAGTGAAAAGAAGACAAATTAAGAAGACACTATTTTTGATACAAAACGATAATGTTATAAAGAATATCTACAAAATTAGGGAGAGTGACCACCTCTGGAGACAGGAAAAAAACAAAGTGAGTGTAGACCACCACGGATGCTAAGAACGCCCTGAGAATAGTTTAAAATGGCTAACTTTACCCAGGAATATTTTCCACTCCCCCTACCAAAAGCATAAAGGGATTTTTCTATAATCTTCACTGCTAATCTGGAATACCTAAGTATATAAAACTCATAAGCTTATGAAGATTCCCTAAGTCTGGTTTCTCTGTTATTTTATAGTGTCACGTTTGTCTGCACTCAACCTTTATTTGCCAGTTACACTTTGGATTTTTCTATCTTGGTACTGGTTCATGCAGATGTTCATGCTTATGGGTTTGTAAACTGAGAAATTATAATGCACAGATAAGTTTTGAAGTTATGTGTTCATCTGTTTTTAATCTGAATTGGGGTTAAGAATATTCCATTTGATCTGAAGTTACTGATGAATCTGAGAAGAGTTGTTTACAATTTATGTCATATGTTCTCTTGTACAGCTGGAAATTATGGCTCCTATGTTCCTTACATGAGAGAAAAAATAACAAGTCTTTGACAACCTGGAGAAAAAAAACTGAATATACCAATTTATCTTTTTATGATAGAAAGTGTGAAAGGTAAAAAATTAAATAAAACCCTATTTGATGATACACAGTAGGTGATAAAATCATAAAGAGTATCTACAAATTTATAGACAACATCTGACTTTTGTTTTCTGAGGTTTGAATTCTAACAGTTTTTGTACCCTTTCCCTATCCCTACTTTCCATCAACCCACTGTTACTCTTCCTAGCATCTGGTAATAAAGATATCTGACAAGAACTTGGTATCAGACTTTTTTTTTTTTTGCATTTAAGTATACAGTTATAATTGCTGCTAATTGGAGTGTATATTCAGGGAAACTGTAACTGTACTCTAGAGTTGCATCTTCAAGCTTTGGCCCAAATAAACTCTCTACTTAATATATTAAGTTTAATCCTCCACTTTTAGGTCAAAATACTACTTAGAATGTATTAAAGGAGCCTCCATGAGGCGAATCTCTACTCTGGTTTTACTCCACTTGCTGCAACTCACAAAAATGCAGAGCCAGGTTGATCTCATCAAGAATCTATACATAAAACTTGCCTTTTCCTGAGATTCACAAGACACAGCCACACTCTCAGTTTAGGACATGCAGAAATTCAGAGGAGACATTTTCAGAATTGTGAGAGGTCAACATTGATATATGAAGCCCCACTTTTTGAGAGAGTAGAACTTCTTGAGTTTTCCAGATTTTATTCAGTGATCCACTACAATTTTGTGACAAGCTGGTATAAACAGAATCTGATGGCAGAATATGTAAGTTTAAAGAATCACCTTCAAAGTGACGGGCCTAGATCACAAGACATTTAGAAACTTTATTTCAACTATGCTTGTCTTTCCACTGCGTTACTGAAATAGAGTATTTGTGTTTTTTCTCATACCCAACAGTTGGTTCTTCAGTAGCAGAGGTTAACTCCTCAGAGTTCCAGAGGTTATTACATCTGGATTCAGGGTCTGCAAGTCCACCAGAACATTTCCATTTTCTATTTGCACCTCACAAAGTAAGCCTGAGTGTCTCCTGCCTGGACACCATGGGATATTAGCTTACAGTAACTGGGTACTCTGACCAGCACCTGTTAGTCCTTGAGACATTTGGGTTCATCCTTTCAAAACTAGAGTTCTGCTCAAAAAAAAAAAAAAAGATGTCTATTCTGCTTTCATTTCAGAGGAGAAAGTACTCAACCAGGGTTTGTTCTTCCCTTCACAGAAATGTCCTGGCTTGTATCCAGCTGGAAGTTGCTCCATTTTCTGGTTCTTTGGTGAAAAATCAGGTCTGGCGATTTGAATTTATCTATGAGCTGCTTGCTTCTGCTTTATATGCGATTAGAAAACACAGGAAGCAGTCATGGTCTCTACTATCCAGGAATGCTCATTCTAGAGAATATAGATAAATGGTTGAATTCAGCATCATGTGGTCAGTACCAATAAAGAAGTTGGACTTAATTTTGACCATTTCCCTTATATTGCTTCTCTGGGAGTTTTAATGTCATGACCTGATGAGCTGTACATGGATAGAAAATGCGTTGTTTTTATCATTACTACTTTATTGCTTTTACTTTGTTAAGAATAAATATTTAGCTTCTAATGTAACTGCCATAGAAAGAACCAAGGGATTTGGTTAAATTGCTTGTTATGGTATATTGTAAAAGAGACAGGAAAATGCCTAAAATACATTAAGATGACAAAAATTGTTGGAGTCATATTTCTCTGGAGCAGAATCAGGAAGCACAGAACTTAATATATCCAGTGGTATAGAAATTATAGGCATAAGGCTCACTCCATAACCAAACTCAGATCAGACCTACTCTCATCTGAATTATTTCCAGGACTGACTGGCCTACCACAGAATCTGTATTGGTTCATTTTCATGCTTCTGATAAAGACATACCCTAGACTGGGCAATTAAAAAAAAAGAGGTTTGGTGGACTTAGAGTACCAAGTGTCTGGGGAGGCCTCACAATCATAGTAGAAGTCACAGAGGAGCAAGTCATGTCTTACATGGATGGCAACAGGCAAACAGAGAGCTTGTGCATAAAAAGTCCCTTGTAAAAGAATCAGATCTCATGAGACTTATTCACTATTGTGAGAAAAACATGGGAAAGGCCTGCCCCCATGATTCAATTGTCTCCCACCTGGTCCCTCCCACAACACGGTGGAATTCAAGATGAGATTTGGGTGCGAACACAGCCAAAGCATATCATTCCACTCCTGGCCCCTCCCAAATATCATGTCCTCACATTTCAAAACCAATCACGTCTTCCAAACAGTTTCCAAGACTTAATTCATTTCAGGATTAACTCAGAAGTCCAGTGTCTCATCTGAGCTAAAGTAAGTGCCTTCCACTTATGAGCCTATAAAATCAAAAGCAATTTAGTTCTTTCCTAGTACAATGGGGGTATATGCATCAGATAATGACAGTCATTTTAAATGGGAGAAATTGGTCAAAACAAAAGGGCTACAGGCCCCAAGCAAGTCCAAAATCCAGTGGACAGTCAAATCTTAGCACTTCAAAATGATCTCCTTTGACTTCATGTCTTAAACTGGATCATGCTGATGGAAGAGGGTGGTTCCTATGGTCTTAGAAATCTCCCATCCTGTGGCTTTGCAGCGTGCAGCCTCCCTCCCACCTACTTTCACAGGCTACTGTTGAGTGTCTGCAGCTTTTCCAGGTGCACAGTGCAGGCTGTTATTGGATCTACCATTCCAGTGTCTTGAAGATGGTGGCTCACTTCTCATAGCTCCACTAGGCAGCACCTCAGTGGAGACTCCATTTTTCTTTCTGCACTCCCACCCCATGATTCCCTTCTGCACTCCCATAGCAGAGGTTCTCCGTGAGTGCCCCACCCCTGCAGCAAACTACTGCCTGGTTATCCAGATGTTTTATATATTCTCTGGAATGTAGGTGGAGGTTCCCAAACTTCAATTCTTGACTTTTGTGCACCCATAGGCTCAAAACCACATGGAAGCTGTCAATGCTTGGGGCTTGGACCCTCAGAAGCCATAGCCTGAGCTGTACCTTGGCTCTTTTAAGTTATGGCTAAAGCTTCTGGGATGCAGGGGACCAAGTCCATAGATTGCACAGAGCAGAAAAAGCCTGGTCCCAGTCCACTAAATAATTTTATTTTGCCTCCTAGGTCTCTGGGCCTGTGATGAAAGCAGCTTTGACAAAGGTCTCTGACACATCCTGGAGATGTTTTCCCCACTGTCTTGGTGATTAGCATTGAGTTTCTTATTACTTATGCAGATATATTCAGCTGGCTTGAATTTCTCCTCAAAACATGGAATTTTGTTTTCTATTGCATAGTCAGGATGCAAATTTTCTCAATTTTTATGTGTATTTTCCTTTTAAAACTGAATGCCTTTGATAGTACCAAAGTGACTTTTTGAATGCTTTGCTGCTTAGAAATTTATTCTGCTAGATGCCCTGAATCATCTCTCCCAAGTTCAAAGTCCCACTGATCTCTAGGGCAGGGGGCAAAATGCTGCCAGTCGTTTTTGCTAAAGCATAACAAGCATCACCTTTACTCCAGTTTCCAACAAGTTCCTCATCTCCATCTGAGACCAACACAGTCGGGATTTCACTGTCCATATCATTATCAGCATTTTGGTCAAAACTATTCAATATATCTCTAGGAAGTTACAAAATTTTCCACATTTTCCTGTCTTCTTCTCAGCCCTCCATACTGTTTCAACCTCTGTCTGTTATCCAGTTCCAAAGTCACTTCCACATTTTCAGGTTTCTTTTCAGCAGAACCCCACTCTCAGTACCAATTTACTGTATTAGTCAATCTCCATGCTGCTGATAAAGACATACTAGGCACTTGGCAATTTACAAAAGAAAGAGATTTAATGACCTTACAGTTCCAAGTTTGTGGGGAGGCCTCACAATCATGGCAGAAAGCAAGCAGGAGAAATTCACGTCTTACATGGATGGCAGCTGGCAAACAGAGAGCTTGTGCAGAGAAGCTCCCCCTTACAAAGCCATTAGATTTAATGAGATTTATTGACTAACATGAGAGCAGCACGAAAAAGGTCGCCCCCATGATTCAATTAACTCCCACTGGGTTTCATTCATCACACGTGAGAATTCAAGATGATATTTCAGAAGTGACAGAGACAAACCATGTCAGAATCTCTTACTGAACTAATTAGAGGACTAATCATTATTTGGGGTTGTTGCTTCTGCTTCCTCTTCAGAGCTAGCTGGTGCTCACAATTTCCTGAAACCAAAAAACAAATAAGTGAGAACAAAGCCATATATTTGGGGGCCTTAATTTCTTTTTTTTTTAAATTGAAATCAGTGTTTCTATAGGCATCCCACGTAGAAACCTATTTTCCATATCTACAATTCCACTAGTTTTTCCACAAGTCTCAATAATGTAAATGCAGACACACACACAAAAATCTCTTTCAACTACACTTAACACTTCCTTTATCTCTCTCATGTATCTATTTTGAGCATTGTTTTTGCACAAATCTTTTTAAAATCAATGATAGAAAAACAGAAGTAGATTATAAATACTGAACCCTGCATTTAGATTCTGAAAATTC
The DNA here is from genome assembly GCF_000001405.40 of Homo sapiens. NCBI lineage: Eukaryota > Metazoa > Chordata > Mammalia > Primates > Hominidae > Homo > Homo sapiens. Next base: position 20,013,192 of record NC_000024.10, on the reverse strand, counting down.
TGGAAAACTTAGTACCCATCTCACACAGTTTTACCTGGATTAACACACATTATGTGAGGTCCCAGCTCACCACTCTGTAACAGAATCCTGAACACAGTACATGCTACGTAATCTTTTCATTAATGCATTTGCAAATGTGTTTTTCAAATGCAGACTCAGACATTGGCACAATTTATAGCTTCTGTAAACTTTAAAGAGGCTGCAGAAAATGTCATATTTTAGGATGGTGATTTTTAGTCTTTTTCTTTGGACTAAAAGTATTTGTGTTGTGATATGTGTGTTAAGGTAAGGGACCTTCTGTGCTGTGCCCTCTTTTCTCTCGCTGAATGCTACTATAATGAGTTTAGAAGGAATATCATTAGCATTAACACGTGGTGTGTTTTAAAAAGTTAATTCATAGACCCTTTTAAAATCTGTGGAATCATGTTACTTACAGTGAGGCATGGAATACCAAATAATTTATATGCACATTGAAGTTTTTGAGGAAAAACTTCACTAAGTGAGTCTAAGCCCAGTCTTTCAATAGGAATTATATGAACAGTTTAAACAGATGCCATCACTGGTACCCTCCACATAGATTTTGTGCATTGTTCTGGGTGTGAGAAGCCCTGTTTTTTTGTTTGTTTGTTTGTTTTAATTAAGTGCCTCACATGATTCTATGGTGAGGCCACAGTCAAGCATGAGGGCTTCTAAAAGGTTGAGTTCATCTTTTGCTCACAAAGGAGGTGACATGGCTTTCTCTGTTCAGGTTTGAAAAGGGCAGGTCATTGTGGCTCATATTTCCATTTTAGCAGCAAAAATTTCTGGCATGCCATTTTTGTTCTAAGAGGTGTAAATTTTACAGAATATTACTGTATTAAAAATTATTTTACTGGATAACATTAGTCACTCATATAAGTCAGAAGTAGTTTTCTTAACTCATTTCATCTGCAGTCAAATTAAGAACTCTGTCACTCAGTAAATACATGTATTTTTTAAGGGATGGTTTACATTCAGAAATGTGACCATGTAGTTTTCTCTGGAGTAGAGAAAATGCCTTGGACACTACCCAGTGAAATTTATGTAGGGATGTGATGTTAGAGAACTAGAGAAACTGGGTCTCCCTAAGTTTTTTTTTTTTTTTTCCTTTGTAGAATGTCTGTTGGGAGCTTCTGCTCTGCATGAATTAATTTTAGTTTCACTTTTCAAGAGGAATTGGGAGTTTTTGTTGCAGAAAAGAAAATCTTCAAGATGTTTTATCTTGGCATGAAGCTCATTCTTTTTTCTTGAGCCACTTTGTGTCCTTTACTCTAGATTAGCAGTAATTTTGAAAACTTAGTGGAGTAAAATATTGTTACCCATAACTTTATATTCAATTTTTACCACTAATTTTAATTCAGTAGTATTGAGAGGTGAAGCCAGCTGGACTTCCTGGGTTGAGTGGGGATTGGAGAACTTTTCTGTCTAGCTAGAGGATTGTAAACACACAAATCAGTGCTCTGTAAAAACGCACCAATCAGCACTCTGTGTCTAGCTTAAGGATTGTAAATGCACCAATCAGCATTCTGTAAAAATGCACCAATCAACACTGTGTGTCTAGCCAAAGGATTGTAACCTCACCAATCAGCACTCTGTAAAAATGCAGCAATCAACACTCTGTGTCTAGCTAAAGGAATGTAAATGCACCAATCAGCACTCCATAAAAATGCAGCAATCAGTTCTCTGTGTCTAGCTAAAGACTGTAAACTCACCAATCAGCACTCTGTAAAATGGACCAATCAGCAGGATGTGGGCAGGGACAAATAAGGGAATAAAAGCTGGCTACCCCAGCCAGCTGCGGCAACCCACTCGGATCCCCTTCCACACTCTGAAATCTTTGTTTTTTCGCTTTTCACAATAAATCTTGCTGCTGCACACTATTTGGGTATGCACCACCTTTAAGAGCTGTAACACTTACTGCAAAGGTCCACAGCTTCATTCTTGAAGTCAGCAAGACCACAAACTCACCAAAAAGAAGAAACTCCAGACACATCTGAACATCTGAAGGAATAAACTCCAGATATATCATCTTTAAGAGCTGGAACACACATCATGAAGGTCTGTGGCTTGATTCTTGAAGTCAGTGAAACTAAGAACCCACCGGAAGGAATCAACTCCAGACACATCTTGGTGACCGTGAAGGGACACATCTTGGTGACTGTGGCAGGACAATTGCCAAGCAGTGAGTACCATCCTACCCCTTTCACTTGCTATTCTGTCCTATTTTTCCTTAGAATCTGGGTGCTAAATACGGGGCACCTGTTGGGCCAGTTAAAAGCAACTAGTGCTATCACCAGACTAAAGACACGGATGTCAGGCCTTCTGGGAAAGGGTTCCCTAACAACTCCCAAATCTATGGAGTTGGGAGTGTTGGTTTGCCTGGAACAAGCTTCTGCTTTTCCTGTACTTCTGGGCTGAGCTGAGGGCCAACAGAAAGGGAAGCCATTCAACCCCAGGGTCCCAAAAAAAGTTGGTTGACCCCATAGCCATAAATAGAACTCACAAAGTCATGTCGCCCAAGTGAGACTTACCCATTTATCCTATCTATCCTGACCCTTGACTCCTAGATCCTGATACCTGTCAGACAAACTTCCTCTTGCCTCTCTTCTCCAAGGCTAGTCACACTTCTAAAAACCACTCCCTGTCTCTGGTGCTTTTCTACTTTCTCCTATAAGATTTATTTCTATTATAAACTTCAGGATTCTGTTCCTTTCTTTAGGTACCTGAGCTCACCAATCAGAAAGACATAATTTTTGCCCAAAGTTTCATCTGGAATTTTAGGATCCCTCCTCAGACTAGCAGGCCTAAGAAAAAAGCTATTCCTGAAGCTAGGATATGGGGAGCCCAGAAATGACATCCTTCTTATTCATATGATGAAAAGTGATGAAAAAAGGTGTCACTCTTCCAAGCCTGGAGATTCCTTCCCTCCCTCAGGGTATGGCCCTCCAATTCATTTTGGGTCCATAACATCTTTATAGGACAGGAGTAAGGTCCTAGGACTAACAGGAGAACACTTAGGACTCTATCAGGTTTTTGAGAATGCATCAGTAAGGGCCACTAAAGCTGATTTTTCTGAGTTCTCTTTGTGGTCTAAGAGGACAGGCAAGGGTGCAGGTTTTCAAGAATGCATCAGTAAGGGCCACTAAATCCAACTTTCTTTGGTCCTCTTTGTGGTCTAAGAGGAAAACTAGTGTTTCTGCTGCTGCTTCAGTGAGTGCAACTATTCCGATCAGCAGGGTCCAGGGACCATAATGAGTTCTTGGGCAAGAGGGGTTTCTGCTGCTGCATTGCTAAGCACAACTATTCTGAGGAGCAGGGTCCAGGGACTGTTGAGGGTTCTTGGGCAAAGAGGGGGGAAACAAACAAACGAAAGCCAGGCATTTTTTTGTTTGTTTCAGATGGGAAACACTCAGGCATCAACAGCCTCACCCTTGAAATGCATCCTAAGCCACTGAGACCAATTTGACCCACAAACCCTGAAAAACAAGCAGCTTATTTTTTTCTGCACTATGGCTAGCCCCAATATTCTCTCTCTGAAGGGGAAAAATGGCCACCTGAGGGAAGCATAAATTGCAATACTAGCCTGCAGCTTGACATTTTCTGTAAGAGGGAAGGCAAATGGAGTGAAATACCTTATGTCCAAGCTTTCTTTTCATTGAAGGAGAATCCACAACTATACAAAACTTTCAATTTACTTCCCACAAGAGGACCTCTCAGCTTACCCCCATATCCTAGTCTCCCTATAGCTCCCCTTCCTATTAATGATAAGCCTCCTCTAATCTCCCCTTCCCAGAAGGGAACAAGGAAATAAATCTCCAAGGGACCACAGCCCCCTCCCCCGGGCTATCGGTTATGTCCCCTTCAAGCTGTAGGAGTAGGGGAATTTGGCCCAACCTGGGTACATGTCCCCTTCTCCCTCTCTGATTTAAAGTAGATCAACGTAAACCTGGGAAAGTTTTCAGATGATGCTGATGGGTGCATAGATGTCCTACAGGGTCTAGGGCAAACCTTCAATCTCACTTGGAAAGATGTCATGCTAGTGATAGATCAAATCCTGGCCTTTAATGAAAGAATGCAGCTTTAGCTGCAGCCTGAGAGTTTGGAGATATCTGGCACCATAGTCAAGTAAATGATAGAATGACAACGAAAGAAAGGGATAAATTCCCTACTGGTCAGCAAGCTGTACCCAGCATAGATCCCCACTGGTATCTTGACTCACATCATGGGAACTGGAGTCACAAACATCTGTTGACCTGTACTCTAGAAGGACTAAGGAGAATTAGGAAAAAGCCCATGAATTATACAATGATATCCACCATAAGTCAGGGAAAGGAAGAATATCCTTCTGCCTTCCACAGTAGCTACAAGAGGCCTTAAGAAAATATATTCCCCTATCACCTGACTCCCTCAAGGGTCAAATGATCCTAAAAGATAAGTTTATTACCCAATCAGCTGCAGATATCAAGAGAAAGCTCCAAAAGTGAGCCCTGGGCCCTGAACAAAATCTGGAGGCATTATTAAACCTGGCAACCTTGGTGTTCTATAATAGGGACCAAGAGGAACAGGCTGAAAAGGAAAAGTGAGATCAGATAAATTCCCCTGCCTTAGTCATGGCCCTCAGACAAACAAACCTTGGTGGTTCAGAGAGGACAGAAAATGGAGCAGGCCAGTCACCCAGTAGGGCTTGTTACCAGTGTGGTTTGCAAGGATACCTTAAAAAAGACTGTCCAACAAGAAACAAGCTGCCCCCTCACCCATGTTCACTATGCTGAGGCAATCACTGGAAGGTGCCCTGCCCCAGAGGACAAAGGTTCTCTGGGCCAGAAGCCCCCAACCAGATGATCCAACAACCACACTGAGGGCACCTGGGGCAAGCACCAGCTCGTTTCATCACTCTCACTAAGCTCTGGGTATGTTTAACCACTGAAGGCCAGAAAATTGACTTCCTCCAAGATACTGGTGTGGCTTTCTCAGTGTTAATCTCCTGTTCCAGACAGCTGTCCTCAAGGTCCATTACCATTGAGGAATCCTGGGGCAGCTTGTAACCAGGTATTTCTCCCACCTCGTCAGTTGTAATTGGGAGACTTTGCTCTTTTCACATGCCCTTCTTGTTATGCCTGAAAGTCCCACACCCTTATTAGGGAGGGACATATTAGCCAAAGCTGGAGCTATTATCTACATGAATATGGGGCACAAGTTAATCATTTGTTGTCCCTTGCTTGAGGAGGGAATCAATCCTGAAGTCTGGGCATTGGAAGGACAATTTGGAAGGGGAAAAAAAGCCTATGCAGTCCAAATCAGGTGAAAAGACCCCACCACTTTTCTTTATCAAAGGCAATATCCTAAGGCCTGAGGTTCATAAAGGATTACAGGATATTGTTAGACATTTAAAAGCTCAAGTCCTAGTAAGAAAATGCACCAGTCCCTGAAATACCCCAATTCTGGGAGTCTTCCTAATTCCCAACATTGACATTGCCCCAGGAAATCAGACTCTATCAGTACCCCTCAAAGCTCAAGTCCATCAGCACAGAGCCACACAACTAATACCCCTACTTAGACGGTTAGAAATGGCTACTGCTGCAGGAACCGGAATAGCCACTTTATCTACTTTATTATCCTACTAACACACACTCTCAAAGAATTTCTCAGACAGTTTGCAAGAAATAACAAAATCTATCCTTACTCTACAATCCCAAATAGACTCTTTGACAGCAGTGACTTTCCAAAACTGCCAAGGCCTAGACTTCCTACTGTTGAGAAAAGAGGACTCTGCACCTTCTTAGGGGAATAGTGTTGTTTTTACACTAACCAATCAGGGATGTTACAAGATGCACCCAAGCATTTATAGGAAAAGGCTTATGAAATCAGACAATACCTTTCAAACTCTTATACCAACCTCTGGAGTTGGGTGACATGGCTTCTCCCCTTTCTAGTTCCCATGACAGCCATCTTGCTATTACTCACCTTTGGTCCCTGTATTTTTAATCTCCTTGTCAAATTTGTTTCCTCTAGGATCAAGACCATCAAGCTACAGATGGTCTTACAAATGGAACCCCAAATGACCTCAACTAACAACTTCTACTGCAGACCCCTGGACCAACCCACTGGCCCTTTGACTGGCCTAAAGTGTTCCCCTCCAGAGGACACTACAACTGCAGGGCCCTTCTTCACCCCTATCCAGCAGGAAGTAGCTAGAGCAATCATCGCCCAATTCCCAACAGCAGTTGGGGTGCCCTGTTTAGAGGGGGGGACTGAGACATGAAGCCAGCTGGACTTCCTGGGTCGAGCGGGGACTTGGAGAACTTTTCTGTCTAGCTAGAGGATTGTCAACACACCAGCCAGCACTCTGCAAAAACACACCAATCAGCACGCTGTGTCTAGCTAAATTATTGTAAACACACCAATCAGCACTCTGTAAAAATGCACCAATCATTGATCTGTGACTAGCTAAAGGATTATAACCTCATCAATCAGCAATCTGTAAAACAGACCAATCAGCAGGACATGGGTGGGGACAAATAAGGGAACAAAAGCTGGCCACCCCAGCCAGCAGTGGCAACCTTCTCAGGTCCCTGTCTACATTGTGGAAGCTTTTGCTCTTCACAATAATTCTTGCTGATTCTCACACTTTGGGTCCGCAGCACATTTAAGAGCTGTAACACTCACCATGTACGTCCGCAGCTACATTCTTGAAGTCAGCGAGACCACGAACCCACTGGAAGGAAGAAACTCTGGACACATCTGAACATCTGAAGGAACAACCTTCGGACACACCATCTTTACGAGCTGTAACACTCACCGCGAAGGTCTGCAGCTTAATTCTTGAAGTCAGTGAGACCAAGAACCCACCAGAAGGAACCAACTCCAGACACAGTACTAGGCTAATAAAACTAATAACTCATATATTTAGAATATTTCTTAAATATTTAAAGATTCTGTCAGAAAACCATTTTTTGATTAATTATCTAAAATTTTATATAATGTATCTTTTCTACTAAGCACACTTCAAGGTTGTTAATTGAAAAATCTGCAGCAAGCACTATGTTAATCTTTTTTTTTTTTTTTTTTTTTTTTTTTTTTTTTTTTTTTTTTTTTTTTGAGATGGAGTCTCACTCTGTCACCCAGGCTGGAGTGCAGTGGCACAATCTCGGCTCACTGCAAGCTCCGTCTGTCTCCTGGGTTCAAGCCATTCTCCTGCCTCAGCCTCCAGAGTAGCTGGGAATACAGGCACCCGCTACCATGCCTGGCCAAATTTTTTTGTATTTTTAGTAGATACGGGGTTTCACCATGTTAGCCAGGATGATCTCGATCTCTTGAATATGTTAATCTTTTTAAAAATAAAACAGGTACCACTATTTCTAACCCAGACCTAATCACCTGTCTCGGGTAAGGGAAAAGTCCCTAAAATGTGAAGAAACGTGAGATAGTAGCCAAACACTCAGGAAGATGAGAGTGAAAGAAGTAGTATTAATAGACAACACAAGCAAGAGGACAAAAGTTCAAGCAGAAATTCAGGTCTTAACATGTAGTTTAGGAATCTCTGCTGCAATGAAAATAATTTCTAAGAAACCTCAATTTTTTTTCCTATATTCAAAAATAGAGACATTTCCTGTCCTATGTTCTTGAATTTTTAAATAATTCTCTTTTTTTATTTTTATTTTTTTGAGATGAGAGTCTTGCTCTGTCACCTAGGCTGGAGTGTAGTGGCGTGATCTCAGGTCACTGCAACCTCTGCTTCCTTTGAATGGTTCTCCTGCCTCACGCTGAAGTAGCTGGGATTACAGGCACCTACCACCACACCAGGCTCTTTTTTTTTTTTTTTTTTTTTTTTTTTTTGTATTTTTTGTAGAGACAGGATTTCACCATGTTAGCCAGGCTGATCTCAATCTCCTGACCTCATGATCTGCCCACCTCGGTCTCCCAAAGTGCTGAGATTACAGGCTTCAGCCACCATGCCCGGCCAGTGATTCTCTTTTTATTTCAGTGAACTCTTTGAAGTTTACAGTCTGGGCCACTTTATCACATAGACTGATAAATCTGCATAAATCTGCATAACTGGAGTGCTCTTCCATGATTTTTGAGGACATGAGAATATTTGTGTGTCTTTTTTTTAAGAAACTATATTAAACTATGTTTTTCATATTCCTTTTTGTTTGGTGTCTGAAATGTGTGAAGTGAATAGTACAGATGTTGATAAATGGTTTAGAAATTTCAGAAACAGTATGGGTGCAGTGGCTTATGCCAGTAATCTCAGCACTTTGGGAAGCCAACGTGGGTGGATCACCTGAGGTCAGGGGTTGGAGACCAGCCTGACCAACATGATGAAACCTCATCTCTGCCAAAACTGCAAAAAGTTAGCCAGGTGTGGTGGCTGGCACCTATAATCCCAGCTACCTGATGTAGCAAAATCGCTTGAACCCAGGAGGCGGAGGCTGCATTGAGGCAAGACTGTGCCACTGCACTCCAGCCTGGGCAACAAGAGCAAAACTCCCTCTCAAAAAAAAAAAAAAAAAAAAAAAAAAAAAGAAGAAGAAGAAATTTTAGAAACACCAGGAAGAGATGCTCTATGTTATTTGCTTTATGATTTTTACTTGAACAGAGGTTGCAGATGTGCTTCTATAAAATTAATACTCAGTAATTTTATTAGAATAGCATCTTCCTAGGTATAAATAAATTGAATGTTATTTAACTTCAAAATGTTATTGTCTTTTATTAGGTTTGTAACTTAAACTCTCTATGTGTAAATTTTCCAATTATAATGTAATTTAATGGATCACTCAACTTCTAGATTTCTTAAATGGGCTAATAATTGCAAAGCTTACAACATTGCTGAGAAGATACTAAATATTAATTATCTCATTTCTTAATAATGATTTTGTAATTTTTTTTGTAATAATAGAAAGTTTACTAGGAACGTAGTCCCATTAGAACATATATAGGACTTACAATATCATTTCTTAAGTATGAATATACTTATACTGTGATATATGTACATGTTTACTGTGTGTTTGTGTGTGTGTATATATATATGTGTATGTATGTGTATACATATATATCCTTTAATTGTTTTTACTAAGCAAAACCTTCTCCAGACTCATCCATGTTGTTGTAAATAGCTAGATTTACTTTTCCTTTATGGCTGAATAGTATTGCACTGTGAATATATACCATATTTGGGTTATTGTAAATAATGCCATAATGAACATGGAGCTAAAGATATTTCTTCAAGCACTCATTTATTTGGTAGTAGGGCCAGAAGCGGAATTGCTGAATTATATGGTACTTTTGGTTATATTTTTAAGACAACCTGCTTACTGGTTTTTATGATGACTTTAGCAATTTACAACTCACCAAGAGCAGACAGCATTTCCCTTGTACACATGACTTCTTTGGATAAACATGCATTTAACTTTTTGCTTATTTTTTTAAGTAGGCTGTTATTATCGTTATTTGTTTCAAACTGAATAAGCTCATACATTTGAATATTAACCTTTTAGGTACATAATTTGCAAGTATTTTCTCATCTTCTAGAGTTTTTAAAATTTTGCGGAGCTTTATAATGGCAGAAACTTTTATTTGATGCAGTCCAACATGTTTATATTTTCTATTTTTAATGTGCATTTGGTGTAACATCAAAATTATTGCCAATATTAAGAAAGTCTTTTTTTATGTTACCTTCCAGGAGCTTTAAGGTTTTATAGTTTACATTTAACACTTTCATGTTAATTTTGAGGTACAATATAAAAAAATGGTCAGTTTTATTATTTTACTCATGAATGTCCAGTTTCCCTGGCACAACACTTTCTGCATTGTATAATCTTTGTTCCATCTTTTTTTTTTTTTTTTTTTTTTTTTTTTGAGATGGAGTCTTGCTCTGTCGCCCAGGCTAGAGTGCAGTGGATCTCGGCTTACTGCAGCCTCAGCCTGCTGGGCTCAAGTGATTCTCCTGCCTCCGCCTCCCGAGTAGCTGGGATTACAGGCGCCCGCCACTGCGCCTGGCTAACTTTTTGTATTTTTAGCAGAGAGGGGGTTTCAGGATCTTGGCCAGGCTGGTCTCCAACTCCTGACCCTGTGATTCACCCGCCTCAGCCTCCCAAAGTCCTGGGATTACAAACTTGAGCCACCGGGCCAGGCCTTGGTTCCCTTTTTCTAGAATAGTTGAACTTGTACCATGAATTTATGTATTGGCTCCCTATTCTGTTCCATTATTTTTTCCCATTTTATGCTTATTTCATACCATTTTCATTACCATAAACATTAAATAGATTAAAAAATCAGGCAGTATTATGCCCTGGCTTTGTTTTTTCTCAAGATTACTTAGGTTATTTGGAGTTAAGTTTACACTAAAATGTTAATTTTTTTGTTACTGTAAAAAATGGACTGAAATTGATAGGAATCACACTGAGTCTATGGATCACTGTGATAAAATGTTACTTTGAGAATATTAATCTTTCTAATCTGTAAATATGCAATATTTTTTCATTGATTTTTGTCTTTTTTTTTTTTTTTTTTTGAGACAGAGTCTCACTCTGTTGCCCAGGCTGGAGTGTGGTGGCGCGATCTTGGCTTGCTGCAAGCTATGTCTTCTGGGTTGACTACATTCTCCTGCCTCAGCCTCCTGAGTAACTGGGACTACAGGTGCCCACCACCACGCCTGGCTAATTTTTTTTTTTTTTTTTTTTTTGTATTTTTAGTAGATACGGGGTTTCACCGTGTTAGCCAGGATGGTCTTGATCTCCTGACCTCGTGATCTGCCCGCCTTGGCCTCCCAAAGTGCTGGGATTACAGGCAGGAGCCATCACACCCAGCCTTTTGTCTACTTTAATTTCTGTCATCAATATATTACTGCATTAAATGTATAAATTTGTCATTTCCTTGGTTAAATCTATTCAGAAGAAATTTCTTATTTCTGTAGTATTTTAAATAGAAATATGTATTTTTGGAAAGTCTGTTGTTAATGTATGAAAATGTAACTAATATTTGTATGTCAGGCTGGGCATACTGGTTTGCCCCTGCAGTCCCTGCACTTTGGGAGCTGAGGAAGGTGGATTGCTTGAAGTCCTAAGAGTTCAAAAGCAGATTGCTTGAAGTCCCAAGAATTCAAAAATAGCAAGACACTATCTCTATAAAACAACAACAGTTAGCTGAGCTTCGTGGAACAAACCTGTAGTCCTAGCTACTTGGTAGGCTGAGGTTAAAGGACCACTTGAGCCTGGAAGGTTAAGACTGCAATGCGTGTGGATTTTATCACTGTACTCCATCCTGGGCAACAGAGTGTGACCATGTCTCAAAAACAAACAATTGTATGTTAATTTTGTATCTTGATAGTTTACTGAATTTATTAGTTCCAACATTTTTTGTTGTAATCTAAAGTTTTATGTATATATACATATATATATATACACACACACACATATATATACACATATGCATATATACATATACACACATATACACACACACACACATGCATATATCCATGCTGGAGAGAAACCTTTCAAATGTAATAAGTGTGGCAAAGTCTCCAACAGGGGCTTATATATTACTCAACATCAAATACTCTCTCCTGGAAAAAAAAAACTTTCAAATGTGAAAAATTTGGCAAATATTTAACTGAGGCTTACAACTTTCTCAACATTAGAGTGCCTATTTTGCAGAGAAACTTTTCCAATGTAAATAATGTGGGAAAGCTTTTAACTGAGAATTAAAATTTACTCAGCATCAGAGAATACATGCTGGAGAAGAATCTTTAAAGAATGTGACAAAACCTTTAAAAGGTATGCACACTTTACATGAGATAATTCATACCGGTGAGAAATATTTCAAATGTAAAGAATGTGAGAAGTTTTCAAAAAATGCTCAACCCTTATCCAATATCAAAGAATACATATCAAATAGAACACAGCAAGTGTAAAGAATTTAACAACACTCTCAACTGGTGCTTACACCTTTCTCAGCATTAGAGAATCAATACTGGATAGAAATCCCATATATTCATAATATATATGAGTGTGTGGGGGGAATCTTTGTTTAAAATATTTACCTTAGAAAACACCACATTCCTTATACTGGATATTATTTTTACAAACGTAAAGCAGTTAGCAAAGTCTTTAGCTGTTATGTTAATCCAACTTTACAGAGAATTTTCATAACAAAGAATGCCTAAAAATATAACAAATATGAAATAAGCTTTGTCCAAAATATATAAATTAGAAGCACTAAAGAGTTTATGCTTAGAAAAAGCTTTGTAGCTAAAATAAATGTGAGGAAGTATTTAATGAAAAATAAGATAAAAGTAAAAATCACAGGAATCATCCTAGAATGAACTAAAGTACTAATATTTTCAGTTAGACATTACTCTAAATTGTGTTTATTATAGAGGATAATCTAAACTCAAAACAATTACATAATGTGTTTCAGAAAAGTGAAGACATTAATAAATCATTGAGTATAATTATATTCAACATATTTTTATAACAAAATCATTTGAGATCAGTTGAGAAAATAGTACTAATATAATTAATTTAAAATTACTTGATGCTATTTTAAAATTACTGCTCTTTATGTAAAAGCATGTGGTTGATCATTGCCACCTCTAACCTATGTGAGGCCACTCTATGTTAGGTATACATTATTCACATCAGCTCTCCCAGAAAAGATTCAAGGCACTTACATGTAAGATAAAATAATTTAAATCAAGGTGTTTTTTTTGTTTGACTTACAATAGTGTTGTAAGGCATGCATAAGTTATCTTAAATTAAGAGGTGGAAAAATCTGAGTTTTAGAAATAATTTTATCAACTGCCCATTAAGGAGAAAAGCATAATCAGTCCATTAATACTATGATGTATCTTCACACTAGAAACAGTAAAAAGTCCTGTGTATGAATTGTGGTGGCAAGGAAGAAATTTTCACAATCAGAGAAAAGTGCAAATAACTGCTCTCTAATAGGACACATTATAGATTATCATAATTCAATTATACAAATACTTAGTTTAAAAAAGAAGAAAGCTCATTTTTCACATACATCATTGTATCAGAATAACAAGAATGTTTTGTGAGTGCTTGCAGTCTGTATTTTGTCTATTGAGAATACATCTCAAATTCAGAATACAGTGTATTTTTAAATGCTTTATTTAGTCTATGTTTAAATTCAATTTATTTTAATAAATACTTTTTTTTGTTGTGTTTTTTACCACGCCAAAAATATTAATGTGTTTCACCTTGCTCAAGTTTCTAGGTAGCAAATGATAATAATGTACTGTTGGGTAATACAGTCTCTAATGCTATTTTTAGCATTCCGTATTTATAGTAGTATTGAACCCCAAATAATTTGGAGAGTATTGATTTTATGGTTTTTTTATATTTTATGAAGTGTTTATTTCATATGTTTATTCATTTATCCTTTTTGTAACTACTGGGATATTATAATGATTATAATAAAGATTAAAATATAATAAGGGATTGAATTTTGTAACTAATAGTTTGTGTTCATCTCATACAAAAAAAGACTTGTTATATAACATCAGCAAATAATATGTATATTTTGTCTTATGGACATGGTCAATAGGGAGCAGCCCATTACTAATAAGATTGCACAGTGACCTTATAGAATACCAGTTTGTTTCCATTTTCTCAAACCACATTTCAGACAGCAAAAGGGAGAAAATATGCAGCTGATAGATCACAGAAAATTAGATTGGAAGCCATTGTTTCTTAATTCAGAGAAGGCCATCATTCCTAGGTACTTCTAAGTTTCATTGAACAGACTCTTTTTTAGGCTTACCCCATGCAGCAGCAACTTTCTGCAGCACAGGAAGGCGTGAGAACACGATTGAGAAGAGCTGTTACCTGTGCTGTTTCACAAGGGTGACAAAAATCTTACAACCTCATGTACTCAGTGTGTTAGGATAAAAAATCTCAAATTAAGAATATACTCTTCCAAGATGCACAATGTAATTGTGTGTAAATGGAGTACTTAAACTTCTGAGGTGCACTTGAAGAGTTAAGTATTAGATTATTATTTATGCTTTCATAGTATAAATTCTTAAAATAGTATAATAATGAGAATATTAGTTCAATTATCAAATATAATATCTATTATTTTTGCCACCTGTTTTATATAGAACTTAATAAAATGTCAAATAAATTAAAAATTCTTTTAAATTGGATTATCATGAGACCTGATATGAGTGTAAGTGATTTATTGAGTAGGTGATCCCTGGAAGAATGGGAGAAAAATGAAATTGGAAAGATTAAAAAGAATAAGGCTATATTTTCAGTCATATTTATTTTATTTATAAATACATTTATTGAGTTTTGAGTCACAATTCTAACATTATTATAATCTTATGGTGTATTTCAGGTATGCTATATCTATCTGCTAACTCAGGGGTATGCTGTTACTTAGGTTATACAGAGGCTGATTAACACAGCATGCATCTGAACCATCTAGAGGCCTTGTAACCTCACAGATTTCTGGGCTGCATGCTACTAATTCGTTGGTCTGGCCTGTGGTCAAAGAATGTTCCTTCCTTACAAGTTCTCAGTTATTTCTAATGTCTTTTGTCCAGGCAAACTACTTGCAGAACAATGACTGAATGGATATTTATTTTACACATTTATGGTTGGCCTATAGGGACATGTAGAAAAATACACAGGTGGCAATGCATTGTTTTAAGTGGATTCTTGTCTAGGTCACACAGATGTGAAAGTACCAATAAATATATAAAAGCTGTTTTATTTTTATTTGTCTGTCTTGGATTTTGAGTACTGTACTTGGTTCACAGTCATCGGTTTCTCACTCTGGGTGTACATTTTTGTCCCCAGCTGGAATCTAAAATCTGAGACATTCATGACCAGGTTCATGCCAATATATTTAAACAAACTATTAAGATAATGTATTGGTGCTTTTGGGGATGTTTGACAATAATTCCATGTGTAACTGTGGAAGTTACATGGGAGATATGAGTGTAAATTTGTGGTAGTGACATTGAACATTTAGGGGCATAGAGTTAGATCTGGACCTGTAAGACAAGCCTCATTTTTCTGGACTCAGGCCTTTACTCATAAATGAGCTTTCTTAGGATACTCTCCCTGTAAAATATTACAATTTCAACTAGGGGACTGGGGTTTTGGCAATTTTTGAGAAAGATGTGATTAATGATGTGGGCTTCAGATATCTTTGGGAACTTGATTCTCCTTTTTTTTATGAGTTATGAAATTCTGTTTAACACCTTCAAAAAATATAAAATTTACACTGCCTATTCATTACATAAGTTTATCTAAATAACTTCTAATTACATATCTAATCATATTTATCAGATTATCAGTATTTACACATTTTAAATAAGTTGACATTTTTGTTAACATACTAGAGTTTCCCTTAAAATGATTACTCTTACACAACTAATTATAATTCTTATCTAGTCTTTGATTTTTACTTTGTTTATATTTCTAAAAAATTAACACATTAAAATAAAATATTCTTATACATTATTTTTCAAAGGTTTTATTTTATATTTTAGAGGTCTTTCCAATTATTCACATGAAATCTTGTGCTTTAATGTGGTGTTTTTAAATGGTCATTTTTGTTAGTATAAGTGACTAGTTCATCAGTTATATATGATTTAAAGCATAATTTATTAACTGAACTGATACTTTCAACATAATAAATTTTCTCATATATTTTTAGGCCTTTATTATTGGTCTATTTTATTATTGTACCTATGAGTAACTTTACTTTTTTAAATTGTGGTACAATGCAAATAGTGTCAAACTTATCATTTTTTCATTTCTAAGTGTGTCTTTCACTGGCTTTAGTATATTTAAATTGTAAAACTCTCAGCATCATCTATTTACAGGAATTTTTTCATCATGCAAAAGTGAAACCCTGTACCAATTAATTAGGAATTTCTCATTTCTTTTTACCCCAGCTCTTTGTAACCACCATCTGCTTTCTGTCTCCATGCATTTGAATATAAGTTGAATCAGAGAATATTTTACTGTTTGTGACTGTTTTTTTTTTACTTGACATAATGTCCTTAAGGTTCATCTATGCTGAAGCATTGCCAGAATTTTCTTTCTTTTTAAGGATAAATTATAGTCCATTATTTTTATTGTTAACATTTTAAATCCATTTATGTATCAATGGATATTTGAGTTACTTCTGTCTTTAGGTAATATAAATAATGCTGTTATCAACATGAATAAATTAATAACTTTCACACAATACTTTGAAATATTGAGAGTTTGCCTTTATATGTGGCATTGCTAAAGAATAAGAAAATTTTACCTTTTAGTTTATTTTTAACAAAGTACTGTACTGTTTTCCAAAACCTGTACCATTTTACAGGTTTGTCCACAGTGCACAAGGTTTTCCATTTCTTTACATGCTCAAAACTTTTGGTTTTTGTTCTTAATTTTTAAGTGTCTAATATATATTTAGACACAATTGAGATATATAATTTTATAATTTTAAAGTATATAATCTGTATGAATGAAGATAATGGTTGCCCAAATATCTATATCTATCTATATTTATTTATTTAACTATATGTTACTATTTTAACAAGTCTTAACTGTGCAGTTCAGTGGCATAAAGCACAATCACAATGTTCAGCAACCATCATCTTTATTCACAAAAATATCCTACATCTTAAAATTATGTTGGATTATTCCCCTCATCCCTTCCATGGGTCTTTCACAACAACAGGAAGAATTATCATCACACATCCCCAGATACTTCAAAAACAGTTACGTTTTAAACTAACACTCTTACAGATACAAATATAATCTAACTAAAATATTACATGTAGTTTAAGTACTTATTTATACGTAATACATATAAGCTTTTGTGTCCAAGAACTGAGGAAGAATTCCAACTTCTCTTGTTATAGAAAATTTGCTAACACATGCTCTAAAGAAGTCAATTTTTAAACATGATATTCCTGGAGTTTTACTTATAAAGCAGTACAAATTTTAATGTTGCCACTTAAACATTTTTTGAGTTAAGGTAAAAGTGTGTCCAGTACACTCAGTCATCATGTAAAGGAATGCCTACAATTAAGAAAGAAGGAGAATTGCAAACCTAATACAATTTTATTGGTGACCCATAGAAAAATATGTCCAAATCGTATGAGAACAATGAAATTACAAACTCCTGTGTGAGGCTACCCAGAACAACAGTCTTATAATGAATATGAGTATGTTCTGTCCTCTTATTCTCCTTCTTATAACAATATTTTTTATGACACAAAATAAAGTAGTTACATAAAAGTAGCATAATAGTTATCTAGGATAACTTGATTTCATCAGGAATGTCAAAAAAAATTAGGAATCAATAACAGCCAGCTATCCTACTGGGTGCAGGGTTCCTAACACTTTGGGAGTCCAAAGTGGGTGGACTGCTGGAGGCCAGGAGTTCAGGACTAACCTGGTCAACATGATGAAACCCCATTTCCACAAAAAATACAAAAATTAGCTGGGTATGTTTGCCTGCACCTGTAGTCCCAGCTACTCAGGGGGCTGAGGCAAGAAGGTCACTTGAACCAGGGGGTGAAGGTTACAGTGAGCTAAGATCATGCCATTGTACTCCAGCCAGGGCAAGGGAGTGAGGCACTTAGAAATTCAGTGAAAACAAAGCTGACTTCAGATCCAGTGCTCATTTATCACCTCAGTGCTGATTTTTCAACCATGAGCAGAAGACACAAGATGCCTTGGTGGGGGTGGAGTTGGGGCTAAAGTGAAAGTCAGTGCAGCAGATACATTAGCAGGACCTTAATCATAACATTGAAAATAAATTGACACCACCTAAATAAAAATAAGAAAATACGTATTCCAAAGTTGCCCAAGTAAAAGAATTAGCCACCATCACTTGTGTTTGGTATAAACTTAAAGGCAGACAGTGGGTTGAGAAAGTTTTTTTACTAGAAAAAGAGGCAAGATTTCAGATTTGCCCTGACTGAAGACTGTTTACATACAGAAGTTGCAGGAGAGCTAATTAGAGGTCAAATTGCCAACTTTCTTGCTAAGTGTGCAGGTTTGGTTTTCTCAGTTTGGTTATATGTTAAAGACAGATGCAAAAATTGGCACACTGTCAGTTAACAATCAACACTTGATTGTCTGAGACTTATGGCTGCAGGTTGTCTTAAGAGTTCTGTTTTTATATACATGCTGACTGTTATCCCATTGCATCTTTTTGTTTAAAATAAAAAGAAAAATTACCGAAAGGGGCAAAACATTTGCAAATTATATATGTGATCATGGAGATCTACTCAACCAAAAATATTTCTTAGTCATAATTAATAAAAAGCAAACTGTTTAAAATACAAAATAAATTTCAATGACATGTCTCCAAGAAAAACATACTATTCAAATATGGATATTATTGTTAGTCATTCACATTCATACCAACATCACAATATGGTATATCTTCACACTCACTAGAATGGCTGTAATCCAACAACAGACAATAAGAAATGATGGTAAGAAGGGAGAGAATATAAACCTCACACATTGTCTATAGAAATGTAAACTAATATAGCCACTTTGAAGAACAATTTTGCAGTTTTTCAGTGTCATATGTAGAATTATCATATGACACAGCAATTCCACTCCCATTTACTCAGAAAAAATTAAAATGTGTGAAAATATAAAGACTCAGGTAAAAGCTCATACCAGCACTTATTTGTACCAACTCAAATTGTACACAACTCAAATACTCATCAACAAGCAAAAATTTAAATTTTTTTATCTGTATAATAGAATGATATTCAGCTATCAACAATTTAAAATGGATTAAGTACTTGCCTCCGAAAGAAAACCTGCCTCAACTATGTCACCTGCCACAGTAAAAAAGGTGACTGACTGAGGCTTCACAGTATAAAACTCATGGAGGTCCCCATTTAGAAGGACTGCATGGGGCAAGCCTGAATTTTACTCACTGCCTCATGGGTTTTGAAGGCATCTCAATGCACCTATTTGCTGTGCTCAGACTCAAGACCAGCCCAGCAGAATCCAAGTGGAGACCCCAGAGCCAAGCTCAGGCAATGGCATAGACAGCTGTGTGCCCAGAAACTCTTCAGCTAGGCAGGCAAGAAGTACAAGTGGCTGAAGTGTTGCGGCAGCAGTAGTGGCAGAAGCAGCTTAAGAATAAAGATGTTCTGAGGGGGAGAAGCCAAGATGGCCAAATAGGAACAGCTCTGGTCTACAGCTCCCAGTGTGAGAGACGCAGAAGATAGGTGATTTGTGCATTTCCAACTGAGGTACTGGGTTCATCTCTCTGGGGTGTGCCAGTGCCAGACAGTGGGTGCAGCACACCGTGCGTGAGCCAAAGCAGGGCGAGGAATCACCTCACCCTCGAAGCACAAGGGGTCAGGGAATTCCCTTTCCCAGTCAAAGAAAGGGGTGAAGACGGCACATGGAAAATCAGGTCACTCCCACCCTAATACTGCTCATTCCCAACAGGCTTAAAAAGTGACACACCAGGAGACTATAATCTGCACCTGACGCGGAGGGTCCTATGCCCAAGGAGTCTCGCTCATTGCTAGCACAGCAGTCTGAGATCAAAGTGCAAGGTGGCAGCGAGGCTGGGGGAAGGGCGCCCTCAATTGCCTAGGCTTGCTTAGGTAAACAAAGCAGCTGGGAAGCTTGAACTGGGTGGAGCCCACCACAGCTCAAGGAGGCCTGCCTGCTTCTGTAGGCTCCACCTCTGGGGGCAGGGCTCAGACAAACAAAAAGACAGCAGTAATCTCTGCAGACTTAAATGTCTCTGTCTGACAGCTTTGAAGACAGCAGTGGTTCTCCCAGCATGCAGCTGGAGATCTGAGAACAGGCAGACTGCCTACTCAAGTGGGTCCCTGACCCCTGACCCCTAAGCAGCCTAACTGCGAGGCACCCCCCAGTAGGGGCAGACTGACACCTCACACGGCTGGGTACTCCTCTGAGACAAAACTTCCAGAGGAATGATCAGGCAGCAGCATTTGCGGTTCACCAATATCCACTCTTCTGCAGCCACCGATCCTGATACCCAGGCAAACAGTGTCTGCAGTGGACCTCTAGCAAACTCCAACAGACCTGCAGCTGAGGGTCCTGTCTGTTAGAAGGAACTAACAAACAGGAAGGATATCCACACCAAAAACCCATCTGTACGTCACCATCATCAAAGACCAAAGGTAGATAAAACCACAAAGATGGGAAAAAAACAGAGCAGAAAAACTGGAAACTCTAAAAATCAGAGTACCTCTCCTCCTCCAAAGGAACGCAGCTCCCCGCAACAATGGAACAAAGCTGGATGGAGAATGACTTTGATGAGTTGAGAGAAGAAGGCTTCAGGTGATCAAACTACTCCGAGCTACAGGAGGAGATTAGAACCAATGGCAAAGAAGTTAAAAACTTTGAAAAAAAATAAGACGAATGGATAACTAGAATAACCAATGCAGAGAAGTCCTTAAAGGACCTGATGGAGCTGAAAACCAAGACACGAGAACTACGTGATGAATGCAGAAGCCTCAGTAGCCGATGTGACCAACTGGAAGAAAGGGTATCAGTGATGGAAGACGAAATGAATGAAATGAAGTGAGAAGAGAAGTTTAGAGAAAAGAGAATAAAAAGAAATGAACAAAGCCTCCAAGAAATATGGGACTATGTGAAAAGACCAAATCTACGTCTGATTGGTGTACCTGAAAGTGACGGGGAGAATGGAACCAAATTGGAAAACACTCTGCAGGATATTATCCAGGAGAACTTCCCCAATCTAGCAACGCAGGTCAACATTCAAATTCAGGAAACACAGAGAAGGCCACAAAGGTACTCCTGGAGAAGAGCAACTCCAAGACATATAATTGTCAGATTCACCAAAGTTGAAATGAAGGAAAAATTGTTAAGGGCAGCCAGAGAGAAAGGTCGGGTTACCCACAAAGGGAAGCCTATCAGACTAACAGCTGATCTCTCTGCAGAAACTCTATAAGCCAGAAGAGAGTGGGGGCCAATATTCAACATTCTTAAAGAAAATAATTTTCAACCCAGAATTTCATATCCAGCCAAACTAAGCTACTTAAGTGAAGGAGAAATAAAATACTTCACAGACAAGAAAATGCTGAGAGATTTTGCCACCACCAGGCCTGCCATAAAAGAGCTCCCAAAGGAAGCAATAAACATGGAAAGGAACAACCAGTTCCAGCCACTGCAAAAACATGCCAAATCGTAAAGACCATCAAGGCTAGGAAGAATCTGCATCAACTAATCAGCAAAATAGCCAGCAGACATCATAATGACAGGATCAATTTCACACATAACAATATTAACCTTAAATGTAAATGGGCTAAATGCTCCAACTAAAAGACAGACTGGCAAATTGGATAAAGAGTCAAGACCCATCAGAGTGTTGTATTCAGGAAATCCAACTCACCTTCAGAGACACAGATAGGCTCAAAATAAAGGGATGGAGGAAGATCTACCAAGCAAATGGAGAACAAAAAAAAGGCAGGGGTTGCAATCCTAGTCTCTGATAAAACAGAATTTAAAGCAACAAAGATCAAAAGAGACAAAGAAGGCCATTACATATGGTAAAGGGATCAATTCAAAAAGAAGAGCTAACTATCCTAAATATATATGCACCCAATACAGGAGCACCCAGATTCATAAAGCAAGTCCTTAGTGACCTATAAAGAGACTTAAACTCCTACACAATAATAATGGGAGACTTTAACACCCCAATGTCAACATTAGACAGATCAAGGAGAGAGAAAGTTAACAAGGATACCCAGGAATTGAACTCAGCTCTGAACCAAGTGGACCTAATAGACATCTACAGAACTCTCCACCCCAAATCAACAGAATATACATTCTTTTCAGCACCACACCACACCTATTCCAAAATTGACCACATAGTTGGAAGTAAGCACTCCTCTGCAAATGTAAAACAACAGAAATTATAACAAACTGTCTCAGACCACAGTACAAACAAACTAGAACTCAGGATTAAGAAACTCACTCAAAACTGCTCAACTACATGGAAATTGAACAATCTGCTCCTGAATCACTACTGGGTACATAACGAAATGAAGGCAGAAATAAAGATTTTCTTTGAAAGCAACGAGAACAAAGTAACGACATACCAGAATCTCTGGGACACATTCAAAGCAGTGTGTAGAGGGAAATTTATAGCACTAAATGCCCACAAGAGAAAGCAAGAAAGATCTAAAATCGACACTCTAACATCACAATTAAAAGAACTAGAAAAGCAAGAGCAAACACATTCAAAAGCTAGCAGAAGGCAAGAAATAACTAAGATCACAGCAGAATTGACGGAGATAGAGACACAAAAAACCCTTCAAAAAATTAATGAATCCAGGAGATGGTTTTTCGAAAAGATCAACAAAATTGATAGACCACTAGCAAGATTAATAAAGAAGAAAAGAGAGAAGAATCAAATAAGTGCAATAAAAAATGATAAAGGGGATATCACCACTGATCCCACAGAAATACAAACTACCATCAGAGAATACTATAAACACCTCTACACAAATAAACTAGAAAATCTACAAGAAATGGATAAATTCCTCAACACATACATCCTAGCAAGACTAAACCAGGAAGAAGTTGAATCTCTGAATAGACCAATAACAGGCTCTAAAATTGAGGCAATAATCAATAGCTTATCAACCAAAAAAAGTCCAGGACCAGATGGATTCACAGCCGAATTCTACCAGAGGTACAAGGAGGAGCTGGTACCATTCCTTCTGAAACTATTCCAATCAATAGAAAAAGAGGGAATCCTCCCTAACTCATTTTATGAGGCCAGCATCATCCTGGTACCAAAGCCAGGCAGAGACACAACCAAAAAAGAATTTCAGACCAATATCCCTGATGAACATTGATACAAAAATCCTCAGTAAAATTCTGGCAAACTGAACCCAGCAGCACATCAAAAACTTATCCACCATGATCAAGTGGGCTTCATCCCTGGGATGCAAGGCTGGTTCAACATATGCAAATCAATAAATGTAATCCAGCCTATAAACAGAACCAAAGACAAAAACCACATGATTATCTCAATAGATGCAGAAAAGGCACTTGACGAAATTCAACAACACTTCATGCTAAAAACTCTCAATAAATTAGGTATTGATGGGCTGTGTCTCAAAATAATAAGCGCTATCTATGACAAACCCATAGCCAATATCATACTGAATGGGCATTAACTGGAAGCATTCCCTTTGAAAACTGGCACAAGACAGGGATGCCCTGTCTCACCACTCCTATTCAACATGGTGTTGGAAGTTCTGACCAGGGCAATCAGGCAGGAGAAGGAAATAAAGGGTATTCAATTAGGAAACAAGGGAGTCAAATTGTCCCTGTTTTCAGATGACATGATTGTATATCTAGAAATCCCCATTGTCTCAGCGCAAAATCTCAAGTTGATAATCAATTTCAGCAAAGTCTCAGGATACAAAATCAATGTACAAAAATCAAAAGCATTCTTATACACCAATAACAGACAGAGAGCCAAATCATGAGCAAACTCCCATTCACAATTGCTTCAAAGAGAATAAAATACCTAGAAATCCAACTTACAAGGGATGTAAAGGACCTCTTCAAGGAGAACTACAAACCACTGCTCAATGAAATAAAAGAGGATACAAACAAGTGGAAGAACATTCCATGCTCATGGGTAGGAATAATCAATATTGTGAAAATGGCCACACTGCCCAAGTTAATTTATAGATTCAATGCCATCCCCATCAAGCTACAAATGACTTTCTTCACATAATTGGAAAAAACTACTTTAAAGTTTATATGGAACCAAGAAAGAGCCCACATCACCAAGTCAATCCTAAGCCAAAAGAACAAAGTGGGAGGCATCATGCTACCTGACTTCAAACTATACTACAAGGCCACAGTAAACAAAACAGCATGGTACTAGTACCAAAACAGAGATATAGACCAATGCAACAGAACAGAGCCCTCAGAAATAATGCTGCATATCTACAACTATCTGATCTTTGACAAACCTGACAAAAACAAGCAATGGGGAAAGGATTCCCTATTTAATAAATGGTGCTGGGAAAACTGGCTAGCCATATGTAGAAAGCTGAAACTGGATCCCTTCCTTACACCTTATACAAAAATTAATTCAGGATGGATTAAAGGCTTACATGTTAGACCTAAAACCATAAAAACCCTAGAAGAAAACTTAGGCAATACCATTCAGGACATAGGCACGGGCAAGGACTTCATGTCTAAAACACCAAAAGTAATGGCAACAAAAGCCAAAATTGACAAATGGGATCTAATTAAACTAAAGAGCTTCTGCACAGCAAAAGAAACTACCATCAGAGTGAACAGGCAACCTACCAAATGGGAGAAAATTTTTGCATCCTACTCGTCTGATGAAGGGCTAATATCCAGAATCTACAATGAACTCAAACAAATTGAGAAGAAAAAAACAAACAACCCCATCAAAAAGTGGGTGAAGGATATGAACAGACACTTCTCAAAAGAAGACATTTATGCAGCCAAAAAACACAAGAAAAAATGCTCATCATCACTGGCCATCAGAGAAATGCAAATCAAAACCACAATGAGATACCATCTCACACCAGTTAGAATGGTGATAATTAAAAAGTCAGGAAACAACAGGTGCTGGAGAGGATGTGGAGAAATAGGAACACTTTTACACTGCTGGTGGGACTGTAAACTAGTTCAACCATTGTGGAAGTCACTGTGGCAATTCCTCAGGGATCTTGAACTAGAAATACAATTTGACCCAGCCATCCCATTACTGGGTATATACCCAAAGGACTATAAATCCTGCTGCTATAAAGACACATGCACACGTGTGTTTATTGTGGCACTGTTCACAATAGTAAAGGCTTGGAACCAATCCAAATGTCCAACAACAATAGACTGGATAAGAAAATATGGCACATATACACCATGGAATACTATGCAGCCATAAAAAATGATGAGTTCATGTCCTTTATAAGGACATGGATGAAACTGGAAACCATCATTCTCAGCAAACTCTCGCAAGGACAAAAAACCAAACACTGCATGTTCTCACTTATAGGTGGGAATTGAACAATGAGAACACATGGACACAGGAAGGGGAACATCACACACTGGGGACTGTTGTGGGGAAGGGGGAGGGATAGCATTAGGACATATACCTAATGCTAAATGACAAGTTAATGGGTGCAGCACACCAACATGGCACGTGTATGCATATGTACAAACATGCACGTTGTGCTCATGTACCCTAAAACTTAAAGTATAATAATAATAAAATTTTAAAAAAATAATAAAGATGTTCTGAAGCTTGACGTGGCCATTGCAGAGAAATCACCCTTCCCAGCAGACCCAGCAGCCAGCAAAGCAGGTGGCACAGCTGTGGTCACTACAAAGCTGAGCACACAAAGAAGTATGACAAACTTGAAGGGTCTACGTGGAAATGGCAGCCTTCATTTTGGGGGCAACCAACTGGGAATTGATAGGTGGAAAAGAAGCCCATAAACAACAAAGTGCTTACCATAATCTTCATCAGAGGTAAGTGATTTGGGGCTTATGTGTGGCCTACAGCCCTCTCATAGCCACAGAAGGGAAGCATTCTGGCTGGGGTACAAATGAAAAGGGACAGTTGAAAGACAATGACACCAAAAATGTTGAAGCCTGTAAATTCGTGGAGGGTGTCAGTCATGAGGTTATTTTGTCAACAGCATGTGGTCAGAAATACACACCTGGCACTGATGAAAACCAGCTCCGTATTTGCTGCATTAGGAAAGAAAAAGATGTGGCACCTGAGCCTCAGCTATCAGCAGATACAGTTTCTAGCCCTGGGTAAATAATGCACCAGACCAACCAATCACCAAAAAAAAATGGCTTTAGGGGCTGAATTCAGTGTAATCAAGGATACAGAAGAAAACCTCCATTTTGTGAGAAGCCCTGAGTATGATTTGCTGGGACACAATTTTTGACAGGAAATTTGTCCCCTGAGTTCTGTGGATAGAGTCTGACATCTGGTGCCCAGGCACTTGGCTATCTATGAAAAAGAAGAAACACAGGTTTTGCCAGTACCAAATGTCATTGTACAGAGGAAGATGTGGGCTTGTGATCTCTGCAGTTCACCACTGCAGACACAACTAGGTGTCATTCAGCCACTATAATGTTATGCTTCCCATGAGCCAGGCTCTGAGTTCTCCAGCCCTAGAGGTTCAGCACTGCTTTCAGCCTTATGGCAGACTCATGAAAAGTGTTGATGTCCTTCCAGAAAAATACAGCCTCCTCTTTACTGATGGCAAATAATCAGTTGTAACCAGCATTTATTTGGGTGCTCCATGCCCTGAGAAGTAAAATAATTTGGGGAAAATAACTTTTCCTCTTTCATCTTCAAGATTATAACCACTGAAGCCCCAGGACAAGACAAACTTCTGCTGGAAATTCAAGACCAGCAATATGGAGTTAGCACTGCAAGCCACATCTGCACAACCAAAATAGAGATTCTGTATGGTATCTTTTCAGGGAGGGCTGTCATGGGCTTCTCACACTGTTTGGTGATGTCTGGAGATAAATGTGAGACTCAGAAAGAAAGTAAAGAAACTGTGAGATCCTTCACAGATGCCAACACCACCAGCCACAGTGAGCCCCATGGTGATTTTCCATATCACAGTCAACAGTAAGCTTTTGGTTTGTGTCTCCATCAAGCTGTTTGCAAAGTTTAAAGACAGAATAAAACTGCCCTTGGCAAGGTAAAATTTAGTTTTGGCAAGGTGAAAGATGGTGTAAGCATTGCAGAAGCCATGGAGCACTTCTGTACAGGAATGGCAAGACCAGCAAGAAGATCACCATTGCTGGCTTTTTAATAACTCTAATAAATTTGCCTTGTGTTTTATCTTAACCCCTACCCATTCTTTCTGTAGCTCATGAGAGTACCCCTCCATCCCATTTGCTTGCAGTATCAAATTTCTGGGTGGGCGTGGTAGCACGTGCCTGTAGTTCCAGCTACCCAGGAAGCTGAGGCAGGAGAATCACTTGAACTAGGGAGACAGAGGTTGCCACGAGCCGAACATGTGCAACCTTGCTAAGTGGGCACGTTGTGTGATGCTGACTTTGGGGTATGGATTCTGTCAAAGATGTAATGGGTATGGTACCCAGTAGGTAGTTTTTCTACCTATGATGCCCTTTGTAAAAAAAAAAAAGAAAAGAAAAGAAGAGAAGAGAAAAGAAAAGAAGAGAAGAGAAAAGAAAAGAAAAGAAAAGAAAAGAAAAGAAAAGAAAAGAAAAGAAAAGAAAAGAAAAGAAAAGAAAAGAAAAGAAAAGAAAAGAAAAGAAAGATTGCTGGCAAGATGGCCTAATAGGAACAGCTTCGGTCTGCAGCTCCCAGAAAGATCGATGCAGAAGGTGGGTAAATTTCCACCTGAAGTACCCAGTTTAACTCATTGGGACTGGGTGGACGGTGGGCGCAGCCCACAGAGGGCGAGTCAAAGCAGGGTAGGGCATTGCTATTACCCAGAAAATGCAAAGGGTAGGGGAATTTTCACCCCTACCCAAGGGAAGCTGTGAGGGACTGAACCTGGGAAACCATGCACACTCCGGCCCAGATACTGCTCTTGTCCCACGGTCTTCGCAACCTGAGACCAGGAGATTCCCTCTGGTATCTACCCCACCAGGGCCCTGGGTTTCAAGCATGAAACTGGGCAGACATCAAACTAGCTGCAAGAGTTTTTTTGTTTGTTTGTTTGTTTGTTTTCTATACCCCAGTGGCACCTCCAACGCCAGCGATACAAAACCGTTCGCTCCCCTGGAAAGGTGAGCTGAAGTCAGGGAGCCAAGTGGCCTGACTCCGCGAGTTGCTCCCCACCCCCGCCACCCCTGCCCTGCCCCATGGACTGGAGCAAACTAAGATCCACTGGCTTGTAATTCTCACGGCCAGCACCGTAGCAGTCTAGCAGTCTGAGATGGATCTAGGATGCTCAAGCTTGGTGAGATGAGACCAACCAATGAAAACAAAAAAAAATCAAACAATCCCATCAAAAAGTGGGCAAAATATATGAACAGACACTTCTCAAAAGAAGACATTTATGCAGCAACAAACATATGAAAAAAAGCTCATCATCACTGGTCCATAGAGATATGCAAATCAAAAGCACAATGAGATAGCATCTCACACCATTTAGAATGGGCATCATTAAAAAGTCAGGAAACAACAGATGCTGGAGAGGATGTGGAGAAATAGGAACGTTTTTACACTGTTGCTGGAAATGTAAATTAATTCAACCAGTGCAGAAGATAGTGTGGCGCTTCCTCAAGGATCTAGAACCAGAAATACCATTTGACCCAGCAATTCCATTACTGGGTACATACCCAAAGGATTATAAATCATTCTACTGTAAAGACACATGCACACATATGTTTATTGCAGCACTATTCACAATAGCAAAGACTTGGAACCAATCCAAATGCCCATCAATGATAGACTGGATAAAGAAAATGTGGCACATATACACCATGAAATACTATACAGCCATAAAAAAGGATGAGTTCATGTCCTTTTCTGGGACATGGATGAAGCTGGAAACCATCATTCTCAGCAAACTAACACAAGAACAGAAAACAAAACAGTGCATGTTCTCACTTATAAGTGGGAGTTGAACAAGGAGATCATATGGACACAGGGAGGGGAACACCACACTCTGGGGCCTGTCGGGGGGTGGAGGTATAGGGGAGGGGCAGAATTAGGAGAAATACCTAATGTAGGTGACAGGTTGATGGGTGCAGCAAACCACCAGAGCACATGTATACCTAGTAACAAAACTGCACATTCTGCACATGTACACCAGAACTTAAAGTATAATAATAATTAAAAAAAAAAAAACCAGAGGTTGGCCTCACTATGTTACCCAGACTACTCTTTAAATCCTAGCCTCAAGGAATCTTCCTTCCTCAGCCTCCCAAACTGTTCAAATTTCAGGTTTCAGAAAATATACCTGGCATGCTCATATTTTCTTCATAATTGAAATGAGAAAAATGTTGCATACTACAAAAGCACATACTTAGAGCATTTAAAAATTTGTAACATGTAACTTTTGATAAAGCCCATCTAGTTATTTCTCTCTCTTGTATCTGCAGTAACATTTCTAACACTATTTTCCTTCTAGGGATTTAGTAATTAAATTGATAGATATTATTAATATCTATACTAGCAAACAATGTCTTTTCAGCTACATCCTTTACTAAGTTAAACTGTCAAACAATATGTATTTCAGTTATTTGGTTATAACTATCAAAATTGCTTTTCTGGCATTTCTATATTTTACAAAATTGTTTCATGAAACTAGGTAGAATGGTGTACAGTTTTCTACAATTATGGGTTCACTTTTCTGATGTTGCCAACTATTGCCACAGCATCAATCAAAAGCCCATCACCTACCATGTGTGTTTTTCATAAATATTTTGTATTGCCAATGACCAGTCAAGAGTCAAACAGCACGGTTCACAAAAGATGGTAAAAATAGTGGTGACCAAGTAATTATGATTGTAATAAAGTAACCCTGGTAGGCTATTTTATTATGTAGGTTGTATATAAATTTTATCTAAAACATGGCTGAGTGTAAATATCTGTGGATAAATTATGGTATTTATTAAAAAAAATATCTGTAAATTTGACATTGTTATAAAGATGAGAAAATAGACTTTTTTCATTAATACTCTCCATGTTATAATATTCTTATGCATAACATAATTTAATCTTCATAAATGGCTAATGACTTTCACTACATTCTCTTTGCTTCAGACATGTGATCTAAGCCTACGTCATTTGTGATCAATCTTTTGTTCAGTTGATTTACTGGTGTTATTTCCTCTACCATTGTATATGATTATAAGTACGTATACTTATATGTAATATGCACACATTTATGTATACATATATATGGACATATATTAGTAAGGTGATTCATATATAGTTACCAAGTAGTTTTTTATATATTGATATTTCATGTACAGCTACTGCTTTTCTGGTACAATACTTTAATACTTAAAATATGGTTATTACTGTGCCTTTAATCTGATTTATCCTGGAGCTTCGTATAAGTCAAAAATTATAGAAGACCCCAACTATGCTGATGGTTCCAGTATATTTCGGTGGCAATCATTCATTGTGTGGATCTAGACATTGAGATAAATGTGTATCTCTTCTAGGTTACAAATTGGGGAAAAAATAACACCTGTTATATAAACTATACAATTTGTTTTATATAAAATCATAAACATAAGATGGCTTTAAAACAGTATTTCAAGTAAGATGCAATTTCCTGAGTACATGGTAAAAATGTCAAACTGTATTCATTGCCTTACACATTTATATTTATGGCCTGGTATAATTTTAAGTGACCTTAAAATTATAGTCAAACAATCTTTCATCTCAGAATAAGAATTTCATTAATTTCTTTAAAATTATGTTTGTATGTCTCATACAGCTGTATTTTTTGAGACAACATTTTACTCTCTCAACTGGGCAAGAGTGCACTGATGTGATCATGGCTTACTGCAGCACCAGACTCCTGTGTTTAAGTGATTGTCTTGCCTCAGCCTCTCAAGTCAGTGGTACCAGAGAAGTGTGCCATCACACCAAGTTAATTTCTTTCAAAAAAATTAATAGAAACAGGATATTTTTATGTTACTCTGGCTGGTCTCCAACTTTTTGACCCAACTGATTCCCCTGCCCCAGCTTCCTAAAGTGATGAGATTACAGGCATGTGATACTGAAGCTGGCCAGAGCTGTATTATTCCATTTTGGATTAATTGGACATCACAGTGGTGCCTATATAGAGGCAAAAAAAGAAAAACAAACAAGAAAAAGTAACAGCAGAACTATTCAGTAAAATTTATGAACAGTTCTGATACAGATATATCCTCATTAAGTTAAGGTGAATTATCTTTACTATTAGATACCTTAGTATTATCTCAAGGCATAAAAAGGTATTCCTAATATAAAAAAGTATTCCATAAAAAGGTATTCCCTATATAAAGTGAAGTCTCAATTAAAGAATATGAATGCAAATTAATATCTCCCATAAAACAGCAAAATGTTATGTCTCCTTCTAACATTGAGAACTGAATTTTAGCAATTTGCTCCTGAGGTTAAAAAAAAAAAAACTTAAGGTTTTTCAGAGACAGAAACAAAACTTTAACAGGTTCTAAAATCATATTAAAAAGATCCATATAACAGGACATTTGGCAAATGGAATAAAGCCACACCATAACGCCCATGTCTAAGGACCAGGTCCTAGGAATATATTATCGTATATGACAAAGATGAAATAAAGATTAATAATCTACTGACTCTAAAAAAAGACAAACCTGATTTACATTAGGCTCAAAACTGAATTACAGTTTTGAGCTTAATGTGATATCTAGCATTCTTATGTGAGAAATAGAGACTAAGAAAACAAATTGAGTGTAGTGATGATAGGTGAGTGTGATGAGAATTTTTTTCATTTTTTTCCTTTGGTGATTTTTCTTCTTTAATTACTTTTATCTGAACAAACACATATGAGTTATTTTACATTATCATCACTTTTCTGTTTGATTATTATTAGACAACACTAAGAAATGTGTTGTAAGATTGAGTTCAAGTAGTATACTGGTATAAATAACAGGCATTCTCTACAGGTGAGTACAACTACACCAAAGAACTCAAAATGGCATAGACATTGCCCACCAGCCTCTGAACACTCAGGATCCAAAAAAGATCATGTGCATATAGCAGGATTGAAGAGATTAAAATAATAAAGTTTACTCAATACATAACAAACTCAAGATTCCTTTCTTTTTAGGGATTCACTAAAATTTAAGGTTACTAAAGATAAGAATGTTAGTTAACACATAGTTCTGTATTCAAAATGTGCCAAAAGATGTGTTATTGGTGAGAAAGAATGATTTTATGTAGTTACAAAGTTACTTAAAACTTAATTCAAATTGTGGACTTTTTAAAAAGATTATTTATAAAATAGGATAGTAATGAACTAATAGGTAGGGGAGAGATATATGAAGAAATTTATTTATGTTAACATGTATTTTTGATAATGAAGGTTATAAAAATAATAATTTTGTATGAGAAAAGATCTTGTCTGGTAATTCTTGTCCTGGACTAAAATAACTGGTTGTCTAAAAAGAGGGATACATAGGACAAGTCAGAAATTCCAAACATTTGTAGATGGTCTGTTTAAGATCTGAAGAGGATTTGTATAACAAAAGTATAGTGTATTTTTGGTAAAAGCATGTGAATGTGGATTACTTGCATAAGTGTTGAAGGTTAAAGTGTTTTTTTAAGTGAGATAGGACAAATCTAAGGATTTGAATGAGTTGGGGAAGGTTTATGAAAAAGTAATTGTAAAAGAGATTCCATGTGTGAATATATAGGCTAAAGTTAGAGGGGGAGATTGGCAATTAGATTGCACCTAGATGACAGCTTTGAAAGCATACAAATTTTTGCTAGAACTAATAGACACCCTTACTGGCTGGGTTGAAACAGTAACCAGTCTCTCATTATGCCTTTAACTGCAACAGCCAGGCACAAATGACCCATAGAACTCATAAGTCTTTTGGTAGGTGAACAAATAAGAGCAGAGGTGGAAACAAGAGTTAGCACTCTTGCAACTTTCCTATCCTATTAACAACCACTTGTCCAAGGATCTTTCAGAAAGCTTGAATTAAACTGCCCAAAGTATTGTCACTTTACAAAATAAACATCTTGGTAGTGGTTGCTTTACAAAATAGAAGGGGACTGGATATTTTAACCATTGAAAAAGATGGCTTATGTTTATTTTCTGGAGGAAGAATGCTGTTTTTACATCAACGAATAAGGAATAGTAAGGGATGCTGCCTGAAAACTGGCCAATTGAGCTTGTAAGATACAATAACAGCTATACAAGTCATGGGCTCCTGGTCATACATGTCAAGTTGGGGTTCATGTCTCCTTCCCTTGGCCAGTCCATTATTAATGATTATTCTTGCCTTGGTTTGGGGGCTATGTTTTTTAAATCTCTTAGCCAAATTTATTTTCTCCTGGCTAGAAACCATCAATCATCTTATGTGACAATATTTTCAGCCATTTCCCGGTAAAGACACCATCCCTGGCCATTAAGAAGCTACCCTGTCTCCATTAGACAAAGCAAGACAAGGGTTCTGTGGTACCCAGTAAGTAGGCACTGCACTCCAAGTCTGCATAAAGCAGTTACAGAAGAAGGACCATTGGTCCCCTCAGCCTTCTGTAAACATTTAAGGGGAAAACATCACTCGGGGGAGAAATGAAGTAGGAGAATAGAGTCTGGAAGCAGGGAATCTAAGGCCAACTTGTGCTGACTTACTAGCATTAAATTAAAAGAAAGCCCCAACTCTCTATGCCCAAGGAACAAAAAGATAAAAAGCTAGTACCCTTGCAACCACCCTCCATTTCTGTGGCATGATAAAAAATGGTAAGGTCCTCTGATTTTGTAACTTTCCATCACCATCAGACTAGTCATGGGTCTAGTCCTCATTTTTACAGGGGTGAAACTTTCTACCTTCACTTTTGCCTCTGTTAAGATCCCTCTGACAACCAATCATACATTTGCATATGGTATAACTTTGTAACTTCAATTCAGCCACTGATTGGCCCCTTTCACAACCAATCAGACAGTCAAGAGTCTCTACTTTCTTTACATAGGGTGTAAATCAAGTAACCAATGGGAAATCTCTGGAAGGCATTTAAACCCCAGAAAACTCTATAATCAGTTCTCTTGAGCCACTTATTTGAGCCCACACCCACTCTTTGGAGTTTACTTTCATTTCAATAAAGCTATGCTTTGATTGGTTTATTCTTGTTTAGCTTTCTCTGTGCATTTTGCACAATTATTTGTTCAAAATGCCAATAACCTATATGACTTGTAATCCAGATCCTCCACCAGTAACTCCCAGAGTTCTCTTTTTTGTCTGTGTTGAAGACAAAGACTAGCTAGAAGGAATATAAACCTCCTTACACATGTTTAAAAAACTGTTGTCTTTCTATGTGTTTTTTAAACATATAGGAACATAAGTAATAGGTGTATAAATCAGATAGCTTCTTATGTGAGAGGCAAAACAAACAAACAAGAACAACTGCAGCACACCAAGCAGCCTGTTTCACAAAACCAGGCTTACACAAAAGCAGGCTTACATGCCATGTTTTAGCCCATTTAGTCCCAAGAAAAACTGTGCGAGGTAAATGTATTTCCCATTCCTCTATTCAGAGGAACAAACTGTGGCCCAGAGACATTTCCAAAAGACAGCTTAAAGATGGAAGATTCACCACTATATTTTGAAAGGGAAAGATACGAATCTACTGACCAGCTACTCCAGGTAATGAGAGGTGGTAGTTAAGTTCTATTTGGAGCCCAGGAACTAATAAAAAAAGGAGAAGGTTGCACCTTGGAAGGTTAAAACCACAGACTTCACCTGTTTCTTCCTTGTGCCTACCTGGGGCGTTCACATTATTCAGATTTCAGATAGGTTAATGATAGACTCAATTTTATACTGTATGGGAAAATAAGTGACATACAGTCAGTGATAACATCATGAATTACTGAAACATTGAGGTCTGGAGGTAGAAGATAAAGTCTGAGTAAAGAATGATTAAACCATTAACAGCTTTAAAAAAATCTTTATATTGTCATCTCTGGAACAACAGCCCCCACCAGTATTCACGGTCTTTTTGAAGACTGTTATATTCCTGAGTCCTCAAATATATTATTATTGTTGATTTAAAAAAAACAGATTTTCCAAGTCAAATGGCTACTGAACATCCCAAAAGTCAAAATTGAGACTCTTCCACTCAAGGCTTTATTAAATTTGCTCTCAGCTACTTAAGACTGTAAACCAAGGGCCTTTACATACTAAAGGTTAAATGAATCTAGGATAATGAAAACATGCAAATATAACAAAACTTAAGCAGTTAGTCATGCCATCGAGTACATATGAGCTAATGTGATAGGTGGAATACTCACAAACTGGTATTCCTAGGTAAGGCTTATAAATGGACCAGGGCATCCTGGGGACCTTTGGTATCAGAAAGTAATATGATTAACAATTGTTTACTCCGCAACATTATCAAACTCATTCTCAGAAACCATGCAACTATCTCTGCTTTTCAAATATTATGGTTTGAATGCAGATTTTAAAAAAATGCAAGCTATGAGGACTAAGCAGCTTGGACCAATCAGCAATCAGGTGAACCTACTCCTTAACTTGGGTAACAAATGTGCCAAACACCATCCAAATGTATACTAACCTTACTCCCCCCAGTCTCAACCATCACAGAAATAAAAAAGGACCTTGGCTAATAGCACTGGGAATTAGTACTTCAGTAAGTGCCCTTGGGGGTTTAGCAGGAGGCATAGCCTATAATGCCCATACTATACGAGATGTGTCCACCTACTTACAATATAATGCTGAAAATACAGGCAAGGGTTTTAAGCCTTACAAACATCCCTTGACTCCTTGGCAGCTCAGGTGGCAGACTGTCGTAGTGCCTTAGATTATCTTTTGGACAAACAAGGGGGACTTTGTGCCCTGGCCAATACCTCCTGTTTTTTTCATATCAACTCTTCCAAAGAAGCCAATAGAGTCCTTGAAGTGGCTACATGACTCAAAACAGCAAGCACGAATCAATCAAACCCTATATGGACAAATGTAAAGGGTTATTTGCCTTTTATATCTTGGTTTCTTCTACTGGAAGGACACCTGGTAACTATTTTACTTCTCCTTTTTGGTCCATGTTTATTTGCCATTTGTGTACATTTCATTTCTTGTTATTTATAATCCATAAAACTTCAAATAATTGTACAACAAAGATACCAGGAGCTTCCAACCACATTGAAATCTACCTGAACTCTTTGGGCATGTATCATTATCTTATGTTCAACCTTCTAGCTTAAAGAAAGTGAGAGAGAGGACTTAACTAATACCACTGGTCCTTGTCATCAGGAAGTAACCAGATTGATTGTTACACATCTATCAAAGATTTGGGTCCTTTACTCTTGAAGGTAAAATATTAGGTAGTTAGATATTAGCATCAGCAAGGCAGTTAGAAAAGAGAGCAGAAAGGATGTCACGAAGACAGCCCATGACCCACTTAAGTTTAGCCCCAGAGCTGTTCTAACTCAAACTTAATGGATGGAGATTGTGGTAAGGTCTGGCCAGCACAGCCTGGAACAGGACAAACTAGTGCACAGGTGGAAATAACCTAAAGTGCCACATGCCCAGTAACACAGAACTGTGTCCTCAAATTAAAACTGAGCCCACCATGCTCTTATTATAATAAAAATTACATGGGGATTTACTGCCCTTCACTCAGTGTGCTTTTCTTAATGAATTAGGGTTAAGAACAGTCATAGTTTAATTTTAGCTAAATATCCATTAACTGCTAAACAAA
The DNA here is from genome assembly GCF_000001405.40 of Homo sapiens. NCBI lineage: Eukaryota > Metazoa > Chordata > Mammalia > Primates > Hominidae > Homo > Homo sapiens. Next base: position 19,976,727 of record NC_000024.10, on the reverse strand, counting down.
TAACACTATTTTGTCACTCAGACACAGCCCAAACCTCAACTCCTCCCTCCAAAACCTCCATGAAAGACCGAGTTGTGTAAAGAGAGGATAATTTCATTTCACAGAAATTACTCCACTGTCTTTCTGGGAGTGTGTTACTGTGCTTCAATAAACATTTTTTAAACTTGTATTTTGATGTTATTTTGCAATTATTTGCTCACTGTCACAAGAACTAAGATTATTCATTAAGAGCTCTGACTCTGTTTATGTCCATAGTTCAGGGAACCATTGCAATGCAGAATTCCTGGTAACAAAATCATCACGAAATTAAAGACGTATTGATTCATAAACACAAAAAATATTTTTAAAATATTTTTAAAATATCAAAAAAATAAAATATGACATTTATTAGACATTATTGACTAGATATATTTAGGAGTGGCAGACAGATTATTTGTATAAAAAAAAGCTAAAAATATCCCAAATTTCAATGTGATAAAACAAAAAATTCTACCAAACAAAGCTAATTCATCTGGAAATGTTTTACTTCAAAATAAAAAAAAAAAAAGTTCCAGAATTGAAAACAAATTCTGAAGATGTTTATCACAACTAGTAGAGTCCTACAAGACACACATAAGAGAGTCCATTATTTTGAAAAGTAAAGTATTGCTGAGGACTATGATGATAGTGTTATAGTCTCAACAATGCACCACAATGTAGCAGTCTCATTGTGAGGTACCACTTGGAGTTCTTTGTCTCATGACCAAGAGAATTAAGAAGCATAGAGACAAAGGGTGAGGTTGGAATAAAAGTTTAATAAGCAAAATAAAAAAATGTCTCCACAGCAGAGAGAGGACTCAGAAAAGAGTTGCCACTATGAGGATAGGCCCAGGGTTTTTATGGACTGGGAAGAGAAGCAATGTGCTGACTGTTCTTGGAGAAAGCATTACTTAGCTTGGTTGGGAACCCTGGCCCGGGACCAACAAGGAGGCTGAAGTAAAAAGCTTGGTACAGGACCTTGGACTGGGACTAATTAGCAGCTGAAGTGAAATCTTGGCCCAAGACCTTGGTCCAAGACAAATCAGAGGCTGAAGTGATTGATGATTTATAGAGGGTTAGCTCACAGGTCAAAGCCTGTCCAAAAAAGAAAGGAAAAGTGCTCACTGTATCCCAACAAAGCCTACCATGTACATGGCCACAAAAAGAGAAGTGACTATTTCTTGTAAGCCTACTGGTTGTACAAAGGACAAATAATTTCTACACTGGGAGTTTTTCCTTTATCAGTGTAGCTGCAGACATGTCTTTAAGCATAAAGGACAAAAGCATTTCTATGGTGGGCTTCCAAGCCCTCTCCAAGTGTACTGCCCTCCCATCACCTCCACGTGTTCAGCAATCCAGAAGCTCCATGAACCTTGTCCTCTGGAGTTTTATGGAGGCTTTATTATGTAGGCATGACCATTGGCCCATCATTGGCCATTGGTGATCAACTCAACCTTCAACCTGTCTCCCCTATTTGGAGGTCCAGGGGTGGGACTGAAAGTTCAACCTTCATGATTCATTCCATATCAACTAGCCTGCATCCTGAGGCTGTCCAGGAGCCCATTTAGAGGCACCTCCTTAGAACAAAAGATGCTCCTACCACCTAGGAAATTCCAAGGGCAGAATTTGGCCACTGCCCAGGGAGGGAGTACTTAGATCAGCCCTAGCCAGGGGGGACTTATTCAGCCCAAAATTTGGAACCTGAGTTGTGGCTGGCCCCCAAAGTTAAAATGCTCTAGAGTCCCAAATAAATTTGAAAGCAGTTTGGCCACACAGATGGCAATTTCTGGGAAAATTCTGGTACCTTTTCTGGACTCAGGGACAGTGAGATTAAAGTGCATCTGATTCAGTGAGACACAAGCTTAGGTGTCCAAAAAAATGTTTGTGTCACCCCACACACAATTCCAGGCAGGACAGCTTAAAAGTTCAAAAATTACTTTCTCTTTTTGAGGACAAGATAATAAAGTGTTAAGAGGACTACGTATTGCAATTTGGAAAGCAACTTTGCCACAGTAAAATGAAGCATCAAGAATATCCAGAAAGTTTCTGATTCCACACTCTGGTTTCCGAATGGCACTTCTAGACCCACACTGTTTCCGAAGGAAACCCATTGCCCTGGAAGAAAACACCAGACCAGGAAAGATATATTAGCTGCTGCTAAAATAACCTCTGGATCACTAATAATTATCAACAGTCAGGCAATAATTACCACAGTCTTTGGGAAAGACCCAATTCTGTGCTAGCTTCAGGTGTGAAGAAGCACAGTTCTGATGATTGTGGCTATGAGAAAGTTTTGTTCTCTCTCTTACAACTCCAGGCAGCTTATTCTGGAGAAAGAAACCTCATTTGTTTGCGGAAAACTAAGAAAAGTGATAAGGAGACTCCACATGCTAATTCAGAGATTTTTACCATATCATATCTAAGACCATCAAGTCATTACTTATATGAATCAGCAAATAGCAAACTGCTCCTGGGAATAAACTGCTTTCAACGGAGATATGACTGCAGTGAGCAAAGACTTAAATCACAACACTTAATCACTATTAAATAGGTAAAAAGCCTTCTCAAGAAGGACAAATAAACCCAGACTACAAAGATTAGGTTAAATACTTAAAATTTTTCAACATACAGGCACAGGTGAACATCTGCAAGCATCAGGACAGGGTAGGAAACAATCACTTCACAAAACATACTGAAAGTGCCATTTAACAATCTCAGAGAGGTAGAGATGCATACCCTTTCAGAGAATGTTAAATAGCTGTTTTGAGAAAACTTAATGAAATTTATTATAATATATATGAGATTTTTATCTTATTAGTTAAATTTTACAAACCTGATGAAACAACTTTGTTTTATTTCTTTAAAAAAAGGATAATTGTGCAGAACATGCAGGTTTCTTACATAGGGATATGTGTGCCATAATGCTTTGCTGCACCTATTGACTCATCATCTAAGTTCCCTCCCCTAACTCCCAGCCCCCAGCAGGCCCTGGTGTGTGTTGTCTCCTCTCTGTGTCCATGTGTTTTCAATGTTCAAATCCCACTTATGAGTGAGAACATGCAGTGTTTGGTTTTCTGTTCCTGTGTTAGTTTGCTAAGGATGACGGCTTTCAGCTTCAGTCACGTCCATGCAAAGGAGATGATCTCATTATTGTTTATGGTTGCATAGTATTCCATGGTGTGCATGTACCAGAGTTTCTTTATCCAGTCTATCATTAACGGGTATTTGGGTTGGTTCCATGTCTTTGGTATTAAATAGTGCTGCAATAAAAATTTGTGTGCATGTGTCTTTATAATAGAACGATTTATATTCCTTTCTTTATGTACCCAGTAATGGGAATGCTGGGCGAAATGATATTTCTGGTTCTAGATTCTTGAGGAATCACCATGCTGTCTTCCACAATGTTTGAACTAATTAACATTCCTACCAATAGTGTAAAGGAGTTCCAATGTCACCACAGCCTCACCAGCATCTATTGCTTCCTGACGTTTTAACAATCACCATTCTGACTGGCATGAGATGGTATCTCATTGTGGTTTTGGTTTGCATTTCTCTATGATCAGTGAAGTTGAGTTTTTTTTCATATGTTTGTTGTCTGTGTAAATGTCTTCTTTTGAGAAGTGTCTGTTTATATCCTTTCCCCATTTTTTTGATGTGGAAGTTTGTTTTTTCTTTTAAATATGTTTAAGTTCCTTATAAATTCTGGATATTAGACCTTTGTCAGATGGGTAGATTGCAAAATTTTTCTCCCATTCTGTGGTTTGCCTGTTCACTCTGATGATAGTTTCTTTTGCTGTGCAATTTAGTTTAATTAGATCAAATAACCATTGCTCTATATGTCTGTTTTGGTTAAAGTACCATGCTGTTTTTGTTACTGTAACCTTCTAGTAGAGTTTGAAGTCATGTAGCATGATGCTTCCAGTTTGTTCTTTTTGCTTAGGATTGTCTTGACTGTTATGGAGTCTTCTTTGATTCCATATGAAATTTAAAATAATTTCCTTTTATAATTGTGTGAAGATTGCCAATGGTAGTTTGATGGGAATAGCATTGAGTCCATAAATCACTTTGGGCAGTATGGTCATTTTCACGATATTGTTTATTCTTATTAATAAGGATGGAATGTTTTTCCATTTATTTGTGTCCTCTCTTATTTCCTTGAACAGTGGTTTGTAGTTCTCCCAGAAGAGGTCTTTCACATCCTTGTTAGCTGTATTTCTAGGTATTGTACTCTCTTTGTAGCAACTGTGAATAGGAGTTTAGTCATGATTTGGCTCTCTGTTTGCCTATTGTTCTTGGAAATGAATGTTTGTGATTTTTGTACATTCATTTTGTGTCCTTAGACTTTGCTGAAATTGCTTATCAGTTCAAGAATTTTTTGGGCAGAGATGATATGGTTTTCTAAATATAAAATAAAGTTTTCTGCAAACAGACACATCTTGACTTCTTCTCTTCCTATTTGAATACCCTTGATTTCTTTCTCTTGCCTGATTCCCCTGGCCAGAACTTCCAATACTATCTTGAATACGAGAGGTGAGAGAGGGCATTCTTGTCTTGTACTTGTTTTTTGAAAGGAATACTTCTAACTTTTACCCATTCAATATGATATTGGCTGTGGGTTTGTCATAAATAGCTCTTATTAATTTGAGATATTTTCCATTAATGCCTAGTTTGTTGAGAGTTTTAAACATGAAGAGATGTTGAATTTTGTCAAAGGCCTTTCCTGCATTTATTGAGATAATTATGTGGTTTTTAGCTTTAGTTCTGTTTATGTGTTGCCTTATGTTTATTGATTTGCATATGTTGAACCAGTCTTGCATCTCATGAATGAAGCTGACCTCATCATGGTGGATAAATTTTTCGACGTGCTGCTGGATTAGTTTTGTCAGTTTTATTCAATGATACTGGCTTGAAGGGATAATGGCATCAGGGATATTGGCTTGAAGTTTTCTTCCTTGCGTGTGTCTCTTCCTGATTTCAGTATCAGGATGATGCTGTCTTCACAAAATGAGTTAAGGAGTCCCTCCATTTCAATGGTTTTGAATTGTTTTAGAAGGAATGCTACCATCTCCTTTTTGTATTGCTGGTAGAATTAGCTATGGCTCTGTCTGTTGGTTGGCTTTTTTTGGTTAGTATTCTATTAATTACTGCCCCCACTTCAGAGCTTGATATACGTCTATTCAGGTATTCAAATTCTTGGTTTAGTCTTGGTAAATTGCAGGGTTCATATGTCCAGGAATTTATCAATTTCTTCTATATTTTCTAGTTTACTTGCATAGAGGTGTTTATACTATTCTCTGATGGTAGTTTTTATTTCTTTAGGGTAAGTAGTAATATTCCTTTTACTATTCTTCATTGTGACTATTTAATTCTTCTCTCTATTCTTTTTATTAGTCTAGTTAGTAATCTATCCATTTTGTTAATTTTTTTCAAAAAGCCGCCTCCTGGATTTGTTGATTTTTTGAAGGGTTTTCTGTGTCTCTATCTACTTCAATTCTTCTCTGATCTTAGTTATTTCTTGTCTTCTATTAGCTTTTAGATTAGTTTGCTCTTGACTTTCTACCTCTTCTAAATATGTGTTAGGTTGTCAGTTTGAGATGTTTCTAGCACTCTGATGTGGGTATTTAGTACTATAAACTTCCCTTTTAATGATATTTCTGCTGTGTCTCAGAGACTCCAGTATGTTGTCTCTTTGTTCTCATTCATTTCAAATAACTTCTTGATTTCTGACTTAATTTCATTATTTAACCAGCAGTCATTCAGGAACAGGTTGTTCAATGTCCATGAAATTGTGGGGTTTTGAGTGAGTTTCCTAATCCAGAGCTGTGATTTCACTGCACTGTGGTCTGAGAAACTATTTGTTATGATTTCAGTTCTTTTGCATTTGCTGAAGAGTGTTTTACTTCCAATTATGTGGTCGATTTTAGAATAAGTGCCATGTGGCAATGAGAAGAATGTATATTCTGTTGATTTGTGGTAGAGAGTTCTGTAGATTTCTCCTGGGTCCACCTGATCCAGAGCTGAGTTCATGTCCTAAATGTCATTGTTAATTTTCTGGCTTATCAATCAGTCTAATATTGACAGTGAGGTGTTAAAATCTCCCATTGTTATTGTGTGGCAGTCTGAGTCTCTTTGTATGTTTCTAAGAACTTGTTTTGTGAATATGGTTGCTCCTGTATTGGGTGTATGTATTCAGAATAGTTAGCTCTTCTTGTTGAATTATTCCCTTTACCATTATGTAATGTCCTTCCTTGTTTTTTTTGTTCTTATTATTTGTTGATTTAAACTCTGTTTTGTCAGAGACTAGGATTGCAACCCCTACTTTTTTTGCTTTCCATTTGCTTGCTAAATTTTCCTTTATCCCATTATTTTGAAGCTTTTTGTGTCTTTGCACATAAGAAGGATCTCCTGAATACTACACTTCAATGGGTCTTCATTCTATCAAATTTGCCAGTGTGGGTCTTCTCTTTTAATTGGGAATTTAGCCCATTTTACATTTAAGTTTAGTATTGTTATGTGTGAATTTGATCCTGTCATAATGATACTATTTTGTTATTTTTCACACTAGGTAATGCAGTTTCTTCCTAGTATCATTGGTCTTTATATTTTGGTGTGTCTTTGATGTGACTAGCACCATTTTTAAATCTACATATTTAGGATTTCTTTCAGGAGCCCTTGTGGGGCAGGCCTGGAGATAATGTAATTCTTACTGTAGTGTTCCTCAAATGGTGATTTTCTGTTTTGCATTATCTATCTACATATATTACATGAAATTCTGGCAAAAACATTTTTCCCTTCCTTTTATTTTTCCTTCTTCACATTCTTTTTTCTTTCAGTTTTTAATTTCTCTCTTTTTTCTTATTTAATCTTTTTATATCCATATGGACTCATGGATATTTAGTCTCTAGTTTATACAATTATTCAATACTATAATTATTTTGTTACTAACACTGCCATTGCCCCAGCTTACTCCACTGTGAGACCTATAAGTCTGGGTCCTATTAATATGTCTTTTTTTTCTGCTAAAGTTATTTCCTAACTTTCTAACTCTAAAAGATATTCTACACTCACTTGGTATGTTTCATTTACAGCCCTGTAATTAACCATTTTCCCCAAATTTTCTATTTTATTTTATTAAATAATGTAATTTAGAAAGCAAGACGTGAGATCACGGTGTGCTCACTAATACTGGAGTACCACTACTTCTGGGCCCTCTCAGCTGATGGAGTTAGGAAATGTGCATGTAAATATAAACTCAGCTCTTCATACTTATCTATATCTGTATCTATCATTTTTCTAGATATATTAAGAGTGACAAAAGTTTCTACAAATATTTTCAAATACAATCCAACATCAAAAGGTTTTAGTATTTTCTTTTTAATATTTTATTTCCCCTCAAACACAGTGAGAAACAAATCTAATTATCTATAATTTACTTACTAGCATAATATTGTCTCAGAATTGCTAACTTTTTAATATATATTTAAAAGTGTTTTAATATATACTAAAAAAAGTGTTTGTTTACAGTTCTTAGTACTGTACAAAAACACTGTTTTTTATTTTAAACTTACTTAAGTTAGGACCTTTCATCTCCACCCCTTCAATATTAGTATGTCATACTTCGTAATACAATTCAATAAATTTTTCAATATCTATATTTTACATTAGTTTCTCCAACATATTGGTGAATTTTTTTTAATATTACCTAGAGAAAAATTTATTTATTGTGGTTCACAATGAAGTGGATTTTAACAACTGTCTACAGTCACATATTCACCTCGAAACTACTACACAGAACTGTTTTACAACATGTCAAAAATTGTCTCATGCTTCCCCATTGTAATCAACTCCTTCCCCAATCCCTTCTTTGGGCAACCACTATTCATCTTCCCTTCCTATAATTTTCCTTTTGCTATGTCATGTAAATGGAATAATATAGTGTACAGTCTTTAAATCTGAGCTCCCTAACTTAGAAAGATCCACTTAAATACATAACAAGTTCCTTTTTTGACATGTGGTATTTCATTGTACAAATGAACCAGGTTTTTTTTCTAATTAATTTGCTTATTAAAGAATATCTGTTAATCTTCCACCTCTGACAGTTATAAAGAAAGTGACTATAAACATTCAGAAACAGATTATTGTTTAAACGTTAGTTTGCAATTTGTTTTAGTAAATATCTGGGACTGAAATTCCTGGATCATGGAATAAGTACAGGTTTAATTTTATAAGAAGCTGCTGAATTATTTTTCAAAATTACCATACCATCTTGCATTCCCAGAAGTAATTGTTATAAAGTTTTATTTTCTTTATTATCTTCATTTTAAATTATGATTATTTCTAAATTATTCTTTATTTTGTTTCTCTCTTCATATATTCTATTTTTAAAATTATGTTAAGAATATTCGATTTTTTCTCATCGCATTTGTATTTGTTTCACTCCTTTATGTTTATTTCACTTATTATTGTCTAACTTTTATGTCTTAATTTTCCTTCATTGCATTTTATTTCCCTTTACATTATTTTTTACTTCATTTTACAATTTTACCTCTCATTTTTATCTGATTTTAGTTTCTTTCTTTAGATTTTTCCTTTGTTCTTCTTTTATTTTGCTTTTTATATATATTTTATTTTACTTATATTTCTTTTTTATTTTATTTATTTTTTATTTAATTTATTTTATTTGGTTTCCCTTTATTTTCATTCCTCCACTTATTACAAAACAGCCAATTTAATTTTATAGTCATCATTTATTATTTATTTTATTTTATATTTTATTTATTTTATTATTAATTTTATCGTATTTATCTTCATTTAATATATTTATATTATGTATGAAATGTTTCTAACTACTTTTCATTTAACTTTAGCTTTTCACTTCTCTTATTTTATATTAAATGTTTATTTAATTATACTTCAAGTTATGTCTACCTTCTATCTCATATTATCTTCATTAATTTTACATATTTCTCTTTATATTTTTTGTATATTTTATCCTATTAGTATTTATTTTATATTCTCACATATTCATCTTATAATTCATTTTTTAAAAATATTCTCCTCACTTGTTTTACATTTTTATTTATTTTTTAGTTTTTTATATTTACTGTATTTATTTTTGTTTAGCTTTTTCTCTTCCATTTATTTTTTCAATTTATAGTTAGTTTTACTACCTTTCGATTATTTTTATTTTATTTTTATTTTCACTTATTTGTGAATACTAACTTAATTATTTTCTATTTTATTTGCAATTATCTCATTTTGTTCTGTCTGCATTTAATTCATTTTTTAATTTTTTACTATATTTTCTATTATGTCTCCATTTATAGTCTTCTTTATTTATTTTCATTTTAGTTTTTAATTTTTTTCATTTTTTGCACTTTTGTTATGTTTGCATTTCTTCCCTATTTTTAAAGTTTTGTTTTTCTTTATATTATCTGTTTTATTTTTATTACTTTATTCATATTTTATTTTTGTTTATCTTTACATTTTAATTTTATTATAGCCCTGTTTATTTTACTTCTATTTATTTTTTATCTTATGACTATTCATTTTATTTAATTGCTAAAATTTTATTTATTTCTTATTACCTCTTATTTCTATAGTTTTGATCCTTCTATTTCTTTAAAATAAAGCAAGATATTATGTTCTTTTTTAAAATGTCTGTCCCTATTTAATAGGCATATATATTTTGGGATACATGAGATATTCTGACATATGCATGCAATGTGAAATAAGCACATTATGAAGAATGGGGAATTAATCTTCTAAACCATTTATCCTTTAAGTTACAAAAAATAGGCCAGGCACTGTGGCTCACACCTGTAATTCTGGCCATTTAGGAGGCCGAGACAGGTGGATCACTTGAGGTCAGGGGCTCAAGACCAGCCTGGGCAACATTTTGAAACCACATCTCTACTGAAAATATTAAAATCAGCTGGCACTGTTGGTGGGTGCCTGTAATCCCAGCTACCTGGGAGGCTGAGGCAGGATAATCACTTGCACCCAGTCAGCAGAGGTTGCAGTGAGCTGAGATCATGTCATATGGAAAACTCCATATCCAAAAAAAAAGTATAATAATAATAATAAGTTATAAAATATTACACTCGTTAAGTACTTTAAATTGTAAAATTAAGTTATTATTGAATATAGTCAGCCTTTTGTGCTATTAAATAGTAAGTCTTATTGATTATTTTTATTTTTTGTGCCCATTAAACATCCTTCTCTCCCCTTAACCAGGCCCTTGCTACCCCTCAGAGACCAAGCTGAGAATCAACTCAAGAACCAATCCCTTTTACTACAGCTGCAAAATAAAATAAAATAAAGAATTCCTAAGAATATGCCTAACCAGGAATGTGGCAGATCTCCATAAGGAAAACTACAAAACACTGCTGAAAAAAATCATAGATGACACAAACAAATTGAAACACATCCCATAAGCATGGATGAATAAAATTAATATTGTGAAAATGGACTATACTGCCAAAAGCAAACTATAAATTTAGTGCAATTTCCAGAAACTGTCATAATCATCCTTCACATAACTAAAAAGCAGAGTCCTAAAATTTATATAGAACAAAAAAAGGTCCCACATAGCCAAACCAAAAAAAAAAAAAAAAAAAAGAAAAAATCTGCAGGTATCACATTATCAGAATTCCAACTACAGTACAAGGCTGTAGTTACCAAAACAGCATGGTACTGGTATAAAAACTGGTATACAGAACAATGGACCAGAATAGAGGACCCAGAAATAGTGCCAAAAACTTACAGCCAATTAATCTCTCATAAAGCAACAAAAACATGAAGTGAGAAAAGGACACCCTATTCAACAAATAGTGCTGAAATGATTTGCCAGCCAGATGCAGAGAAATAAAGGGGGATTCTCATCTCTCACCTTATCAAGAAAATCAACTAAACATGGAGAAAAGACTCAAATCTAAGATCTGAAACCATAAAAGTTCTAGAGGTAACATCAGAGAAACTCTTGTAGACATAGAAAAAGTCTTAAGCAAGAATCCAAAAGCAAGTGCAACAACAAAAAAGGATAAATAAATGGGACTTAATTGAATTAGAAAGCTTCCATACAGCAAAAGAAAGAATCAGCAGAGTAAACAGACAACCCACAGAGGGGGAGAAAAATCTTCACAATCTAGACATGTGACAAACAACTAATATCCAGAATCTACAAGAGACAAACATATCAGCAGGAGGAAAATAAAGGATGCCTACAAAAAATGGGCTAAGAACATGAATGGACAACTCTCAAAAGAAGATGTACAACAGGACAACAAACAAATTAAAAAATACTCAGCACCCCTGATTATCAGGGAAATACAAATAAATGCCTTCCTACCTTCCTCCTGCAAAAATGGCCATAATTTTAAAAATCAAAAAATAATAGATGTTTGCATGGATGTGTCAAAAAGTAAACAGTTTTACACTGCTGGTGGTAATATAAACAGTGGTACAGCCACTGTGAAAAACAGTATGGAGATTCCTTAAAGAACTAACATAGAACTATCATTTGATCTAACAATCCCATACTACATACTACTGAAAAGACACTTGCACAAGCATGATTATAGCAGGATAATTCGCAATTGCAAAAAAAAATATGGAACCAACATAAATGCTCTTCAACCAATGAGTGAATAAAGAAAATGTTAAATACGGATATTATGGGATACCACTGAGCCATAAAAGTAGTAAAATAATTTCATTTGTGACAACCTGGATGTAGCTGGAAGCCATGATTCTAAGGGAGGTAACTCAGAAATACAAAATCAAATGTATGTTTTCACTTATAAGTAGGATCTAAGCCATGAAGATACAAAAGCGTAACAATATAATTAACTCTGGAGACTCGGGGAACAGTGGGATGGGGGTGAGGGATAAATGACTGTACATTGGGTGTAATGTACTCTGCTTGGCGATGGGTGCTCCAGTATCCCAGAAATCACCACTAATTGATTTATTCATGTTACCTCTTTGGACACAATTTTTTTACACAATTAATTGACCATGTGATCTAAATGTTGTCATGGACTTACATTTATTATTTTTGTTTGCTTGTTTTTGTTTCATATAATACATTTGAAAGACAAATTGTAGCATTTAGGCTACAGGTTGTTTTTTATTTGAACAAATCATTAAACATCAGTTGTTCATAAATTGGAATTGAATCTCTAATTTTAACATCCTCTTTTTTTATACAGTATTCTAAACACATGAGCATATTATTCCCAAGTTTATGCTACTTGGAACTTTTAAGACTATCATTTTTAATCCAATGCAACATATTTTTAAGTTGTCCCATACTGTTTCCCAGAAAGTTAGCTTAAGCAGGTAAAACTAGTGTAAATTTTCTATGTCCTGCTTATTTTAATTTGAGAATTAGAACTGTATGATTTTTCTCTGCTGCTGCTTATTTTTCTTAATGTTATGTTAATGCCTAGGTCATTTACCAAAAAGCAATGCAAAATAAAGATTCTCAGTTCATTTAAACAATAAGAATAAGAGAAGTGAACATTCTAGAATAATATTTAAAGTAAAGCTGCACAATACAATAATGGGATTTTAACCTGCATTTTTATAATTTGTGTTGATTCTGCATGTCTTAAGTGTATCATTTCTGGTTAGAATTTTTGTTTGTCCACTTTTACATTGCTCTAAGACAATACTTGAGTCTGAGTTGAATGGACATGTTCTACTATGGCCTGTCCTTGTGGGTTGTAACAGGATGCCTGTGGAATGTTGGATGTTCTAGATGTGACATTTTGAGCTGGCATAAGCTGGACCATTGTCAGTTTTAATTTTTGTGGGCCATCCCGTAAATGCAAAAGTTAAAAGAGGATGTTTAATGACATATCAGGTGGACTCTCCAGGAGAAGCATGAGTGCTAATTAAATGTATCAATGGATACATGTATATATTTAAGTTTTCCAAATTCAGGGACATATGTAACATCTGTTTGCCATAACTGATTAGGTTCTAGTTTTATAGGGTTAGCACCCGTTGAAGGAGGAGATGTACCTGTGAGCTGGCAATCTGGACATTGCAGGGTAATTTGTTTAGCTAACCTCTGGGTAAATTGAGATTGTTTAGATAAGTTTCTCCAGTTTTGGTGAAAAGAATTGATGCAATTAGGTGGCTTAGTCAAGCTGTGATGTCATAACTTGCAGGTCTGCTTTATTATTTCCATAAGCCAATGGGCCAGGCAATGAGCTATGGGCCCAAGTGTGTGTAATAAAAATAGGATGTGTACGTTGATCTAGCAATTGCTGAAGTCAGTGAAAAAGTACACACAGGATGGGCTCCAGAGTGGACTTAATGAGGGCTGTCTCAAGTTTCTGCAATAAGAAAGCAGAGTAAGCAGAGTCACTAACAATATTGATAGGCTGGGTGGAAAAAGTTTCTGAGGCCAATATTAAGGCTCCAACCTCAGCTCTCTGAGTGCTAGCGAATCCAGAAGGAGTGAGGGAATTATGCAGTCTCCACCAAACAGCCGTTTTTCCATTTACCAGAGTCACCAGTAAACAGTGTTAAAGCATCAGGTATGGGGTATTGAACTATTTTAGTAGGCAAAACCATAGAAGTACAAGATAAGAGCTAAAGGAGTTTGTCAGCAGGAAGGGTGTGCTCTATATGTCCTATATAATTGGAAAGTGCTAATTGCAAGTCCATAAATAAGGGCAATAATGCTTCAAATTCCTTTTTACTTAAACAAATTCTGATAACAGAGTCATAACCTAGCAACTGATTGCATCATCTGCAGCCTGAATACATGACTTTATTAACTAACTAACTGGATTTAGGGAGAGAGGGTTTTAGTCCTGATTTGTGAGGAAAAAACTCATTCTAGAGAGACAGCCCTGGGGCCATCGGTCCTATTAACCCTGTAGGAGACTGTTGAGTGGGAAAAACAAACAACTGAACTGAATACCATGCATCTATGCAATCTAGTTGCTTCTGAGAAATAGCTTGCTCTATCTCTTCAGTTTCTCTTCGTGCTGCAGGAGTTAAATACTTGGGAGAGTCTAGGGCAGTATTGCTAAGAAGTGAAGCCAGCTGGGTTTCTGGGTTGGGTGGGGACTTGGAGAACTTTTCTGTCTAGTTAAAGGATTGTAAATGCCCCAATCAGCACTCTGTGTCTAGCTAAAAGTTTGTAAATCCACCAATAAGCACTCTGTAAAAAAGGACCAATCAGCACTCTGTAAAATGGATCAATCAGCAGGATGTAGGTGGGGCCAAATAAGGGGAAAAAAGTGGCCACCAGAGCCAGTAGCGGCAACCCATCATGTCCCCTTCCATGCTGTGGGAGCTTTGTTCTTTCACTTTTTGCAATAAATCTTGCTGCTGCTCTTTTTGGGTCCACACTACCTTTATGATCTGTAACACCACGAAGGTCTGCAGCTTCACTCCTGAAACCAGCAGACCACAAACCCACTGGAAGAATGAACAACTCTGGATGAGCCACCTTTAAGAGCTGTAACAATCATTGTGAAGGTCTGCAGCTTCTTTCCTGAACTCAGCAAGACCACGAACCCACCAGGAGATAAAAAACAATTCTGGACGTGCCATCTTTAAGAGCTGTAACATTCACTGAGGAAGTCTGCAGCTTCACTCCTGAAGTCAGTGAGACCACAAACATCTGAAGGAACGAACTCTAGACACATGGTCTTTAAGACTATAACACTCACTGCGAGGGTCTGCGGCTTCATTATTGAAGTCTGCAAGACCAAGAACCTAATGGAGGGAACCAATTCCAGACACATTGCCTTTTAGCATAGAAAGCCGGTTCTGTAACTTATCACTAGTTATGTCTAAGATGAAGCAAAGCCAGTTAATATCGCCTAGTAATTTCTGATAATCATTTAAGGTGCTAGCATTTAATTTAACATTTTGAGGTCTTACTGACCAAGAAGGTAGTAGGTACCCAAGATTTTTCCAAAGAGAAGACATCTGTATTTTTTTTAGGTGCTATGATTTAATCTCTTAACTGTGTATTCTTTATGACAGAGGCATATAACTTGAAAAGTACTGGCTCTGTTGGGGCTGCTAGTAAAATATCAATAAAATGAATAATCTTGTAATTTGAATTTTTTTTCTACTGTAAAGCTTGATTTACCTGATACTGACATATGGTATGTCTCTTCAGCATACCTTGAGGAAGTACCTTCCAATAAAATTGGTGAGCTGGCTTTTCCTTATTGATAGCTGATCTTGTAAATGGAAGTTTTCTCTGTCCT
Organism: Homo sapiens; assembly: GCF_000001405.40. Classification (NCBI taxonomy): domain Eukaryota; kingdom Metazoa; phylum Chordata; class Mammalia; order Primates; family Hominidae; genus Homo; species Homo sapiens. The sequence continues at coordinate 19,961,464 of NC_000024.10, read as the reverse complement.
GTTTTGCATGGGGGATAGTATAAAAGCAGTCTTTTAAGTCAGTAATGATTATAGGCCAATCTTGATAAATCACTGCAAGGTGAGGGAGCCCCTGCTGAAAGGGCACCATAGGTTGCAGATTAGCATTGACAGCATGTAAGTCATGCAAAAAGTCTCCATTTTCCATTTGGGATTGATAAAAATGGGTGAATTTGAAGGGCTGTTTGACGATTCTATATGACTGGTTTTTAATTGCTCCTCAACTAACTCATGGGCTGTTGGTAATTTCTCTCCCTTTAAAGGCTACTGTTCTACCCAAATTGGATCTTGAGAGAGTCCCATCAAGGGTAGGAGAGGAATAACAGTGGCTATGATTAGAAAAGGCTTTGCTGTTCACAGAATTCATCAAATTCTGCCCTCCAGAGGAGATATTGACTGGTGTTTAAAGTTGTTTTAGCTAGCACTGAGCAGTCTCATGGAGTCATAGATAAGTTGTCTGCTATGGCCTCAATTAATCCTTTTGTAAATGAGCTAGTGTCTCCATTATCTCTAATGGTTTTCCTTATCTCTTTATGTACCTGATTGCTTTGTTGATCTTGCACTACTGGGCAGGCTAAGAGCTCCCCTTTTAATGCCACTTACCTAAGACAGGGTCCCATAACTGTAGTGTATCTCCTGTCTTTTTTCCAATTTATTGTAGGAGGGGGGCTCATGAAATACCTCCATTTTCTCTTTGTTATTTTGGCCCAGTGATAGTGGGGCTGAGGGATTTATTCAGTAGCGATAAGGTGGTAAGATAGGTGATGGTTCCTCCTCCCTCCTCTTTTTTAGGCTCTGCTGTGTAAAGCAGGACCAGAGCCACCCTAACTAAAACCCATAACATCAGAGATGTTACTAGGACTAATTGCCCTAGCACATGATGTTGTTTAAGATTTCTCCCCACTTGTTCCCAGAGCTCTGTGTCTAGCATACCTTCTCCTGGGAACCATGGGTTATGGAAAACAGCAGTTTGCATTAGGTCCCTTAATTGAGCCTGCAAAACCAAGGCTCTGATAGATTAAAGCAGCTGTTTCAATACTTTTATTTATTTTTTATTTATTGTTCTTGTGACAGAGTCTTGCTCTGTCACCCAGGCTGGAGTGCAGTGGCATGGTCTCAGCTCACAGCAAGCTCCGTCTTCCAGGTTCACACCATTCTCCTGCCTCAGCCTCCTGAGTAGCTGGGACTACAGGCACCTGTTACCATACTTGGCTATGTTTTTTGTATTTTTTAGTGGAGATGGGGTTTCACCATGTTAGCCAGGATGGTCTGGATCTCCTGACCTCATGATCTGCCCACCTCAGCCTCCCAAAGTGCTGGGATTACAGGCGTGAGCCACCACATCTGGCCTCAATGCTTTCATGTACTGCTTTTGTTGTGCTGATAACAGTTGCCCCATAATGAAACCCTAGCCTGAACAATTCATTCAAGCCTGGAAATCCTGAGTTGGCACCCATGACTTACTGACTGCATGGTCTCCTCACCTTTGTTTTCAAGGGTTCCATCTCAATCTATTGCAGTGTTCCTCACACAGGACACCACCTGCCATGTCCAACCCACAGATCCTGACCAAGAAACAAATTAACAAATGCACTGCAACATAGATATCCAGTGAAAGAGTGGGCTAGAGGACCAGACCACCCACAGAAAGAGTTGCAGCAGCCTTGGCCCTGACAAGCTGGCACTGCAGGCATTTATTCAGTACAGATTTAATGACAAAGGCCTTGAGTAAAAACACTTGTGGGTAATTAACATGCTCATCCTCCCTGAGAGAGTAGTCCTGTGTACACAGATACTAGGCCTAAGTAAACTAACTTATCTAGATAAGTTTCTTTACATCCCCCTGTTATCTAAACTAAGCTTTCAGGCACTGGATAAGAGAATCTGGCTGCCTTCAGCCAAATCATTTTCCAAAGCTTTTGTAAAACCTCCTGGCTTTCCAAGAGGGTTTGCATCTTTCTACAATTTTTCCCACCACCTTCACCAATCTCCTACAACCCCAGTGACAAACCAGACTTTTAGCACTTAAGTTAAAGGCCCACCCTGATGTTATGTCAGCCTTTGTGGGTCCAGATTTTAGGCCAACCTCCACACATACTAGCTTTTGGCTCATCCTCATTTACCCAACCTCCAGGCCCATCTCTACAGATGCAATTCACAGGTCCACCCCAGTAGATACAGGATTCAGGACCAGCAATGCAGATGTAGGTGCCAGGCCTTTCTACCTGCTGACCAAGGCACCAGGTTAGCCTGCCCAATGACTCCTGCCTGACCAATGACTACCTTCAGACATTCCAGGCATCCTATCCAGAATCTCAGGAAAGGATGACTGGAAGAGGGCTTTCCCAGACAAAGCCAGTCTGCAAGGACAAGACTCCCAGACAAAGCCAGTCTGCAAAGCCTAGAATAAGTCTCTATATTTTCAAAAGGGCAGAAATCAATGTAAAAGGAAAAGAAGGAGAGGTCGAAATCTCATTTTAAATGATAATAGCAGAAAACTCTCAAAAATTGGAGAAATATAAATCTCAGTACAGAAAGATCAAAGGTTTCCAAACAGATTCAATCCAAATAAGATGACACAAAGACATATTATAATTAAACTGTCAAAAATTGAGGACAAAGACCAAATCCTGATAGCAGCAAAAGAAAAGAAGGACCGAACATATAAGATAGTCCAAGGTTAGCAGCAGATTTCTCAGCAGAAATCTTATAGGCTAGGAGAGAGTAGGCTGATATATCAAAAGTGATGAAGGGAAAACAAAAAAACTATCAACCAAGGGTGCTGTATATGTCAAAGATGTGCTTTAGAATTAAGGAGAGATAAAGACCTTCCCAAATAAACAGAAACTGAGAGAGAGAAGAAATGCCTTATAAGAAATGCTAAAGGGAATTCTTCACACCGAACGATCATGATGCAAATTAGCAGCACAAGGATTGACACAGAAATGCCTTTGTCCTTTGTATAATCAGTGAGTTCCCAGGAAAAAAGTTTCTTCTTCTTTTGTGGGTATGAACACTGTGGACTCCAGTGGGTTCTGATGGGCACTTTCCTTTCCTTTATAGAGGATGAGCTTGACCTCTATTAATTATCACTTCAGTTCCTTGATTGGTTCCAGGCCAAAATCCCAGGCCAACCTTTCACTTCAGCTCCTGATAGTTCCCAGGCTAACCTAAGCTACCTCTATGAATCCTCTCTTCAGCTCCTGTTTGGTCCTGGGCCAAGGTTGTGGGCCAACCTGAGCAAGCTTTTTCCAAGATAGCCCACAGACTAAGCACATTTCTTTCCCTTCCCAATGCATAAAATCCCCGAACCCCAGCCTCACAGAGGTTAACCCATTCAGGCCCCCCTGTCTGTCAGCAGAGAGCTTTCTTCTTTCACTTATTAAACTTTTGCTCCAACCTCACCTTTGTGTCCATGATCGTTAATCATCATGAACTTGAGATAAAGAATGCTGGGTGATAGCTCACAAGAAAGGTGGCTACATTTTGGTGCATTCTTACTCATCTTTGTGGGCTGATGTTCCTTCTGTCTTTGAAGTTGTGTCCTTTGATAGTTTTTGTTTTTCTCTTTATCCTATTTGATTTCATTTGGGGTTGGATAGTGGTATTAGGTGGGTTCAGTTGACTGGCTTCATTTCTGAAAGGTCTTATTTGGGAGGTAAGGCTAAGCTCGGGAATTCTGAACTGCATCCTGTAATTATGGGTGAATGTTAAGCAGTCCCAGCTTTGTTCTCTGGCTCCTCCAAGTTTGGGATCTGCTGTGCTAGAGAGACTGAGGTGCTTCCAGGCCTCTGGTCACTGTATCCAATGGTTGGTGCCATCCAAAGTGCTTAGTAAGGAAGGGGACCAGTCCTTGTTTTCCGGTGCTAGTGGCAATGAAATGGAGTGTATTCCTGTTGGCTGTTGCAGGTCCCAGGGTACTGGCCTTTGTGCAGTTTTTTACAGTAGTAGTTGGTGTTAGCATGGCACAGCTGGGTGGGGTGCCCCTGCTGGTGTCTGTGTAAGCATTTGTGCCAGTGGATATGTTAGCATGGGGGTGGAATGCTGGTGGGTGCAGGGCTGTGTGCACCCTCTGTTCTCATTCACATGGATGGCTATGGATGCTCAGGGCTGGGGTGTGTCCACTGGTTTCCATGGCTAGTTTCACACTGGTGGCAGCATTGCACAGGGGCAGGGTGCTAGCAGGGGTGGAGCTGGTGTACTTTGTGCCCACCAATGTTCCTATGGCCATGCCAGTTCATCAGACATGGAAAGCAGAATGCACTCACACTGGCAGTAGTGGCATGGCAGAGTGCACACAGGCATGTGCGTGCACATACACACACTGGCAGAGATGGGAAGGCCAGGTCCTCTTGTGCACACCTGCATTGTCAAGGAAATTTGGAGATAACTGTGAGCCAGTGCATGCAGGCAAATTGATATGGGGGAGGGTGCAGTGCGGGGAGAGAGCTGGCAGGATGGTGTGTTTCTTAAAGCAACACTCTGCTGGAGCTCTCTGCCAGTAAAATGCATTCCACCGGCACAGGAACTACGATATGGGTCCCAGGAGGTACTTCTCACCTGGGCACTCAAGGCTGCACTGCAAGCAGGCATGGCCAGTCTGGGGCCCCAGCAGGGGACAGCCGACTGAAGGGTGCTCAGGCTAGACCAGCCCTATCTCATGTGCAAGATGGCCCTGCAAAGCTGAGGTCTGACAGTTCCCCTATGGCTAAAGTATCCTACAGCAGCAAGTCAGGCCTAGGGAATGGGTGTGCCTGCCCATGCTCCACTACAGACAACAAACCCTCTAGGAATCACACTGGCTGGAGTTCTGTTCCTACTTCTTCTCTAAGCAGCTCTCCCTGCCAACTCACATGTCCATGGTGGTAATGAACTAACCTCCTGGGATTCCAGAGCCCTTGGTGAGAGTGAGTTGTTCTTTGCTAAAAGAGGCTGAGAATGAGTTGTGCCTTGCTAAAAGAGGCTACTTTAAGCTGATAACAACTGAACTTTGATTACATACAAAAACTTTACACTTTTACTCCCTCACATATTTAAAATTTTTGATATCACAATTTATATATTTTTATGTTGTCTTATCAGCAGTTTACAAACATATCTCATTTTAAGAAGAAATCAGATGTTAAAAATTAACCCTCTAGCAGCCGACCATCCACACATATTTTCAAGAAAAAAATTAATCTTTATAATGTCCTAAAAAGAACGGATGATTAACGTCAGACACAACGGCCAACATCACAGACATCTCAACTACTTTAACTTACTAAATTTTGACTAAAAAATTAAAGTTGAGCAAACCTTCTAATTGAATGAGGTCCCAAACTGTTGTACCGAGGTCAGCTAACAATAAGAGAAGAGCATTCAATAAAAATTTTAAATAAGTGGGATGAAGATCCTAAAACATTTATTCAAATAATTTTAACAGATAGAAAACTTTTTTGAAGCATCAATGATTGTATTATTCCTTCATTCAAGCTTCACTATAAATTTGATATTTGTTTTTGTTTCAGTTTTCACAGAATTGATGTTGCTCTGACAGGGACTCTTTTCAAACCAATATACTACACTTCTTAGTACCTTAAACTAAATATTGTTCAGTTGTGTTATAATAAGATAGTACTCATGTATTTGGGGCAAACGTTTTTGAAATTCATGTGTAGATTTAAAATAATATACATTTTACATGATCTTTTTGAAGGCTTTTCATATAATCAAATATTATTCATCCCTAATCAATAAGTAAATCCTGTCATTTTTTACAAAATACATAAGCCTGGAGAAAATTAAGCTAAGTAAATTAAGCCCAACACAGAAACAAATGCTGCATGATTTCCATTACATACAGAAACTGAAGAAATATTGAATAAATAGACAGTAGAATGGTTGCTACCAGGTGTGGGTAGAGGTTATGAAGCCATAGGTAAAGAGCACAAAGTTATAGTTATGTAGGATAAATAAGTAAAGAAATTTAAGGTACAGCATGAAGACTATAGTTAATTTTTTAATATTTTAGATATTTGCTAATGTAATAAATGTTATATCCAATCAACAAAATAAGATAACTTCATGAGATTATAAATACAATCATTGCTTGACTGTAGTAATTATTTCACAATGTATATATAAATCAAAGCATCATGTTGTAGATCTGAAACACATGGAATAAACAGGGAGGCATCATAGTTCTTTACAAGAAGCAACAGACACCTCCTCTACAAAGAGCCAAAACAATAATTACAATAATTACAGTTTAAATAGAGCATCTTAAAGAGAACACTTGAATTCTGGAGAAAAGTGACAAGAAATACCTAAGGCACAGGAGGAAAGAAAAATGAGACAATCAGGATTTACTTGGAGATAAAAGAACCTTCTCATTTTGGATAAAGCATAATTGAGAGATCCCTAGCCACACCCATTTCCACATGGATTCCAGCAACCTAGCTATATCAAACCATCCCACTCTCACAGGCCCTGAGCCTAGTATAAATAGCTCTCTGGAGTCTGTGTAACATTATTCTTTCAGAAAGAGAGCTCACACTGGGTGCCACAATCCCTCTGACACACAGGAGCTGCAGCATGGCACCATTTTGACAGCCCAGCTTTTTCTAGACTGCATCTTGCCCTGAAATTCAACAGTAACTGCCTCTCCATATGTCTGGAATCACACTGACATCCTCTCTGTCTATATGGAGGGCTACAGTGTTATAATATTAGTTTCACCCAGATGTGTGGCCTGTTCCCCAGCACTCTAGCACACACTATCCTACACCCTGAGAAATTAGAGTTGCAGTGTACTAAGGAGAACACGGTTGAGCCAAAATAAGCCAAAATATATGTTCCCCAGAGTCTGAGACCAGTATCACTGACAGCCATATTGCTCCACCCACAGCAAAATCACCATGTCATTATACGTGCCCTGAGAAGAGTCTCCCCACCCACAACTACAAGTGATGCTTCCACCACCTGACACTCCACTCATGATTCAGAGAATTGCCTTGCCCTAACCATTACAGCCTTCACCTGTGTTCATTATTAAGAGGCCTGAAGTTAGGTTAATCCCACCAACCACCAATCCATTACAATACGTAAACACACTACATACAGTTGTGAAGCCTTTCCTATCTGTCACACAGTACCTGTACACATACCGTCAGAGGGTTTCACAAAGAATCAAGCTATCAGCTGCTTGAGCCTACTCCTACAATCACTATGGGCACCCATTCACACATGTCTCCTTGGGGCCTAGACCCTGGCCCACTTAGCTTGTTACTATCACAACTTAAACCAGCATGCGTCACCTGAAATTACAGGGAATGTCTCACCACAACAGCCATTTTTCATGCCACACAGAATGCCCAGGGGTGTGGGAACCCACCCATCTGTTCAGTTCGCTGCTGCCAATGTTGTCACCAGAACAAGTTGCATGTAGGCCCAAGAATCGGCCATCCTGGCCTCTCTAACAATGGTGTCAACATACACCACTGGATGCTCTGTGGTCCAAAGGACAGGTGTGGTTTACCCACTTTTGGGATCAAAGTACCAAAATGCCTAGTAACGCTATTACCGGAAAACCCTCGCCACAGCCTCATGAACATCTGCAGCCATCACAGATACTTGGGAGGCTGAGGTGGGTGGATCACCTGAGGTCAGGAGGTCAAGACCAGGCTGACTAACATGGTGAAACTCTGTCTCTACTAAAAAAAAAAAAAATAGCCAAGCATGGTAGCACATGCCTGTGATCCCAGCTACTTGGAAGGCTGAGGGAGGAGAATTGCTTGAATCTGGAAGGCAGAGGTTGCAGTGAGCCAAGATCGTGCCATTGCACTCCACCCTGGGCAATAAGAGTAAAACTCTGTCTCAAAAACAAAAAAACAAAAAAAAAAAAGGAAAGAAAGAAAAATAACAGTTACCACTGATGCTGCTGAAAGCCAGCTAGATCATACAAAGTATACACTACTACCTACACCCAGAATGAAAGGTAGAGTGTCCTAGCCAGAACAATCGGCAACAAAATGAATATAACACATTCAAATAGAAAGAGAGAAAGTCAAACTATCTCTCTTTTTACATTATATAATTCTATGCCTAGAAAACCTAATAGACTATGCCTCAAGGCTTCTAAAACTGATAAACAACTTCAGCAATGTTTCAGCATACAAAAGCAACACACAAAAATCACAGCACTTTTATACACTAATAACATTCAAACTAAGAGCCTAATCAAAAATACAATTCCATTTGCAATAGCCTCAAAAATAATAAAATATCCAAGGATCCAGGTCAACAGGGAGGTAAATGGTTTCTAAAAAGGATTACAAAACACTGATGATGAAAATCATCACTTATGACATGAACAAATACAGAAACAGTTCATGTTCATTAAAGGAAGAACCAATTTTTTTTATTATACTTTAAGTTGTAGGGTACATGTGCACAACGTATAGGTTTGTAACTTATGTATACATGTGCCATGTTGCTGTGCTGCACCCATTAACTCGTCATTTAACATTAGGTATATCTCCTAATGCTATCCCTCCCCCATCCTGCCACCCCACAACAGGCCCTGGTGTGTTATGTACCCCTTCCTGTGTCTGTGTGTTCTCATTGTTCAATTTCCACCTATGAGTGAGAACATGCAGTGTTTGTTTTTTTGTCCTTGCAATAGTTTGCTGAGAATGATGGTTTCCAGCTTCATCCATGTCCCTACAAAGGACATGAACTCATCCTTTTTTATGGCTGCATAATATTCCATGGTGTATATGTGCCATATTTTCTTAATCCAGTTTATCATTGTTGCACATCTGGGTTGGTTTCAAGTCTTTGCTATTGTGAATAGTGCCGCAATAAACATATGCACGCATGTGTCCTTATAGAAGCATGTTTTGTAATCCTTTGGGTATACACCCAGTAATGGGATGGCTGGGTCAAATGGTATTTCTAGTTCTAGATCCCTGAGGAATCACCACACCTTCTTCCACAATGGTTGAACTAGTAGTGTACAGTCCCATCAACAGTGTAAAAGTGTTCCTATTTCTCCACATCATCTCCAGCACCTGTTGTTTCCTGACTTTTTAATGATCACCATTCTAACTGGTGTGAGTTTGTATCTCATTGTGGTTTTGATTTGCATTTCTCTGATGGCCAGTGATGATGAGCATTTTTTTCATGTGTCTTTTGGCTGCATAAATGTCTTCTTTTGAGAAGTATCTGTTCATATCCTTCACCCACTTTTTGATGGGGTTGTTTGTTTTTTTCTTGTAAATTTGTTTGAGTTCATTGTAGATTCTGGATATTAGCCCTTTGTCAGATGAGTGGATTGCAAAAAATTTCTCCCATTCTGTGGGTTGCCTCTTCCCTCTGGTGGTAGTTTGTTTTGCTGTGCAGAAGCTCTTTAGTTTAATTAGATCCCATTTGTCAATTTTGGTTTTTGTTTCCATTGCTTTTGGTGTTTTAGACATGAAGTCCTTGCCCATGCCTATGTCCTGAATAGTATTGCCTAGGTGTTCTTTTAGGGTTTTTATGGTTTTAGGTCTAACATTTAAGTCTTTAATCCATCTTGAATTAATTTTTGTATGAGGTGTAAAGAAGGGATCCAGTTTCAGCTTTCTACGTATGGCAAGCCCGTTTTCCCAGCACCATTTATTAAGTAGGGAATCCTTCCTTATTTCTTGTTTTTGTCAGGTTTGTCAGAGATCAGATAATTGTAGATACGCGGCATTATTTCTGAGGGCTCTGTTCTGTTCCATTGGTCTATGTCTCCGTTTTGGTACCAGTACCATGCTGTTTTGGTTACTGTAGCCTTGCAGTATAGTTTGAAGTCAGGTAGCATGATGTCTCCAGCTTTGTTCTTTTGGCTTAGGATTGACTTGGCAACATGGGCTCTTTTTTGTTTCCATATGAACTTTAAAGTAGTTTTTTTCCAGTTCTATGAAGAAAGTCATTGGTAGCTTGATGGGGATGGCATTGAATCTATAAATTACCCTGGGCAGTATGGCCATTTTCACGATATTGATTCTTCCTACGCATGAGCATGGAATGAGGAAGAACAAACTTTTCTAAATGACCATACTACATGAAGCTATGTGCAGATTGAATGCTATTTCTTTTTTTCTTTTTCTTTTCTTTTTTTTTTTTTTTTTTTTTTTGAGACAGAGTCTTGCTCTGTCTCCCAGGCCAGAGTGCAGGGGCACGATCTCGGCTCACTGCAAGCTCCACCTCCCAGATTCATGCCATTCTCCTGCCTTGGCCTCCCAAGTAGCTGGGACTACAGGTGCCCGCTAATTTTTTGTACAGATTGAATGCTATTTCTATGAAACAAAAAAATCCAAAATTAATATAGAATTAAAAAAGTGTCTGAATTACTGAAGCAAACTGAGTAAAAAGAGTGAAGGAGGAAGCATGGTACTACCCAAATACAAGCTATACTACAAGGCTACAGTAACCAAAACAGTATGGTATGGCTACAAAAACAGACACAAAGACCAATGAAACAGGATAAAGAACGCAGAAATTAAGCTACACATCTATAACTCTAAGATTTTTGACAAAGTCACAAATAACAAGCAATGGGAAGAGAACTCCCTGTTCAGTAAATGGTACTGGAAAACTGGCTAACCATATGCAAAAGATTGAAACAAGATGCCTATATTTTACCACATACAAAAATTAACTCAATATAGATTGAAGACATAAAAGTAAAACAAGAAATTAACTTAGATTTCCATCAAAGGTGAACTGCATAAAGAAAATGTGGTACATGTATACCATGAAATACTGCATAGCCATATAAAGAATGAAACCATAGTCTTTGTGGCAATATGAATAGGTTTTGGAGGCCATTATTTTAAGCAAAAACAGAAAACCCAATACTACATTTTCTAACTTGTAAATGTGAGATAAACCTTAAGTACACATGGACACAAAGAAGGTATCAATAGACACAAGGTTCTAACTGAGGGCAGAGGGTGGAAGGAAGAGAATGATTACAACTTCTTAGGCACTATGCTCAATAACTGGGTGCTGAACCCATTTATACATTAAACCCCAGGAACATGTATTTTCCCCGTGTAATAATCTTGCATATTATGCTTTACACTTAAAACAAAGTTGTAGGAAAAATAAGAAAATGAGAAAGTAATTAACAAAAGACAAAAATAAGTCCTAACCTATCAATAGTAACATCCAGTATAAATAGATTAAATTCTCCAATCAATATTTGTAGACTGGCTGAATAATATGAAAAACAGGACTTAATTATATGCAGCCAATGGGGAATTCACTTTGTTTTTAAAGGAACATATTGACTGAAAGTGAAGAAATAAAAAAAAAGAAATTTCACTCAAACAAAAAGCAAAAATGAGTGGGAGTAGCTATGCTTATATCTGGTAAACCAGACTGTAAGCCAAAAAAAGTAAGAAGAAAAAGAAAGTCATTATGTAATACAAAAGGAGCCTTCATTAAGATGATATAACGATTTTAAATATATCTTCACCTAACACTGAAACATCCAAATATATAGAGCTAATATTATTAGATTGAAAGACAGAGATGAACTCCAGTACAATAATATTTGGAGACTTTAACACTCTACTCTCAGTATTGGAGAGAAAATCTAGACAGAAAACAAAAAGTACAATTTGGTTTAAGCTGAACTTTAGACCAAACAGAACTACCAACCTTTACAGAACATTTTATTTAGCAGTTGCAGAATACAGTTTTTCTCATTAGCACATGGGTCATTCTCTAGGATAGATAATTTGTTAAGACAGAAAATAAGTCTCAACATTAGAAATAATGAAATCATATTAATTATCTTCTCAGACTACAATTGGAAAAAACTATAAATTAATAACAAAAGGATCTTTGGAATCCATCTAAATATAGAAAAATTAAACTCTATGTTTCTGAGCAACAATTGAGTCAATAAAGATATAAGAAAAATTCAAATAATTTTTGGAACAAACAACAGTAACAAGTAGCATAAGCAGTACTAAGAGGAAAATTTATAACAATAAATACTCATATCAAAAAAGCAAACAAGAAATAAGTAAACAACCAAAGAATGCACTTTTAACCAGCTTTAAAAAGCAAAACAAAAGAAAACCTAAACACATAGAAATAAGGAAATAGTAAATATCAGAGGAGAACTGAACCAAGTAGTGACTTAAAAAATATTTTAAAAATAACAAAATGTAATTTTTTTGCGGAAAAAGTGATAAGCCACTAGTTGGACTAAGACAAAGAAGAAAAATCAAATAAATAAAATCAAAAACAAAAAAAAGTTACAACAGATACAAAAATAAAAAGGATTATCAGAAACTATTATGAGCAGCTATCCATTGACAACATGGAAGCACTAGCGGAATTAATTCTTACACATATATAACCTAACAAGATTGAATTAGGGAGACATAGAAAATCAAAAGAGACCAACAATCAATAACAATTGAATTAATAATAAATGTCTTCCAATGCAAAAAAACTCTAGGATTGGAAAGCCTAATTCCTGCAGTGTACCAAATTACAAAGAAGTAAAACCAATTCTCCTCCAACTATTTCAAAATAGGAGAAAGGAATACTCCCTAACTTATTTTATGAGGTGAGTATTACCTTGACCAACAAAGGACAAGAATACAATAAAAAAGAGAAAACTAAAGACCATTATCCCTGATGAATATAGATACAAACAACCTCAATGTAGTAGTAGGAAACAAAATTCAATAGTGCATCAAAAAGATTATGCAACATAATCAAGTGAGATTTGTTACAGGTATGCAAGAATGGTTCAGCAAACACCAATCAATAAATATGATACACCACATCCACAGAATGAAGGACAAAAATCTTATGGTCATCTCGTTATACACAATAAAACATTTGATAAAATTTTACTTTCCCACTTGAGAAAAGAGGGAATCAAGATGGCTGAATAGATCCAGCTAGTATGCACTTTTCCCACAAGAGAACACGAATAGCAAATAAATATTCATACAATGGATTATCTAAGAAGGAATATTGAGACTCAACAGAGATGTAATAGGAACAACCAAAAGTAAGGAAGGAGAGTAAACCAATTGTCTTGGAGTTAGGGGAAGACACTAGACACAGGAAAAAGTAAAAGAAAGAACTCCACATTTGCACCGTTAGATTTAACAATCTTAGCTGTGAGAAAACATCTCCTTTTGTGTGGTCATTACACCTGACATAGACAGCTGCCTAGGTATTGCAAAGGTAAATTGCTCCAGAACGAGAGATCAAATAGAGTACCACAAACGTGTGAGTCCAGAGTTGCTTCAGCCTGGTATTTCTATGAGAGATAACTACCAGAATCTGTGTTCTGTCCTGAGTTCAGAATGATATGGTCACTGCTGTTGCTGTCACTGGTCTGAGAAAAGATAGGGAAGACTGAGCACTCCCATGTATACATAGAACAAATAATACCACACTGAAGTAGGATGCTGCAAGACCAAAGTAAAGGCAGGCCACAGTTTCCACTCTTATCTCCCCACACTTCTCTAGCTGACAGGGGCCTCACACTCCCCAGTGGCAGCAATGCAGCACAGCTGTCATAGCTGACAGTTGAGCACTCTGCTGGTGTCCTGAAGAATATTATTTTCTTTAAGTCACAGTCAGTGTCTGTATGCACCACCAAGGGGTCTGAGAACAAGTCTGCTGGCCTGTTCCTGTGCTCCTATTACATCCAAGGGCCTACTAATTTTTCAGCCCAGTTACTCCTCCCTGGATGAAAGGACAAGCTAACACAACTAGCCAGTACCACCAGTTGACATCAATCTGTACATGTTACCGGTAGACCAGAGGACTGGCCCACCCAACCCACTGCAGCCACCACCAATATCAGCATGAATTGCTAGGGTTCTAATCAATTGCTCCACCACTGCTCCTGCCATCAACCCCATCTCATCAGTTGCTCAGGAGTCCTAAGGATCACCTATATGCCTGGATTATCACTGCCACTACCTACATCTTATCATAACAAGCTACCTTGAGTCAAAAAATCCACCCCCCAACAAAATCCACAACTGGATCGTATAGTGCCAGCATAAACCCCTCTGGAACCAATGAACAGTCACACTCGGCTCACTGGTGCTACCACTGGGGCCCAAAGACTGCCCACATGGGATTCTACTCTACAGCAAAATTTTACCACAAGTCTCTACACAAAGTCACTGAGAAAATTACAGATGCAACTAATCCTGTGTATTCCTGAACAACTTATACAGAGATCACACTATGACAGGCACCTAAAATTAAAGTTAGATCATTCTATACAACCAAGAAAATATATACATTCTTCAGGAAAAAATTCTCCCCATGAATGTAGTTTAAAAAAATTGGAAGAAGTGACTGTTACACCATATTTGCAGATATTAATGTAAGGACAGAGAAAACATAACAAACAAGAAAATGTAACACCACTAATCAAAGACAGTAATTTTCAAGTAACAGGTTTCAGTTAAAATGAAATTTGCAAAATTCTGGGTCAATAATTCAAAATGCTGATTTTTAAAGAAGCCTTGAAAAACAAGGGAATCCAGAAAATTAATGCAAACAAATCAGAAAAAAATTAAGAATATGAATGAGAATTTTACCAAATAGATAATTTAAAAAATTAAATATAGGAATTCTGAAGCTGAATAATTGAAGAAAATACAAATGCATTTTAAAACTACAATAGCCTCTCTCAGCAAAAGAAATAATATTGAAACACGAAGACAAGTATTTTGAAATAACATGATTAGATAAAATTTTAAAAAATTAAAAATGAGTAAAAGCCTTCATGACATATAGGACAACGTACAGAAAGTAAATAAGCAAATTATTAATATTATAAGGGTGAATGGAAAATTTTTAAATTAGAAATTTTATTTAATAAAATAATAGATAAAGATTTCCCAAGTCTATCAATATATTTATATATTCAGATAAAGGAGTCTGAATGATTCCCAGGTAAACACAGTGCAAAAAGTTATACTTGTGACATTTTATAATTTGTCTAAAGTAAAATACAAAGAGTGAATCTTAAAGGGAGCAATAGAAAAGCATCTAATTACCTATAAAGGGAAAAAAATCACCAAACTAATGCAGACTTCTGAGCCTAAATGTTTCAGTCAGAAAATAATAAAATGATATATTCATAGTGCTTAGAGAGAAAATACTGGGAGTCAAGAATGAAATACCCAGCAATAATATCCTTCCTAAAATAAATAATGTTTTTCCAAGACAAGGAAATTCTGAAGAAATTTGTTACCACTAGACTGGACCGACAAGAAATTTTCCAGGAAGTCCTATATCTGGAAGTAAAGGATGACATTACCCATTATAAAATCACACAGAATTGTAAAACTCACATGTAAAGCAGTCACACAAAGAAAGAAAAGAAAGGATGCAAATGATGTCACCACAGAAATCAATAAACCATAAAGAGAGAAATATGAGAAAAAGAAAATAATGAAAATATATAAACACCTAGAAAATAGTTAATATAACAAGAAATAAACCTCACAGTTAATGAAAATCTCAATGTAAATGGACTACAATCTTCAGGTAAAAGACATAGAATGACTGGATGAGTTGAACTAATCATGACCCATCGATATGCTTTTTACAAGAAGCTCACCTTACCACAGAGACTAAAAATAAAGATACACACACACACACACACACACACACACACACACGTTTATTCCATGCAAATAGAAACCAAAAGTCAATTGAAATACCTGCACTCATATCAGATAAAACAGACTTCAAATCAAGAACAGCTGAAAGAAAAAAAATCAAGTAGATTATTACCTAATAATAATGGAATCAGTCAAATGAGAAGGTAATAATTTTAAATACATACACGCATCTAACATTGGAGCACTCAGTGTTAAGAAGAGAGGCTAAGAAGAGAGATATACTGCAATACAATAATATTGAGAGAACTTCAATACCCCAGCTTCAGCATTAGACAGCTCATTTATACCAAAAATCAATAAAGATATATTGGGTTAAGATATATTTTAAACCACATAGATATTTACAGAACACTCTTTTCAACAATTGCAAAATAGGCATTTTTAAAATCAGCGCATAAAACATTCTTCAGGATAGATCATATATCAGCATTCATCAGTCTTTGTAAATTTTAAAAAGTCAAAATCATATCAAATACTTTTGTTATACCACAGTAGAATAAAAGTAGAAACAATATCTACCCAAACTCTCGAAATTATACTATACAAATACATAAAAGTTAAACAACATACTCTTGAATGACCACCAAGTAATAAAAAATTGTTAAAATTTATTTAATAATTGCTTGAAACAATTGAATGTGGAAACACAATATATGAAACTTGTGCAATACAGCAAAAGCAATACTAAAAGGATAAAATTCATACCAATAAATACCTACACAAAAAAGTAAAAAGATATTATAAATTAACAATCTAAAAATGTTCCTCAAGGAACTAGAAAGCATGAACAAAAAATCCAAATGTAGCAGAATAAAGCAATAAAAATAATCTTAGTAGAGCTAAAATTAAAGAGACCAAAAAAACATTGAAACAAAACGTAATTTGAAAATATAAAGAAAATTGATAAATGTCTAGCTAGACAAACCAAAAGGAAAAAGAAAAGCCAAATAAAGAACATCAGAAATAAAAAAAAGACATTACAAGTGATATAATACAAAGAGGTTATCAGAGACTATGATGAACAACCATACATAAATGAACTGGAAAGTTTAGCAGAAATGAACAAATTTTTGAAATCATGCAATTACACAAGACTGAATCAATAACAAATGGAAAACCTGAACAGACCAACAATGGGTAAGAAGATTGAATCAATAATGAAAAGTCTTCCAACAAATAAAATCCAAAAATTGGATAGGTTCTTCACCACATTCTGCAACATGTATACAGAAGAACTAACATCAGTTCTACTGAAACTATTTGAAAAATGATCAAAGAAGAGAAAATTCTTCTCAATTCATTCCAGAAGGCCAGCATCATCCTGATAGCCAAACCAAACAAGGATAAAACAATAATAATAATAGCACAACAACTTCAGTTGTGTATCGCTGCTGAACACAGATACAAAAATTCTCAACAAAATATCGCCAAACAGAATCCAGCAGCAAATCAAAAAGTGTTGCATGAAGATAAAGTGGAATCTACACCATAGATTCAGGACTGGTTCAACACAAGCAAATCACTAAGCATAATATATCACATCAACAGAATAAAGGACACAGGAAAAGCATTTGATAAAATTCAGCACTTTGTCATAAAAAAACACTCAACAAGTACACATAGAGGAACATACATTGAATAATAAAGCGTATAAATGACAAACCCACAGCCAACATCACTCTAAATGGAAAAACGTTAAATGTCCTTCTTAAAAATAGAACAATACAAAGATGCCCATGTTCATCACTCCTATTCACCACAACACTGCGAGTATTAGCCAGAGCCATCAGGCTAAAGAAGGAAATAAAAAGTATCCAAATTAGAAATGAGAAAGTCAAACTGTCCCTCTTTTCTGGCAATATGATCTTAAATGCAGAAACACCTAAAGACTTCACAAAAAATTTATATTTGACAAATAAGTTCAGTAAAATTGTAGGTTACAACAACTTGCATTTTCATACAATAGTCATCTAGCTGAGAAAGAAATCAAGAAGTCAATCTCATTCATAATAGCTGCAAAATATTAAACTACCTAGGACTAAATTTTAAAAAGGATGTGAACAATTAATACAAGGAAAACTGCATACACAAAAAATGTTGAAATAAATTTTACATGACAAAAACAACTGGGAAAACATGGACTAAGCTTATGGTCTAAAAGATAAAGTATCATTGAAATGATCACATTGTCCAAAACAAGCTGTATACTTAGTGCAACCCTATAAAAATACCAACATCATTATTCACAGAATATTTTTTAATCCTGAAATTCTCATAAAACGCAAAAGAGGACATATAAACAAACCAATTTTGAGCAAATAGAAAAATGTTAAAGGCATTATACTACTTGACTTCAAAAATACAAGTCTGTAGTGACCAAAACAGCATGTTAGTGGTATGAAAATAGACACATAGACTACTTTTAGTAATAAGGAATACAGCCATAAGTAACAGTTAAAGATATTTATAGCTAAGTGATCTTTGACATAACTGATAAGAATTTAAACTCAGTAAAAGAAATCGTCCTAATATATATTGCTGGAAAACTGGATAGCCACATGCAGAAGAATACCTGTGCCTCTTATCTCTCACAATATATATAAATCAACTCAAGATATATGAAATATTTGGGAATGTGAGACCTGAAACATTAAAGCACTAAAAGAAAACCCAGAAATATACATTTGGATGTTGGCCTAGAGGAGGAAATTGTGACTAAGACCTCAAAAGCACAGGAGAGAAAAATGAAAATTGACAAATGGGACTTAAATTAAAAAGTTTTGCACAGCAAAAGAAATAACCAATAGAGTGAAAGACTTTCTGTTAAATGAGAGGAAATGTTTACAACCTACTTATCTCTTAGGGCACTAAACATCCAAAATATACAAAGATCTTATATATGTTAACATAAAAAAACTCATTAAAAGCAGGGCAAAATATATTAATAGACTTTTATAAAGAGAAAATGTGCAAATGGCAAACAGGCATATGAAACACAGTCAACATTACTAATCATCATGGAAATGCAAAATCAAAAACCACAATGGGTTATCACCTTACCCCAATCAGAATGGTTTTATTACAGACAAGGAACAAAAAATCTTGGTAAGGATGAGAGAAATGGGAACTCTAAAATACTGTTGGTGGAAACTTAAACTAATGCAGCCACTGTGGAAAACAATATGAAGATTCCTAAAAAAATGAAAATAGAATTACTATTCAATTCAACAATTTCATTGCTAGATATCTACTGCAAAGGAAGTCAATACATCAAATAAATACCTGTGCTTCCATGCTTTTTTGTGGCATTGTTCACAACAGTGTAACATGAAATCAAATGAAGTGTCCATCAACATAACTGGAAAGGGAGGTCATTATGTGAAGTGAATTAAACCAGGCACACAAAGACAAATATTAAATGTTGTAACTCATATGTGGATGCTAAAATAATTGATCTCAGAAAAGTAGACAGAATAGAGTGATAATTACCAGAGACTGGGAGGGTTGTGTGAAGTTGGGGGTGGTAAACAGAGATGGGTTAATGGGTACTAACATATAGTTAGATAGAAGGAATAAACTCTAATGTTTGATAGCAGTATAGGGTGACTATAGTTAATAACAATATGTTGTATATTTTAAAATAGTTAGAAGAGAAGATTTTAAGTTTTCAACACAATGAAATGATAAATATTTGATGTGGTGGATATTCTAAATACCCTAACCTGATCATTACATATTTTATGTATGTATCAAAATATTGCATGTACTCCATACATATATACAATTATTATGCATTAATAAACATTTACATTAAAAATAAAGATACATAATAAAATAAAAAAAACTTTTTTTTTTGCAAAAAGGAAAGTAGTTTGCCTTATACAATAAAAATAAAATCTTGTTATAGTACTTTTCTTTCAGACATGGACATATAAATGTTTTTACTGTATTAAAGAAGTAATTTTTTTAAGGCAAACAAAAGAAACTTAATACAACCATAAGATTATTTTATGACTGTAAGTCTTATCTTAAAATGTTACATAAAGTTTTAAAATTAAAATATTTGTTAGTATTATTTAATCAAAATATTTGAATCAATTTTTTAAATATTAAAACTATTGTTGAAATTAAAATGTCTTTAATTTTCCATTTTATTAAGTCAGGTAGCAAAATGATTATTTTTTCTCTATTGTGATAATTTATTTTTATTTTTAAAAACTTTATTACAATTTACACAATTACAAATAAAAATTTTATATATTATATATTTGTACGATACAATACAACTTGATGTTTTGATATATGTTTACATTGTAAAGTTGTTCAATCAAGGTAATTAACAAATTCATGACTTTAAATACTTATATTTTGTCAAAACATTTAAGATTTATGCTTTTAGTGATTTGAAATATGTAATAAATTGTTATTTTAGTCACCATTTGTAAGAAAGCTTACTAAATCACAATTCTCCTGTCTATAATTATGTATGTGTAACCAACATTTTTAATTTCTCTATTCAGCCCTTTCTTCTATCCTGTGATAATCATCATTCTACTCTTTATTTCTATGAGTTTGACTTTTAAGTTTTCACATATAAATGAGATCATGTGGTATTCATCTCTTGTGTCTGGCTTACTTTACTAAGTATAATGACCTTTGAGTTCACCCTTATCATCTCAAATAACAGTATTTCATTACTTTTAAAGGTTGAATCATATTTCATTGTGTATATGTACCAGATTTTCTTTCTATTTATCTGACAATGAACACATATAGTTTCCTTTCATATCTTATCCATTGTGAATAATGTTGCAATGAACCTGAGAGCATATGAACATAACTCTTCAACATACCCTTTTCAGTTGTTTTGGATATATATCTGGAAGTGGGATAGTTCCATGTTTAGTTTTCTAAGGAAAACTCTACATTGTTTTTCTTAATGTCTCTATTGATGCACAATTCTACCAACAGCATACAGGGTTCCCATTTCTTCACACTGTCACCAATTATTTTTAATTTCTGTATTTTCATTTTTTAATGTTTGTTTATTATTTATTTATTTATATATTTTTTTGTGGCATGTCTCATTCTGCCATCCAAACTGGAATGTAGTGGCATGATGTCAGCTCACTGCAACATCTGCCTTTTGGGCTGAAGCAATTCTGCCTCAGCCTCCTAAGTAGCTGGGATTATAGGTACATGCCACCATGGCTAATTTTCGCAATTTTGGTAGAGACAGCTTTCACCATATTGGCAAGGCTGGTCTTCACCTCCTGACCTCAAGTGATTGACCTGCCTCAGGCTCCCAAAAGACTAGGATTACAGGAGTAAGCCACCACGCCCAGCCTAACTCCAGTGAGTTTTTAAATAAAAGCCATTCTATCAGATGGAATATATCTTACTGTGATTTTAACTTTGCCATTTGTATGTCTTTTTTATGTATTATTATTTTATAATCATATTTGACTCACATGTGGAAAACATTGTAAGATATTACAAAAGGCATTTTTTTACAATCACCTGGGTATGATATTTATTATGTTTTTATTATTTAAGTAGTTTTGGGAGAACAGGTGGTGTCTGCTTACATGAATAAGTTATTTAGAGGTGATTTCTGAGATTTTGGTACACCCATCACCCCAGCAGTGTATACTAGACCCAGTGTGTAGTATTTTGAGATATCATTGAATGAAAGAGCTTTTACACAGCATAACAAACTATCAACAGTGTAAACAGACAACCTCCACAATAGAAGATAATTACTGCAAACTATGCATTTGACAAATGTCTAATATTACAGGAAAGAAACAACCACATTAGAAAGTGGGCAAAAGACATGAAAAGACACTTTTCTAAGGAAAATATACAACTGGCCAAAAATCATATTTCAAAAAATCTTATCACTGATAGTTGGAGAAATGCAAGTCCAAACCACAGTGAGGTACCATCTCATACCAGTCAGAATGACTATTAGCAAAAGTCAAAAAATAGCGAATGCTGATGAGGTTGCAGAGGAAAGAGGGCATTTATACACAGTTAGTGAGACTCTAAGTTAGTTCAGTAATAGAGAGCAGTATTGAAATTCCTCAAGAAGTGTAAAACAGAACTATCATTTGACCCAGTAATTTCATTACTAGGCATATAACTAAAGGAAAATAAATTGTTTTATTATAAAGACATGTGTTCACAATAGCAAAACATGGAACCAAATTATGGTAGACTAGAGAAAGAAAATATGACACATATGCACTATAGAATACTAGGCAGCTATAAAAAAGAATGAGACCATGACCTTTGCAGGAATATGGTTGGAGCCGAAGGTCATCATCCTTAGTATACTAATGTAAAAAAGAAAACTAAATACCACATCTTCTCACTTAGAAGTAGAAGCTAAATAGTGAGAAAACATGAACACAAAGAGAAAAACAACAGATGATGGATCCTACCAGAGGCTGGAAACTGAAAGGAGGGTGAGGACCAAGGAAAATAACTAACTGGTACTAGGGTTACTATCCTGGTGACAAAATAATCTGTACAGCAAACCCCTATGACACATGTTTACCTATACAACAAACCAGCACATGTATACCAGAACTTAAAAGTTTTTTTTTTTTTTTTTTTTTTTTTTTGAGACGGAGTCTCGCTCTGTCGCCCAGGCGGGAGTGCAGTGGCTCAGGCGGGAGTGCAGTGGCTCAATCTCGGCTCACTGCAAGCTCCGCCTCCAGGGTTCACGCCATTCTCCTGCTTCAGCCTCCCGAGTAGCTGGGACTACAGGCGCCCGCCACCACGCCCGGCTAATTTTTTTTGTATTTTTAGTAGAGACGAGGTTTCACCGTGTTAGCCAGGATGGTCTCGATCTCCTGACCTCGTGATCCGCCCGCCTCGGCCTCCCAAAGTGCTGGGATTACAAGCGTGAGCCACCGCGCCCGGCCTATTCTATGTATTTTTACAAAATATATTTTTACATTGTTTTCAACTACATCAGTAAAACTTCATAAATGTATGATATCCATACATATATATGTATGGATATATAAATAATCTGTATTGCCTTACCTAGATTGTCATCAAATATTGTCAGTTGTTGCTGTACAATAACTTGGTTAGCTTGTTCTTTTTCATTGCTAATAGTTTCCTCATCTAGATATACTAAGTGAATATCTGAATACTTAAATTTAAATTAATAATCTAAACCATGATTTTAAGGTTAATTTCTCAATTATCTACTCTGTCTGTAATATTTTTTAATTTGTATATTTTTATGTGTCCTGTTTTCTTATTAATTGTAGGGCTAACAGTATTAACATCATGCACTTTTCTCTCTTTACTGTCCTCCCTTTGCCTGAAAATTAAAGTTTTCATGCTTTAGTTTATCACTGAGAATTAGCTTAACATTAATTGTTCTCAGTCTAACTTTTCATCCTTATTTATTTTTCTGTTATTTCCCAAATTTATAATATAATTAAAATTACCCAGCTCAATCTATTTTAGCTTTGGTGAAATGGCTCCATCATTATGATTTCTGTGCACTGCAGAGTTATTAAAATGTGGAGTTATTATTTTAAAAATAAAAAGTACATATACCTATTTAACATTTTTAATTTAAAAATATTAACTATACATATTCATGAGGTACATACTTTTCTTTCTTTTTTGTGTAAATTAAAGGAGTAATAGCTTATGCCTGTAATCCCAGCACTTTGGGAAGGCGAAGTGGGCAGATCACAATGTCAAGAGATCGAGAGCATCCTGGCCAATATGGTGAAACCCTGTCTCTACTAAAAATACAAAAATTAGCTGGGCCTGGTGGTATGTGCCTGTAATCCCAGCTACTCGGAAGGCTGAGGCTTAAGAATCACTTGAAACCATGAGGTGGAGGTTGCAGTGAGCCAAGACTGTGCCACTGCACTCCAGCCTGGGTGACAAGAGTTATACTCTAGCTCAAAAATATAATAATAATAATAATAATAATAATAATAATAATAATAATAATAATAAAATCAAATAAAGGAGTACACATTCAATTTTGTTATATGGACATATTATGTAGTGGCGAAGTCTGCTTTTAGTATAATTATCACATGAATAATGTACATTGTGTCCAATGAGTGATTTCTCATCTCTCTGTATATATATACACATGAAATACTGTTCAGCCATAAAAAGAATGGAATTATATCTTTTGTAATAACATGAATAGAACTAGAGGCATTATCTTAAGTAAGATGACTTAGGAATAGTCAAACACATATATTTTCCCATGCAAGTGGGAGCTAAATACTGTACACAAATGTACATAGAGTTTGGAATAATAAAATGTGGGTTTATTCTTACATTATAGTTTCTATTTGCATTTTGCTTTTTTTTCCTCATTCTATTGCAGTGTTTTCTAGGTTATTTATTTACACCCTACAATCATTAATATGCCAGTAAGTTATCAAGTCAAAATTCAATTTTTCTTCAAATGTGGGACATTAAAAACACTTCCATCACTGAAGATAATGTTTTGTGTTCTCTTTTATACTTACAACATTTATTAAATCTTATCCCAAATTTTTTTATATGTTTCCCTTTAGGTTTGTTCAAATTTACCGTAACAAGACCAGTTTGTGATATGCAAAACTGAAATTCAAAACATTTTGAGAAATGTTTTGCTTGGTTAAAAATAAAATATTATTTCTCATTTAATTTCTGGAGATACTAGAACAGTTTTCATGTGATCACATTTCTTTCATATTACCTGCATTTTCCATGATAGAACCTGAATTTTAACACTGACAATTGATGGATATACCATCATATATTTAAAAGCATTTATACTTCTATAGGTAAATCACATTTATTAAATGTATTTTAAGTTAATATTATATCAGGTTGTCAGCATTTTGCTAACAATTTGAGAAACACCACAATTCTACAAATGTTTATACATATATAAACAACCAATAGCTTCAATATATTGTTTTCAAGTTAATATTAGGCAAGTTTGCCACCTTTGTCTTTATAACATACTTAGCTATTTCCTTACAAGCAATATGACTACAGTAAAACAACGTGTTTGTATGTCACAATCACAAAAGTGTCTGCTGAAGACAAATGCATATGATAGGACAATAAAAATCAAATATTCCCTAGGAGCTCATACAACTACCTGAAAAGTTACTTTTGTAAATATTGCACATAATCTATATTCATCACAAACACTTTATCACTTTGTTAGGCCATCAGAAATATGTAGTAAAAAAGATGTTCTGAAATCATGTGAAATATTTGTAGGAAAAAAATTTCACTGAGGAAGATACATTCATTAAAAGGAAAAAAATAACATTTTAGGTTGAGAAGAAATTGCTACCTATTTGTTCAAACTTAAAAAAAAATTCTAATTTGTTTCTTTCATTGAGTAATAAAATTTTTTGCCTGCTTGAGTTATTATCAAAAAAGTATTTATGAAAACAATGCTCTACTAAAGGAAGATGAACTTTAAATTCAAGTTACAAACACTGAGTGAAAGGAAGACTGAATGTTTTATGACTAAATGGAATTTAGGCATCTGCTTTTTCAGAAACGTGCTTAAAATTAACTTTAATCTTCTGGAATCCCAAAGAACTCTGTCTCTACATTTTCCTACAATGAGTTTCCTTTTTAACTTCTATTTTAGGTTCAAGAATACATGTGCAGGTTAGTTATATAGGTAAACTGCATGTCACAGGGGCTTGATCATCATATTATTTTGTCACCCAGGTAAAATGCATAGTGCCTATTAAGTAGTGTTTTATCTTCATCCTCTTCCCAATCTCAACCCTCAAGTTTCTTTGTTCCTTTCTTTATATTCACATGTACTCAATGTTTAGCTTCCATTTGTAAGTAAGCACATGCAGTATTTGGTTTTCTGTTCCTGCATTAGCTTCCTTTAAATAATGGCCTCTAGCTCCATCCATGTTGCTGGAGAGGACATTAATCTTTTATGGCTGCATAGTATTCCATGGTGTACCACATTTTAAAAATCCCTTCTGCCATTGATGGTCATTTAGTTTAATTCCATGTCTTTGTTATTGTAAATTGTGCTACAATGTGCTACAATGTGTGTGTGTGTTTGTGTGTGTGTGTGTGTGTTTGTGTGTGTGAGTGTTTTGTGTGTCTGTCTTTATGGAGGAATGATTTCTATTCCTCTAGGTATCTACCTAATAATGGGATTGTTGGGTGAAATGGTAGTTCTGTTTTAAATTCTTTGAGAACTTCTTTTAATTGCTTTCCACAATGGCTGAAATAATTTGCATTCCACCAGCAGTGTATAAGTGTGTTCTTTCCTCCAGAACCTCATTAGCATCTGTTATTTTTTTCTTTACTTTTTAATAAAAAAAAAGTTGGATCTTACATGCGTGAGATGGTATCTCATTGTGGTTTTGATTTGCATTTCTCTAATTGTTAGTAGTATTAAGCATTTTTTTCATATGCTTGTTGGTTTCATGTATGTCTTCCTTTAAAAACTGTGATATCATTTGCACTCTTTTTAATGGGGTTGTTATTTCCTGTAAATTTGTTTAAGTTTCTTATAGAGTCTGGATAATAGTAGCCTTTTCTTTGATGTATAGTTGGAAAATATTTTCTCCCGTTCTGTAGGTTTTCTATTTACTCTGTTGATAGCTCCTTTTGCTGTGCAGAAGCTTTTTAGTTAGGTGTCACTTGTCAATTTCCTTTTTTCTTGCAATTGATTTTGGAGTCTTTATCAGGAAATATTACCAAGGTCCTACATTTAAAATAAAATCTCATAGTTTATCTTCCAGGGTTTATTGTTTTTTGAAGTTTTAGGTTTTACTTTTAAGTCTTTAATTCATCTTGAGTAGAATTTTTCATATGGTTTAAGGAAGGAATACAGTTTCAATTTTCTGCATATGGCTCATTTGTTATCCCATTACTATTTACTAAATACTGAGCTTGTCCTCATTGCTTATTTTTCTTGATTTTGTCAAAGATAAGATTGTTGTCAGTTTGTGAGATTATTTCTGGTCTCTCCATTCTGTTCCATTAGTCTGTGTCTGGTTTTGTACCAGTATCATGGCAATCATGCTCCTTTTTGGTTCCATATAAGTGTTAACAATAAGGATTTTCTTTCTCTAAATCTGTGAATATTGTCACTGGTAGTTTGATACATATAGCATGAAATATATAAACTGCTTTGAGTAGTTTTACCTGCTTTGAGTAGTATTACCATTTTAACAATATTAATGCTTTGAGTAGTGTTACCATTTTAACAATATTAATTCTTCCTATTAATGAGCATGAAATGTTTTTCCATTCATTTGTGTTATCTGTGAGTTTTTCAAACAGTGTTCTGTAATTATTTGACCTTCTTAGTTAGCTCTATTTTTAGGTATGCTTGTGTTTGTTGGGGACAGGTTGTTGTGAATGGAATGGTTAGACTTTGTTGGCATATAGGAATGCCGCTGATTTTCATGTATTGATTTCATATCTTGAAAATCTGATGAACATGTTTTAATCACATAAGGAATTTTGTGCAGAAAAATGAGATTTTCTAGAAACAGAATCATACCATATAAAAAGAGGAATAATTTGGCTTCCTCTTTTCCTATTTGGATGTCTTTTCTTTCTTTTTCTTGTCTGAATGCCCTGGCTAAGGCTTCCAGTACTATGTAGAATAGGAGTGGTGAGAGAGGAAATCCTGGTCTTTCTCTGGTTGCAAGGGGAAGGTGCCAACATTTGCCATTCTGTATGTTGTTGGCTATGCTTTCATCATGAATGTCTGTTATTATTTTGAAGTATGTTTCTTCAATGCCTAATTTATTGAAGGTTTTTAGCCTGAAGGAATGTTAAATTTTATTCGAAGCTTTTTCCACATCTATTAAGGTAATCATGTGTTTTTTGTTTCCAGTTATCTTTGTCTCATAAATGACATTGATTTTTATGCATGTGTTGACCAAAACTTACATCCAATAGAAAAAAGCCTACTTGTTCATGGTGAATTTTCTTTTTGATGTGCTGCTGTATTTGAGTTGCTATTATTTGGTTCAGTATTTTTACATCTGCATTCATCAGGAATATTGGCCTAATGTTTTATTTTTATTTTTGTCTCTGCCAGGTTTTGGTATCAGGATGATGTTGCCCTCATACAATGAATTAGGGAGAAGTTCATTCTGCTCATTTTAAAATGATATTTTCAGTAGAAATAGCACATTGTCCTTACACATCTGGTAGAATTCTGCTTTGAATCCACCTACTCCATCTTTTTCTGCTTGGTAAGTTTTTTATTACTTATGCAATTTTTGAACTCATTATCAGTCTGTTCAGAGATTCAATTACTTCTTAGTTCAGACTTGGGAGGTTATGTGTTTTATAGAGTCTATTTTTTCAAGGTTTTCTAGCTTATGTGCATAGGGGTGTTCATAACTATCTGTGACAGTTTTTCATATTTCTGTGGGGTCAGCTGCAATATGTCCCTCATCATATCTGATTGTTTATATAATTTATGTCTTTTCTATGTATTAATCAAGCTAGCAGTAAATCTATCTTATTAATTCTTCAAAATCTAGCTCCTGATTTCATTGATCTTTTGTATGGTTTTCCATGTCTCAATTTCTTTCAGTTCAACTCTAATTTTGCTTACTTGTCATCTGCTAGCCTTGGGATTGGTTTACTAGTGTTTCTCTATTTCTTAGTTTCTCCAGTTCTATTAAAAATTGTGATGAGAGGTATTAATTTGAGATTTTTCTAACTTTTTGATGTTGGCATTCATTGCTGTAAAGTTCTCGTTTACACTATTATGGCTTTGTCACAGATTCTGGTACATCATAAATTTGTTCTCATTAGTTTCAAGGAATTTATTGATTTCTGCGTTAATTTCATTATTTATTCAGAAATCATTCAGGAGTAGGTTAATTTCCATGTAACTGTATAGTTTTAAGTGATTTTCTGAGCATTAATTTCTATTTTCTATTGCACTGTGTCTGAACAGTGTGTTTGTTATAATTTCAGTTTTTTCTGAATTTCCTGAGGATTGTTGTATGCCTGATTTTGTGGTTAACTGGGTTTTGACTATTGCCTGTATGTTGATAATTTTTATTATTTCATTGTTACCTGAATTATATTTCTGACATTTCATCCATTTCAGCCTGTTTAAGAACCATTGCTGAGGAGCTAATGCAGTCATCTGAAGGCAAGAAGACAACTTTTCGAGTTGTGAGAGTTAGCACACTGTTTCTTTCCCATCTGTGTGGGCTGACATTTATTCAGTTTGGACCATCAGTCCAAATGGCAACAGATCAACATGCTATTTTAATCAGTTGGTGACTATTCATATTCACTCTCATAGCACCTACATGCAACCAAATGGCTACCTTATGAATTTTGTTCCCACCGCAACTTCTCAATATCACATCATATCACCCTTGCAGAATAGTTCTTTGGGCCTAATGGTGGAACCATCTACTTTCACAACAAAATATTTTGAGGTGTTAGTCAATAAGTCTCCTTATTCTAACCTGCTACAAGAAAGCAACCTGTGGTGCCAAGAGCCTGTGATAGCTGATACATCAGCTGCCTCTTATTCCAGGTCAGCTCATCAACAATCTTCACTAGGGAAACATCACCCTAATTACAACTGATCTTCCACCAGAGGAATAACAGATTATGCAGGACAGTAGTGATTGAAAATCACTGATGCTGACAAAAAAAAATTCTTGCAATTCTCTTACTGAACAATAAAATTACATGTTCACTTTTATGATTTTTTTCCCTTACTTCTAAAAATATGGTTTAGAGTAAAATGGGGTTTTATTTCAATGGCAGGCTATTGTACTACTTTTAAAAAAAATATATGGGCTTTATGACTATTGGACAGGACATTTTAAATGCCCCCTTTTAAGTTACTTTATTTAGTTATTTGAAAAAGAATAAATAATAGTGTTTTAGTCCACTTGCTGCTGAAACAACAGAATACCACTGACTGGGTAATTTGTAAAGAGACTTACTTTGCTTATGGTTCTGGAGGCTAGAAAGTCCAAGGCATTACATCTGGTGAGGTCTTCTAAGTTACAACATGGCAGCAGGGCATCATATAGTGAAGAACACATGAATAACAGAAAATTGGGACAAACTCATCTTTTGATCGAAAGCCCACTCACACAATAAATAACTAATTTTCCAGAAAATCACATCAATCCAGTCATGAGGGTGTGCCCTCACAGCTCATCACTGCTTTAAAGCCTTATCTCCTAACACTATTGCAATGGCCACAGAATTTCCATCTGGGATTTGGAGGGGACATTCAAAGGCACGAGAGTTAGCAAGGTAGAAAGAAGGAACCAGAGCTAGGAAAACATAAAAAGCAAGTTCTTAAATAGTCTGTCATAAATCAAATAAGAGCCTAAATTAGAATGACCCAAAGGAAACAGATGCAGACATATGCACACACACACACACACACACACACACACACACACACACACACAAACAGAAAATCTAGAGAAAGGTTAATACAGTTTATTTCAGTATTTTATCAATTACATATTCCCAGGTATGATTAGTATTTTAAATACTTTGATTCTATTATAATTGGTACTATCTTTTTTCATTTTTTATATTTTAATTGGTTAATTTTATGTTTTTAACATTTATTTTAGATTTAAAGGTACAAGTGTACTGTTTTACATAGGTAAACTTGTGTCACATGGTTTTGCCATGTTCGGCATGGTAGATCATACCTGTAATCCCAATACTTTGGGAGGCCAAGACAGGTGGATTGCTTGAGGTCAGGAGTTCGAGACCAGCCTGGCCTACATGGCAAAGCCCCATCTCTACTAAAACCACAAAAATCATCCGGGTGTGGTAGAATGCACCTGTAATCCCAGCTACTCAGGAGGCTACAGCAGGAGAATTGCTTGAACCCAGGAGGAAGAGACTGCAGGGAGCTGAGATTATGCCACCAAAATCCAACGTGGGTAACAGAGAAAGATTCCGTCTTAAAAATAAATAAATAAATAAATAAATAAATAAATAAATAAATAAATAAATAAAGAGTGCAGGGATGCCACGGGTAGGCAGCTGCTGCTGCACCCTAGGGAATGGGGCTTTCGCTTGCCCCCAACTACCCAAGTGCACAGGGATACTTTCATCCACAGATAAAATTTGGGCAACGGCAGCTCCTCCCAGGAAGGTGGGGCTCTTAACTTGCCTTTTGGAGCAGAAGGCATGAATCTGCAGTCACAATTCTGGTGGCTGCAGTGGCACCAAGGGAGCCCCCACCTCAACTCAAAAGTGGCAAGGCTTCTGCCAGCTCCACAGAGCATGCAGCCCAAGATGCACCTCCCTGCTGCAGCTAGCAGAATGACAGCAGCAGGCGGTGGAGTGGCCACTGCCATCAGTTCCACCTCTAAAGAAGTACATCTAACTGCCATTAGGAAAGGGTTGATGATCATCAACCTTAACTGCTTGATAATGACAAAGGCACTGATTTGGGAAAACAACAGTCATTTTTCTCGGAGACCTATCTAGAGGTCCCCAGTAAATGGGAGTTATTATCCAAGGTTCCATTTGCACAAAAGTTTGGAGTTTAATGACCCAAACCTTTCATTTCTTCTGAGCTACAGTCAAGGATCACTGGTTGGTTCACCCCCAAAATTGTCAAAATATACAGATACGTCAAAAGAAAAGGCTACCTTGATGCTGAAAAACAAAATGAAAAATCAAAAATGTTGCAAGCAAAAAGTCAAAAAAAAAAGATGACTTCCAGCAGTTCAGTTTACCCAGTCAACTCCTAGTCAAAATCTCCCAAGTTCCCAGAAATCTATACTTGTGGGCTATAATCCATCCCTTGAAGAGGATCAAACAAGACAACAACTCTCTGTAAATGTCAAAATGTCCTATGACACTCAGTCAAAAACATGACTGATAAAAAAATTTGGTTACCTGTGGTCTGCAATAACCTAGAAATAACCCTAATTATGACTGATAACACAAACTTAAACATCAGAATTTTAGAAAGCCCATACCATTTTGAAACACAGCTTAACATTACTCACTAAAATATAATGTGAAGATCAAACACCATGATATTTCATCAATCCTATGTAACTAAACATGTTAAATAATAGATAATTTTGAAGCTGAAATTTAATTTTGGAAAGTCTGTCAAATAAGTTAAAGGCTTAAAACACTTAAAACAATTTCAGGTTACACAAAATACATCCATTTAGCCAAAATGATTACTCAAATTTTAAAAAAGCAAAAATATTTATTATTAAGAGGAAAATTCTAGTTTTCCAAACAGTCAGCTGCTTGTCCTTTCCTTCTTTTTTTCAATGTTTATTCATAAAACTAACAAAAATCTTTCATTACATAAAAGTATTGTCAAAGAGAGAGAAAGCCAAAATTTCACCTGAATCAGTCTACTATTAATGTAAATTCCAATTTTTCTTTAATGAAACCTTACAGAAAAACCTATTCAATCTTAATCAGTTTGACCATGAATTGAGATTCTTTTTTTTAATTATTATTGTACTTTAAGTTTTAGGGTACGTGTGCACAACTTGCAGGTTTGTTACATATCTATACATGTGCCATGTTGGTGCGCTGCACCCATCAGCTCGTCATTTAGCATTAGGTATATCTCCCAGTGCTATCTCTCCCCCATACCCCCATCCCACAACAGTCCCCAGTGTGTGATGTTCCCCTTCCTGTGTCCATGTGTTCTCATTGTTCAATTCCCACCTATGAGTGAGAACACGCGGTGTTTGGTTTTTTGTCCTTGCGATAGTTTGCTGAGAATGATGGTTTCCAGCTTCATCCATGTCCCTACAAAGGACATGAACTCATCACTTTTTATGGCTTCATAGTATTCCATGGTGTATATGTGCCACATTTTCTTAATCCAGTCTATCATTATTGGACATTTGGGTTGGTTCCAAGTCTTTGCTATTGTGAATAGTGCCGCAATAAACATACGTGTGCATGTGTCTTTATAGCAGCATGATTTACAATCCTTTGGGTATATACCCAGTAATGAGATGGCTGGGTCAAATGGTATTTCTAGTTCTAGATCCCTGAGGAATCGCCACACCGACTTCCACAATGGTTGAACTAGTTTACAGTCCCACCAACAGTGTAAAAGTGTTCCTATTTCTCCACATCCTCTCCAGCACCTGTTGTTTCCTGACTTTTTAATGATTGCCATTCTAACTGGTGTGAGATGGTATCTCATTGTGGTTTTGATTTGCATTTCTCTGATGGCCAGTGATGATGAGCATTTTTTTCATGTGTTTTTTGGCTGCATAAATGTCTTCTTTTGAGAAATGGGATCTAATTAAACTAAACAGCTTCTGCACAGCAAAAGAAACCACCATCCGAGTGAACAGGCAACCTACAGAATGGGAGAAAATTTTTGCAACCTACTCATCTGACAAAGGGCTAATATCCAGAATCTACAATGAACTCAAACAAATTTACAAGAAAAAAACAAACAACCCCATCAAAAAGTGGGCAAAGTATATGAATTGAGATTCTTATAATCTTTTTATAACCATTTACAAATTTTTGGTAAAGAGCAGATTACTGCCTGAAGAAACATTTGCTGTGCTTTTATTGTAATGTTCAATTTACAGACAAACCAAATTATACCCTTTTGAATTTGATCGATATAAATTTATTTTACTAGATTAATGTATATAAACCATTAACAATTTCTTCAAACTTTTATTTTTAAACAATTCTTTAGCCCTTTAAGATTAGAAATTTATATTCCCAGGAAACGTTATAATCTTTTACCAAAACCACATTTAACTCTCCCTTCTATGAACTTTGCATGTGAATATATTTTCAGTAATCTCAATTACATTTTATAGTGATAACGCTCAGTAATTTTAGCTTTGGTTAGAAACCTGGTAAGTTGTTTTAATTACATGCTAGGTACAGATAAGGTCTGACTAAGGTCAAGCATAGCTACAGGTGTAGTTAACTTAATATGTCCTCAGATCTTACTAACCTGTAAAGCAGATAAGTCAAGCTATTTTCAAAAGCAAAAGAAGCAATTTATAACCTTAAAGCATTTAACAGACCTAGTTTCTGAACTGCATAATTTAAACCCTATGTCTACATTTCAAAGATACCTTTACTTCTCAAAGCTTGGTCACATGAACTAAAAGACATTACAGCTTTATTTTTTCCTAATATTTAATCTAAGTGCCTACTTTTTTAAAGTCAATTAGAGCTCTTTGCATGTATACATAGCTCATTTATATAAAAAATATGGCATATATATATATAACACATTATATAACACATAATACATGACACACACATATATAACTACACAGCCAGACAGAAGGAGATTCAGTAGTTGTATGATTTTTCCATGTGCCAATTTCTTAATTAGATTACTGGCCTCAGGGTGGAGCTCCTCAAAAAATAAGACTAGGAAAATATGCAGTTTCTTAGGTGTAATAAACAGGTATTGCTGGAAGACAAACACAGAATTTTTTTCTTTTTTATAAAGTCTCACTGTTGCTCCAGCTGGAGCACAATGGTGCAGTCTTGGCTCACTGCAACCTCCACCTCTCAGGTTCAAGCAATTCTCCTGCCTCAGCCTCCCAAGTAGCTGGGATTATAGTCACCCACCGCCATGCCAGTTAATTTCATATTTTTAGTAGAGATGGAGTTTCACCATGTTGACCACACTGGTCTTGAATTCCTGACCTCAGGTAATCTGCCTGCCTTGCCCTCCCAAAATGCTGAGATTCAGGCATAAGCCACCACTCCCAGCCCAAAAACATTCTTTGGAGGGATGGAGTCTCATGCTGTTGCCCAGGCTGGAGTGCAATGGCATGATCTTGGCTCACAGCAAACTTCACCTCCCAGGTTCAAGTGATTCTCCTGCCTCAGCCTCCCAAGTAGCTGAGATTATAGGCACCCGCCACCATACCCAGCTAATTTTTGTATTTTTTGTAGAGACAGGGTTTCACCATGTTGGTCAGGCTGGTCTTGAACTCGTGACCTTGGGTTATCCACCCACCTTGGGCTCCTAAAGTGCTGGGATTACAGGTGTGAGCAACTGCACCGGGCCCAAAAACAGATTTTTGAGAGGCATCTGTCTGCTTTAATCTGTGGGACTCCCTGAGGAAAACCGAGTTTCTTACCAAAACTGGTAAGTGGAAGCTCTTCTCTCTTTCCCAAGGAGCCCCAGGCCATCAGAAGTCATCCTGGAGTACCTCGTGTTTACGTTAAGAGTGACAAGAGAAAAATGGAGACAAATAATTTGTTAATTGAGAAGGAAAAAAACTTCCTTCAGAAAAGAAATACCCACAAATAGAAAAGGCAAAAAGCCCCTTAAAAAAATTCCTATAAGCTCCCACTTAAAAGAAAGATCAAGTGGTATGTGGTTTTCTGCTCCTGTGTAAGCTGCTAAAGATAATGGCCCCCAACTCCATTCATATCCCTGCAAAGGACGTGATCTCATTTGTTTCTGTGACTGCGCAGTATCACATGGTATATATGTGTCACTTATTTTTAGTCTAGTCTATCACTGATAAATATTTAGGTTGATTTCATGACTTTGGTATTGTGAATGGTGCTGCAATAAATACATGCATGCATGTGCCAGATATTTTAAAGTTATACATGGGATTTCATTGGCACAGGTTTTCCTTATTACAGCTCATATCCAGCCAGCTCAGTTAGCATGAACACCATTATTTGTGTCATCACTTTTGTAATAAAATTTACATAATATTATACTCATAGGTTGCATCACTGTCAGCACATGGTGGAATTTTACAACTGTCATTAGCAAGTGTCCTTTTTTATCTTCCCTCAAAAAGTTCCAGCTGTTTTTTGCCTTTAATTACTTCCCACAAGAGTCCACCTTTCATGTTTTCTAATGCACATTTTTATCACATTAATTTTATTCTTCATCTAAACTCAGATTTAAATTCTTATGCTGGTATTTAATACTTTCTAGATTCTGAGCCCAGATTCTAAGCACGGCTGAAGAAATCACTTCAAGATCTGGCATTTGTCTGCCTTTCAGTTTCATGCCTTTCTGTTTCACCACTCTCCATCTGGAGCTACTTTCAGACAAACCACTTTCACCAATGCACTTTCCCATCTTGTAACTTTTACCTAATTTCTTTCCTGGAGATAAAAGGCCCTCTCCCTTCTTGCCCACTTACAACGTTACAGTACAGATATAACCCCTTCCAGGAGGTATTTCTCACTTACTTTGTTATTTATGGAATGTGACTTAAACTCATTAAAATATATATTTATTGCCAAAAACAATAAGCCTGCTATTGTATTCAAGCTATTACTTTTTATCTTTCACAGAAAAAAAGGCTTTGTTTCTATAGCGTGTAGGCCTGACTGCCAGCTGCAATTGAGTCAAGCTGTGAAGCAGTGGTGCTATATGCATAAGTCAATAAGAAATTTTCAGAAATCTAAAGTCTTTTATATTTATATACTAGGATTGTTGCTGTCTCTTTACCCCCATTGAATCAACGTATTGCATCTCAGCACCTACAAGAGTATTATTTCCAATTATTTCCACCATATATACTCAAACTTCTGTCCAGAAAGATCACTGTCGAGTCCTAAATTTTAAAAGTACATCTATATATTCTATGTAACCTCTACTACTTTCAACTTGTACCCAGGAAGGAGCCAAGAGGGGATAATCCCTTTATAGGACTTGTTTTATTCAGTAATCCAACACCTTTTACAATTTTATGGGACAGGAGTAGGTGAGGTGATAGAGTTAAAAATCTGTCCAACATGAAATAATTACAGATGTCTGAATATGTTAGGGAATAAAGAACATTCATTAAATACTATAACAATCTCTTATTGCATTGCTATGTATGGTGCAGTGTTACTAAAATGTAAATTTATCTGGAAAGCTAAAGACACTACAGAGAAAGTCCCGGGGGACTGAGTCTTCTGACCACAGAAGTCATTGGTAGCAGTCAGCCAGTCAGACTGAAATAGAAATATTGTATCCTAATAGAATGTCACCATTCGTAAGGCACCTGTGATCATCCAGAGAAGGAAACAAAGATCAGAACTATATAATGTGACCCATATAATGTGACCTTTATCATATAATGTGTCCTTTACCAAGGTACAAATAAATCATATTTTGGCAGAAGTCAACAATAATCTGACATATATGGTTGCTGCTACATCAGAAACAAATCCTTTTAATCTGTGAGCTCTAATATGTAGTGGTTGTTGTGTTTCTATTTACAATGAGAAACTTTGCGTCAGGTAGGCATAATAAATAGGTAGCCTAAAGGTGACTGAGCATATCTAAGAGTAAGCTTACCATGGGCATCTTCAGCATGATTCATATAGGTCAATCACAGTTGCAGTTTGTGTTCACAATTAGAGGATCTGAAGAGGAATGTCTTTGATTGATCAATGTGTAGTTTTTTACACAGTAGACCACAGAGCCAGACCATTGACTAGTGAGAGGTGACAGCGTGCTGGCAGTCCTCACAGCCCTCGCTCGCTCTCGGTGACTCCTCTGCCTGGGCTCCCACTTTGGCAGCAGTTGAGGAGCCCTTCGGCCCGCCGCTGCACTGTGGGAGCCCCTTTCTGCGCTGGCCAAGGCTAGAGCCCACTCCCTCAGCTTGCAGGAAGGTGTGGAGGGAGAGGCGCGAGCAGGAACCGGGGCTGCGTGCGGCGCTTGCGGGCCAGCTGGAGTTCCGGGTGGGCGTGGGCTTAGCGGCCCCACACTCGGAGCAGCCGGCCAGCCCTGCTGGCCCAGGGCAATGAGGGACTTAGCACCCGGGCCAGTGGCTGTGGAGGTTGTACTGGGTCCTCCAGCAGTGCCAGCCCACCGGCGCTGCGCTCGATTTCTCACCGAGCCTTAGCTGCCTTCCCGAGGGGCAGGGCTCGGGACCTGCAGCCCGCCATGCCTGAGCCTCCCACCCACTCCATGGGCTCCTGTGCGGCCCCAGCCTCCCCAACGAGCACCACCCCCTGCTCCACGGCGCCCAGTCCCATCGACCACCCAAGGGCTGAGAATGCGAGCGCATGGCGCGGGACTGGCAGGCAGCTCCACCTGCAGCCCTGGTGCGGGATCCACTAGGTGAAGCCAGCTGGGCTCCTGAGTCTGGTGGGGACTGGAGAGTCTTTATATCTAGCTCAGGGATTGCAAACACACCAATCAGCACTCTGTGTCTAGTTCAAGGTTTGTGAGTGCACAAATCAACACTGTATCTAGCTCCTCTGGTGGGGCCTTGGAGAACCTTTATGTCTAGCTCAGGGATTGTAAATACACCAATCAGCACCCTGTGTTTAGCTCAAGGTTTGTGAATGCACCAATCGACACTCTGTATCTAGCTACTCTGGTGGGGCCTTGGAGAACCTGTGTGTCAAAACTCTGTATCTAACTAATCTGGTGGGGACGTGAAGAACCTTTATATCTAGCTCAGGAATTGTAAACACACCAATCAGCACCCTGTGTCTAGCTCAAGGTTTCTGAGTGCACCAATGGACACTCTGTATCTAGCTGCTCTGGTGGGGCCTTGGAGAAACTTTATGTCTAGCTCAGGGATTGTAAATACACCAATCCGCACCCTGTGTTTAGCTCAAGGTTTGTGAGTGCACCAATCGACACTCTGTATCTAGATGCTCTGGTGGGGCCTTGGAGAACCTGTGTGTGGAAACTGTATCTAACTAATCTGATGGGGACTTGGAGAACCTTTGTATCTAGCTCAGGGATTGTAAACGCACCAATCAGTGCCCTGACAAAACAGGCCACTGGGCTCTACCAATCAGGATGTGGGTGGGGCCAGATAAGAGAATAAAAGCAGGCTGCAGAGCCAGCATTGGCAAC
Source organism: Homo sapiens (assembly GCF_000001405.40). Lineage (NCBI taxonomy): Eukaryota > Metazoa > Chordata > Mammalia > Primates > Hominidae > Homo > Homo sapiens. Next base: position 19,922,905 of record NC_000024.10, on the reverse strand, counting down.
CCGCTGGGGTCCCCTTCCACACTGTGGAAGGTTTCTTCTTTCGCTCTTTGCAGTAAATCTTGCTACTGCTCACTCTTTGGGTCCACGCTGCTTTTATGAGCTGTAACACTCACCGCGAAGATCTGCAGCTTCACTCCTGAGCCAAGCAAGACCACGAGCCCACCGGGAGGAAGGAACAACTCCAGATGCGCTACCTTAAGAGTTGTGACACCGCGAGGGTCCGCGGCTTCATTCTTGAAGTCAGTGAGACCAAGAACCCACCAATTCCAGACACACTAGGGCCCTAGAGTAGGTAGAGCTAAATAAATGCTTAGTGAATAGAGTTTTCCCAATACATTCTTTCCACTTCTTTCAGTAAACCTATTTCTTTGGCATCTGCATGACAGATTATAAAGTATTAAAATTAGCAGTTTAATGTCTAAATGTTTAACAGTTTAGTGTTAAATTTCATGGTAAAACTATCAAGTTCAAATCTCAATAATCCATCAGTCAATTCCACCTGAGACTTAGCCAAGCAATAAGTCAATTTCACCTGTGCAGCTACGGAAATCTAAAATGGGGGGTCTCACTGAGACAGAGGCTTTGCTGTAGGTCAGGAGTGAAAGATAAATTTTCTCCAAGTAGAGTAACTGCTACCTCTTCATGCAAAACTGAGATGATGCTCAGCCCAGGCCACTGCACCCTTGAATTTGATTAAGCAGACATATGTAATCTTGTATATCTAGAGTCCAATAATGTATTGGATGCCCTTTTCAATTAAAGTAAATTTCCGATTTTCTTTTCGCTTCTCACATTGACACTGCTTATTTCACCTTTAGGGATTCCTTAACCAAAGAACAACAGATGTATTTTTTTTTTTCAGGTGGAGTCACTTAAGAGCATCCTTTTTCCTACTACATGAAAGAGAATGACCAAACCAAGGCATTTAGGAAGCAGGCTTCAATTCTAATAGTGGGGTATCTTATCCTCTTATTCACAAATTGGGCAAGAACCCTTGCTCCCAGATTCCAAGAAGTGTTCTCATATCACCTAACCTGACCTGTGTGGACTAGCACTCTTTCTTACACAAGACTACATGTCTGCCAGCATTCCATCTAATCACAAAACTGTCAAAAAACTGTTTCAATTGTCTGAAATTTTACCTCAACTTCAGACTAATAATCTAATACATTATTTTCATGGATAATAGCAGAGGACAAAATACTTCAGGTCAGAAACTAGAAACTGTATAACTCACAACAAAAGCAGTAAACAAGATTGTTTTTATTGCTTCCCTAAGCTCAGACAATTTACACTTAACCAACCATTAATTATTGCAGAGCTGTATTTTAGGAAACACTGGGCTAAAGAAACCACTGATATAATAGTAAACAGAGGAAAGTAGACTCTTTTCTGGAGAAGACGTTATATTATTTCTCCAGGTGACTTACTGACAAACAACCATGAAAAAATGGCTTGGGAAAGAAATGGCAAGGGTCTAGAATTTTTTTACATACATACAAATAATGGTGACATTGTATATTGTATATTGTTCTGTTCTCACACTGCTATAAAGAACTGCCTGAGACTGGGTAATTTATAAAGAAAGTGGGTTTAATTGACTTACAATTCTACAGGTTGTGCAGAAGGCAGGGCTGCAGATGTCTCAGAAAACAGCAATCATGATGAAGCATAAAGAAAAAGCGAGCATGTCTTCACATAGGAGCAGGAGAGAGAAAACAAAGAGAGAAGTGTCACACACTTTTAAAACATCGGATCTCATGATAACTAATTCACTATCACAAGAACAGCAAGGGGGAAATTTTTTCCCGTGATCAAATCACTTCCCAGCAGGCCCCTCCTCCAACACTGAAGATTATAATGTAACTTGAGATTTGGGTGGGGACACAGAGCAAAATCATATCAAATAGGTTATTTGCTCTTGAGTACTGTGGAGTAAATACACTACCACTGAGTCAGGAAAGATTTTCTAGGCCTGCCTCAAAAAAATTGGGACAACAACTCCCAATGCTTAGGGAAGTATAGAAATTCCATTCTTTAAATTTCTTTTTTTTTTCTTATATCCAGCTTCAAACAATCTGATGGCATTGATATCAGAGTCTCCACTAAGAGCCCATGGTTAATTAATTGTTAAAGCTCTGAATGAGGGAAATGTTCTTCTAATTGCCAGAGCTGTAATGTCATGAGATGGGATAAATATTGAGCATTTTTGTTTCTTCCCACTGCCAAATATTCTTGAATTTAGAAGCAAGTATGCCAAGTGCACAACACAAGTGGGATTACAGAGAGAAAGGGACTTGGGAAACTAACCATAAGGATGTGTCAAACTGGCTTTATCTCCAGGTATACACATCAAAGTACTGAGAAATTAACAAACTACAACCCAGTTCTCAGACTTCCCATTAGGTTATGCATGCATGTTTGTGTGTATATACACACACATGGAAAAAACATACAGAAAGACTTGGCTAGCACAGCATATACATTGAAAACTGAGCTGACACTAAAACCAGAGTTTACAAGAGGCTGATTGGAGCACTCAGCCTAAACTATCCAAATTAGTTGCCTGCTGTGTTAGGCCATTCTTGCATTGTGATGAAGAAACACCTGATGTTGGGCAATTTATTTAAAAGGAGAGTTTAATTGGCCTACATCTCTCTAGACTTTATAGAAACCATGGTGCTGTTATCTGTTTATCTCCTGCTGATGCCTCAGAAAGTGTATGGTAATGGCAGAAGGCCACAGAGCAGTCATATTATCTTGTAAGAGTGGGAGCAAGATAGAGAATAGTGAGAGGTGCCACATACTTTTAAACAATCAGTTCTTATGTGAACTTGCTCACTATTATGAGAACAACATCAAGCCATAGGAAACCCACCCTCCTTGCCAAAACACCTCCCAACTCCAACATTAGGGATTACATTTCAGCATGAGATTTGGGAAGGGACAAGTATCTAAATCATATTATTTAACTTCTGGACCCCCAAATCTCATATCCTGGTGACATTGTAAAATATAATTATCCCTTCTTAATAATCCCCTAAAACCTTAATTTTTTCTAGCATTAACTCAAATGTCTCAAGTCCAGAATCTTATATGGAGATGAGTTACTTTCACCTGTGGGCCTGTAAAATCACAGCAAATTATGTACAGCCAAGATAAAATAGAGGTACAGACATTGGGTAAATTTCCAATTCTAAAAGGGAAAAGCTGGCCAAATGAAAGGAGCTACAGACCCCACGTAAGTCTGAAACCCAGAAGTACAGTATTTAAATCTTGAAACTCCAAAATAATGTCCTTTGAATTTATTTCCCACATAATGGGAACACCACTGCAGTGAATGGGCTCTGAATGCCTTGGGAAGCTGTGCTCCTCTTGAGAGGAAGTGCCAGCTGGACTTCCTGGGTTGAGTAGGGGCTCAGAAAGCTGTGAAACTCACTGATTTCCTGCATTAGGAATTACTTCCATCCTGGATGTATAACACTGAAGATATACTCTTAAATTATTCCTAACACCAGGATTTCTGAATGTGTTTTCTTCCCCAAGAAAGCTATAAACCATGAAAATTTTGCCATAAGTTTCCCTGTGTTCTTTCTCCCTCTCTCCCTTCTTCCTCCCCTAAAACTAAAAGAAATGTTAAAAGCCAGTACTTCTGTGACCAGCAGACCTCATCTATGCTCCCAATTCCAATTCCTTATAAACATACTTTGTAAACTCCTGTAAAATCCTGTCTCCTTTGCCATGCTGCTGCAAGGTCACAAAATAGATAAAATCCAAGTTGCAATTCCGGTTTTCCTCAAAATCTAAGACATGTCATAAAATAATTTACTGCCTTTGTTTCTCACTCTGGTAATATCTTCCCACCACACATATTTCCCACCTTAAAGAGTTTAAAAGGAAATCACCCAAAACCAACAGTGTCTACCTGTTCAGGACCCCTTCCATGCTATGGAAACTTTGTACTTTCACTCTGCTCAATAAAGCATAGCTGTTTCTCTCTGTCAGTCCATGTCTCTATCACTCGCTGCAGTCAGCCACCACATCACTTCTTTGGCATGGCTAGGCAAGAACCTTGAATGTTACATTTTGGTGAGCCAGCCAGGAGGTTCCAGGAAAGGCATCTAAATCATCATGTGGTGAGTACAATCAGACCTCTTTCACTTGCTATTCTGTCCTGTACTTCCTTAGAATTCAAAAGCTAAACCAGGCACCTGTCAGCCACTTAAAAGTGATTAGCATGGCTGCTGGACTAAAGACATGGGTGTCAGGCTCTCTGGAAAAGGGCTCTCTAACAACACTGACCCTTTAGGGTTGGGAGCATTGGTTAGCCTGGACCCAGTTCTAAGTCTTTCACTTTCCGTGGTGGTCCCGAAGTACACCTAGGAGTGCTCAGTGGACATCCTAGTCTCCCAGAGATCCTGGTTGAGACCTGCCAGTGGCTCCCCCAGCATGGGTTACTGAGCATGAGACAGCCACATCTTCTGACTCCAGCGTCCTGGGTCCTAATGTCCACTGGTTAGACTTCTTTCCTCATCTCACAAGCAAGGTTATTCCCCCTAGTCAGGAGCAAGCTTCCCTACTTAGAAGACTTAAATTCTTAGGGTGGAGCCCAGAAGATCCAAGTTCATGGTGCACTCCAGGGTTTAGGCAAGTGTTGCCATTTGGTGGTTATTTTGAAGGGCCAGTTCCCCACCATAGTGTACATCAGAACAATTTAAAGACATGTCTGTAATTTTCATGTGGATAGTAGAAGCCTTAGGGCATTTCCTCCATTGCTCCCCAGGTAGACTTTTCCCTTCCTTGGGGTGTCTCAAGTGCAATCTGTGGTGCATGGGTACAGCTCTTAGGGCCAATGAATTGTTTCAACCATTCAATATTTGTTATTGGAAGGAAGAAAATATAGTCAGTTGGGGCACAGGATACTGGTACTGCCTTGAGAGAGGGGCTTACTCCTTTGATGGCAAGTGGGGACAGAAGGTTAGAGTACAGCAGCTGTTCTCTCAGCCCTTGCCTAGAGGACATCCACCACCCCCTTTAAGCTTACTAAGCCTCCTGTCACTAATTCAGAGATTTCTCCTTGAAGGACAGTTTTGATGGCCAGGCCCATGTAAATTGGGCCTCAGCATGCAGTGGTGCCCCTGACCCAGGCCTTGCCACCCTGGAACAGGTAGGATGTGTTGGAAGAAGGACCACAATAAATCCAACAGTCCTTGTGCCCCATTTAGTGGTCAATGGGTGCACGGCATGGGCAAGGGAATTTTCTATCTTGCTCGGTAAGCATGGTTAAATCTGGTAGATGGAGAGCACAGGAAAAGTGGCCATAAGCTTTGAGCAGAATTGGACCTGACCCTTAGGGGATGCCCTAGGGGAAGATGAGTCCCAGGACTAACCAGAGGTGTGGGCATGCCTGTGTTTACAATTCCAGATGGGCACCACACCTTCAAAACAGACACTCCCTTAAGATGTATCCTAAATAACTAGGACAAATTCGACCTGAAACCTTAAAAAAGAAGAGGCTGATTTTCTTTTGTATCAGTGCCTGGCCACAATATTCTTACAGAATGAAAAACACAATATTTCTTACAAAATGGCCCCCTGAGGGAAGTATTAACTATAACACCCTTCTACAACTAAATCTTTTCTGTAAACAGGAAGGTAAATGGGGTTAAGTCCCTTATGTACAGGCTTTCTTTGTCTTTTGTGGCAATACTGCCCTGTGCCAAGCCTGCAAGTTTTGCCCAAATGACAGAGGCCCACAATCACCTCCATACTCAGGGCCTCTTCCCTCAGCCCCACTCTCCACCCCTACTGACTCTCCTCCATCTGGCCCCACCAAAGTTTTAAAGGCACACTGGAGAGAGAACATAAATGCCGTGAGTCAGGCACCCAAACTATGTGCCTTACAAGCAGTAGGAGGGGAATTTGGGCCCACCTGTGTACATGTCTCCTTGTCATTCTCAGATTTAAAACAAATAAAGGCAGATTTAAGGAAATTCTCAGGTCATCCTGATAACTATACAGATGTCCTGAAAGGATTAAAACAGTCCTTTGATCTAACATGGAGAGATACGTTGCTTCTTGATCAGATCTTGAGTCCTACTGAAAAAGAAGCAGCTATAACAGCAGCCCAGCAATTTGGGGATCTGTGGTACCTTAGCCACGTAAATGGGCAACTGGCCTGGAGGAGAGGGAAAAATTCCCCACGAGGCAACAGGCAGTCCCCACTGCAGACCCTCACTGGGATACTGACTCAGATCATGGAGATTGGAGCCACAGGCATTTGCTAACTTGCATTTTAGAATGGTTGAGGAAAAGTAGGAAAAAGCCCATGAAGTACTCAATGCTGTCCACAACTACACAGGGAAAAGAGGAAAACCCCTCTACTTTTCTAGAAAGGCTAAAGGAAGCCCTAAGAAAGCACACCTCCCTAACTCCAGATTCCTTAGAAGACCAACTTATTTTAAAGAATAACTTTTATCAGCCAATCAGCAGTCAACATTAGGAGAAAACTCCAAAAGTCTGCTTTGAGACTGTTACAAAATTTGGAGACATTATTGAACCTGGCAACCTTGGTGTTCTATAACAGGGACCAGGAGGAACAGGCCAAAAGGGAAAAGTGAGATAAGAGAAAGGCTGCAGCCTTAGTCATGGCCCTCAGACAAGCAGACCTTAGTGGCACAGAGGAAACCAAAAGAGGAGCAGGCCAATTGCATAGTAGTGCTTGTTTTCAATGCAGTTTGCAAGGACATTTTAAGAAAGATTGTCCAACCAGAAACAAATAACCCCCTCACCCATGACCAATATGCCAAGGCAATCACTGGAAGATGCACTGCCCTAGAGGACAAAGCCCCTCTGGGCCAGAAACACCCAACCAGATGATTCAGCAACAGGAGTGAGGGTGTCTGGGGCAAATGCCAGCTCATGCCATCACCCTCACAGAGCCCCGGGTAAGTTTGACCATTGAGGGCCAGGAAGTAGACTTCCTCCTGGACACTGACATGGCCTTCTCAGTTTTAATCTCCTGCCCTGAATGACTGTCCTCAAAGTCCACTACTATCCGAGAAATCTTAGGATAGCCTGTAACCAGGTATTTCTCTTGCCTCCTCAGCTGCAATTAGGAGACTTTGCTCTTTTCACATGCCTTTCTTGTTATGCCCGAAAGTCCCACACCCTTATTAAGAAGGGACATATTACCAAAGCTGGGGCTATTGTCTACTGAATATGAGGAACAAATTATCCGTTTGTTGTCCGCTATTTGAAAAAGGAATCAGCTCTGAAGTCTGAGACTTAGAAGGACAATTTGGAAGGGCAAAAAATGCTCATCCAGTTCAAATCAGGCTAAAAGACCCCACCACTTTTCCTTATCAAAGGCAATATCCCTTAAGGCCTGAGGCTCACAAAGGATTACAGGATATTGTTATTTTTTTTTTTTTTAAGACTCTGTCACCCAAGCTGGAGTGCAGTGGTGTGATCTCAGCTCTCACTGCAACCTCCAGCTCCAGGTTAACACCATTCTCCTGCCTCAGCCTCCCGAGTAGCTGGGACTGCAGGTGCCTGCCACCATGCCTGGCTAATTTTTTGTATTTTTAATAGAGATGGGGTTTCACCATGTTAACCAAGATGGTCTTGATCTCCTGACCTCATGATCTGCCCACCTCAGTCCTCAAAGTGGTGGGATTGCAGGCATGAGCCACCACACTGGCCTAGTTCAAATAAGGCTAAAAGACCCCACCACTTTTCCTTCTCAAAGGCAATACCCCTTAAGGCCTGAAGCTCACAAAAGATAACGGGATATTGTTAGATATTTAAAAGCTCAAGACTTAGTAAGAAAATGCAGAGGTCCTTGCAACACCCCAAGCCAAGGAATACAAAAACCAAATGGTCAGTGGAGACTACTGCAAGACCTCAGAATAATCAATGAAGCAGTAATTCCTTTATATCCTGCCGTACCCAACCCCTATACACTGCTCTCTCAGATAGTAGAAAAAGCAGAATGGTTCACTGTTCTAGACCTCAAAGATGCCTTCTTCTGCATTCCCCTGCACTCTAACTCTCAGTTCATGTTGTTATTTCATTAACCATTCAGAACTCATTATTTAAAAAGTCAAAGAAATAAGAGAATGGACGGAAAGTAGAAAAAAGGAGCTTGAACTCTCAGGACCCTGGAATATGTTTAACCAATGGATACCTTGGCTCCTCCCCTTTCTAGGACATGTAACAGCCATCCAACACTTGCCTTTAGGCCTGGCATTTTGAACCTCCTTGTCAAATTTATTTCCTCCAGGATTGAGGCTATCAAGCTACAAATTGTCTTACAAATGGAACCTCAATTGAGCTCAACTCACAGATTCTACCGAGGACCCCTGGATCCACCCACTGGTCCCTCAACTAGCCTAGAAAGTTCCCCTCTGGAGGACACCACAACTACTTCTTTACCCCTAACCAGCAGGAAGTAACCAGAACGACCACTGCACAGTTCCCAACAGCAGTTGGGGTGTTCTGTTTGGAGGGGCGACTGGGAGGAAGTGCCAGCTGGACTTCCTGGGTCGAGTAGAGGCACGGAAAGCTGTGAAACTCACTGATTTCCTGCATTAGGAATTAATTCCATCCTGCATGGATAATATTGAGGATATATGCTTAAACTATTCCTAACACCAGGATTTCAGCATGTGTTTTTTTCCCCAAGAAAGGTATAAACAGCGAAAATTTTGCTGTAAGTTTCCCTGTGTCCTTTCTCCCTCTCTTCCTTCCCCCTCCCCGAAAACTAAAGTAAAAGAAATGTTAATTGCCTGTTTTTCCTTTGACCAGCGGACATTATCTCTACTCCCAATTCCAATTCCTTGTAAACATACTTCGTAAAGTACTGTAAAATCCTGTCTCCTTTGACATGCCGTGCAATGTCATAAAGTAGATAAAACCTAAGTTGCCATTCCAGTTTTCTTCAAAATCTAAGACAGGTCATAAAATAATTTACTGCCTTTGTTTCTCTCTCTGGTAACATCTTCCTGCCGCATTTATTTCCCGTCTTAAAGAGTTCAAAAGGAAATCACCCAAAACCAACAGTGGCTACCCATTCAGGACCCCTTCCATGCTGTGGAAGCTTTGTAGTTTCACTCGCTCAATAAAGCCTATAGCTCTTTCTCTCTATTGGTCCGTGTCTCTATTGGTCCGTGTCACTCACTGCAGTCAGCTGCCACACCAGTTCTTTGGCCTGGCTAGGCAAGAAGCTTAAACATTCTACTCTGTCTCTGCAAGCTACAGTCTCACTGACTGGGTCTGACAGAGTTGAGTACCTGAGGCTTTTCTAAATGAGAGCACAAGCTGCCAGTAGATCTACCACTCAAATCTGGTAGATAATGGTCCCCTTCCCACAGCTCCATTAGGCAATGTCCCAGTGGGAAGGAACTCTGTGTGAGCCCTCCAAATCTACATTTCTTCTCTCCACCACCCTAGTACAGGTTTTCTGTGAGGGCTGTCCACTTGTGGCAGACTTCTACATGGGTACATAGGCTTTCTCATATATTATCTGAAATCTAGGTGGAGGTTGCCAAGCCTCCTTTATTCTTGCATTATGAATGCCTGCAGACTTAATATCACATAGAAGCAACATCTTACATGCTTTTGTGCTTAAACATTCCTTTGACCAGATAACCTTAATCATAACTTTTTAAACATGTAGTTGTTAATCTTTATGGATACATGGTAGATGTATAGGTTTATAGGGTATATGGAATATTTTGTACAGGTATATAGTGCTTAATAATTACATGAAAGTAAATGAGGTGTTCATCAACTCAAGTATTTGTCCTCTGTGTTGCAAATAATCCAAGTATGATACATTGTTTTAGTTATTTGTAAGTATTCAATTCAATTATTATTGACTATCATTACCCTGATGACCTATCAGATATTTTATTTATCCTACTTTTTGTACCCAGTAACCATCCACCCTCTCCCCGATACCTACAGCTAACCTTCCCAGCCTCCATTAACCATTTTTCTACTCTCTATTTCCATTAGTTCCCCTAAGTTTCTTTGAAATGGGTTTAAATTTTCTCCTAAATCTCAATAATCTTCATTTTCATCCAGAGTCTGAATTTTATGTTTGTCATTTTAGCCATTTCCCTCTGGTTAAGTAATACTACTGCGGAGTATGTGCAGTCATTTGAAGGAAAACAGATACTGTAGCATTTAAAGTTGCTAGCATTCTGGCACTGGTTCTTTCTCATCTGTGTGGGCTGTAGTTTATTTAGCTGTGGAATAATTTTAGCATAGTCTATTGAATTTGTTTCTGGGTGTTTTCAGAGGGCCAAGGCTTTCTGCAAGGTCTTTAATTGTGGCTGAATACTTGTCCTTCTTTTCAAAGTAGGTATGTCAACAAAATATTTTTAGTGTTGATTTTTGGGTCTGATCCAGTAGAAGGTGCTTAATTATAATGACTGAGAGGTAGGCTCTTTCTCATCCATGAAGCACCTATGTATTTCATCACATTTACAGTTATGTTTCCTCCTGGTCATCTGAGAATGAGGGCTTCCCTCCCACTCACATGCTGTATTAGTCTGTTATCATCCTGCTAATGAAGATATGCCTGAAACTGAGTACTTTATAAAGAAAAAGAGTTTTAATGGACTCACAGTTTCAAATGGCTGGCAGGCCTCACAATCATGGCAGATGGCCAAGGAGAAGTAAAGACACATCTTACATGATGGCAGGCAAGAGGGAGAAAGAGAATCAAGCAAATGGGAAACTCCTTATAAAACCATTAGATCTTGCAAGAACTCACTGACTCTCATGAGAATGGTATGGGGAAAACCACACCAAGATTCAATTATATCCACCTAGTCCCACTCTTGACACATGGGGATTATTACAATTCAAGGGGAGATTTGGGTGGGGACACAGAGCCAAACAATATTACATGCTGACTGCAGATCTTGGCTTGGCACTCCTGGGATGTGCAACACAGCCTTTAGGTGACCTCAGGCTTTTTTCTTCCCCCTTTAGCTTGAGAGAAATAGGGTCATGGACCTTGATAGTAGCAGTGGCTGAGGAATTTTCACTTGTCTTTTGTCACTCCATGCCAGAGAAACACAGAACACTGCCAATCAAAATGATCAACTCGGGAGGAGATTGTGTTTTGGCCCTGAGCTATGGGGTCTTGCCTGGTGATTAGCAAGGAGGTTGGAGGCTCATAGGGAAGACAGATTAGCCTCTTCTCCATTGGGTTGCTGTGGCTTGGTTGATGTGTGAACAAAGCGGTCAGGATCTTTATTCTATTTCAGTTTGAAGGGTAGCATGGGCAGGACTGCTGCAGTGGTCAAGAGGACTTTAATTGCTTTCAGGAGTTTCACCCCAAAGAAATTAGAGCTATTATCCATGGAGATGTAGGTGGGATTGTGGCAGCTGCACTATGGGCTGAAGTTGAGAGTCCTGGCTGGGAAAGAGAAGGGGTTGGGGGCTTGCAGAAATGAGAAACTGGGCTCTACTTCATTTTTTTAACTGTAGTGTTCTGGAGGTACATGAAAAACACTCAAGGTCTCTGTTCCTTCCCCAGGCCTATGGTAGCAAGGGAGTACCACTGCAGTGGCAGTGGCAGAGGAGCTGCCAGTTTCCTCTTGAAGCTCCACACTAGATAAACACAGACCTTCTCCCAGTGAGAATATTCAACCAGGGTTGGGACAGCTACACTGTGGAAGTGCCTGGGGATCTGTCTGATGAAGAGTATGAGTGGAAGCTCACGGAATAAAGAGCCTGAGCTTTGCTCTATATGGCAGCTGTGACACGCTGGAGGTGCCTAAACAGTGGTCAGATTCCTTGTTTTCTCCTCATCCCAAGGGCAATAAGGATAGTATTACTGCAGCTGTAATGGCAATGGAACTGCATGTTGTCTCTGAGATTTTTTTTTTCCAGAGAAATGCAGAGCTACCACTAACTAAAGTGATAAAATTGGGACAGGGTATCTGTACTAGAGGTACAGGTTGAAAGGTCTTGTCCAGTAAGAAGTTACAAGAGCATAGACCCACATAGGAAACTGTCTGGCTCCTTTTCTATAATGCAGGCTGCACCATGCAGGAGGCCCATGATAGTCTCTAACCTCTTTGCTTTCTCCTGAATAAAGGGCAATAAGAGTGGGGGCCATGGAGTGGCAACAATAGCAAGCCTGCCTGTTACCACTTGGTGCTTTATACCAGGAGAACACAAATATGCTGCTACCCTGAAAACTCAGGTAAGAGTGGGATGACTGTGTTTGGGACACAGTTTAGAAGGCCCCACCTAGTGAAGAATGGTAGGATCAGGGACCTGTATGGGAAACAATACAGCCCATTTTCCATAAGGCAGCTGCATTTTGCTGAAGGCTCATAATAGTCCTTGAACTCTTCACTTCCTTTAAATCATGAGAGCTATAGAGGCTGTAGCTTCAGGAAGAATGTTAGGCCTCCCTTTTACATCTCGTAGCTCCAACTCAAAGAAAGGCATAATGGTACTATTGGCCAAAGTGTTTGGGTGGGGCTGTGGTGGCTATGGAAAAGTCCCTGGCCAGTGGGCTTTCCCGGGCAAAGGGTAAGGGTAATGAAGCCTATAGTCCATCCACTCCTCAGAACTATAGATTTGGACCCCCTCCTGTGAGCACATGAGAGAGCATGTCCTCTCTTGTTGGCAAAGCTAAAGCCACTGGCACTGAATGCTCAGTGTCCCAAGGCCATGTCAGTCAGGAGGTTCCAGAGGGAGAATATGATGCAGTGATCTCTTGTGCCCTGGGTTGCAAAGGTTAATAGAAGAAATACAGGTTTCTGGAAGCTCCCACTCAGCATTTTTTCATGGTGGAGTTCCTCCCTTGGCTCAATACCAGTCCTGGGAAGGTGGCTCTCCTCTCTTATTCTACTCTATTCTCCAAGAATTACATCACTTCATTAGTAAATCCCAACATGTCCTGAAGAGCTAGTATTTTCTTACCATTCTGTCTCTTCTCTGTGAGGGCAATGCACTTTAGCTACTTCTAGTCAGCCATCTTTGCACTCTTCTTTTCATTTCTTTGAAAATCTCACTCAACACATATTAATATAGACAAGATTAGACTGCAAGTATTAGAAAAAATACCCAACTCCTTCATGTACAGACATCAATAAATCTCCATAAGCATCAACAACATCCAGGAACATATGATCTCACCAAATAGGCTAAATAAGACACTGGGAACCAATCCTGAAGGGATGGATATATGTGACCACTATGACAATAAAACCAAATGGCTGTTTAAAAAAACAAAAAATCTCAATGAATTTCAGTGAAACAGAGAAGGAATTCAGAACTCTATTCAAAAAATTAAACAAAGATTTAAATTGAAAAATTAAGCAAGAATTCTGGAGCTGAAAATTGATCTTGAGTAAGAATTGTGTCAGAGTGTCTCAATGGCAGAGTTAAGTAGGCAGAAAAAGAAAACATACTAGTGAGGTTGAAGACATGCTATATGAAAATACACCATAAAAGAAAATAAGAAAAAATCAGGTACATATGTAAGACTTATAAAATAACTACAAAATGGAAAAATTTATTTAGTGGATTTAAAGAGGAGGTCTAGAAAGATATCAGGGTAAAAATATATTCAAAGAAATGACAGAGAACTTTCCATGTCCCAGGCTTTGCAATCCTGTCCAGCCTTGGGACATGATGCTGTTTCCCCTCTGCTGCAGCTCCAGCTATAAATAAAATGGGTCATGGTACAGTTTGGGCCTTTGCTTCAGCATGTGAAAGCCTAGAACCTTTACAGTGTCCCCATAGTGTCGGGCCTGCAGGTGTGCAGAAGGCAAGAGTTGAGATTGGGAGCCTCAACTAGGTTTGAGAGACTGTAAAGAAATGCCTGAATATCCATACAGAAGTCTGCTGCAAGGCAGCGCCCACACGGAGGACCTCTACTAGCACATTCTGTAGGGGAAATGTGGGGTTGGATGCCTCGCACAGAGGACTTACTAGAGCACTGCCTAGTGAAGTTATAAAGAAAGGGTCATCATCACCCAGGCCCCCGAATTGAAGTTCCACTGAGAGCATGCAACTTGAGAAAACTGTAAGGACACAATGCCAGCCTGTTAAATAGCAGTGGTGACTATACCTTGAGATCCACCCCTTGTGTCAATGTAGCCAGATGTGAGACATAAAGTGAAAGAAGTTTACTCTGGAACATTAAAATTTAGAGTCTGTCCTGCCAGTTTTCAGACTGCAAGGGGCCTGTAGCTTTTTGTTTTGGTTAATTTGTGTCTTTTGGAATAGGAGCATTTACCCAATGCCTGTACCATGATTGTATCTTTGAAATAACTATTTATTTATGTTATTTTATAGGCTCATAGACAGAAGGGATTTGCTTGGCCTCAGATAAGACTTTGGAGTTGAACTTTTGGGTTAATACTGAAATGAGTTAAGACTTTGGGGCACTGTTGGGAAGGCATGAATGTGTATTGAAATGTAAGAAGGACATGAGATTTAAGAAGGGCCAGGTTGAAATAATATAATTTGGCTCTATGTGCCTACCAAAATCTGATGTCAAATTTTAATCCCCAGTGTTGGGAAAGGGACCTGGGAAGAGGTGACTGGCTCATGGGGGTGGACTTTCCCCTTGTTGATCTCATGATAGTTCTCAGACGATCTCCTTGATTGAAAGTGTGTAGCACCTTTGACTTCACTTTATCTTTCTCCTGCTTTGCCTTGTGAACATTGTACCTGTTTGCTTTTTACCTTCAGTCATGTTTGTAAGTTACCTGAGACCTGCCCAGCCATGCCTCCTATATGCCCTGTGTAACTGTGTAATTACACCTCTTTATAAATTTTTCAGTCTAAGATACTTCTTATAGCAACATGAGAATGAGCTAATATACCTCTTCAGCAATTCTTTTAAAAAGAAATTATAGGTCATTACATGAAGCAAGTCCAAAAATTTAAAAATCACTAAAATTATATCAACCATCTTTTCTAATCACAATGAAAACTAAAAATTATAAACAAGAAAAACTTTGCAAATTACAAAAACAAACGGAAATTTCAAAACTTGCTTCTGAATGACAATTGGATCTTTAAGAAAGTTTAAAAATTGTTTAAGACCAATGAAAATTAAAATACAACATATCAAAACTAATGGGAATACAGTGAAAGCAGTAGTAAGAGAAAAGTTTATAGCAACAAACTTCTAAATTTTAAAAGTGGAAAGTCTTCAAAGAAATAGCTTAAAAATACGTCTAAAATAACTAAAAAATAAAAAGCAAATTAAACAAAAATTTGGATAAAAAATTAAATGGTAATAATCAGAAGATAAATTAATGAAAGTAAAAAATGCAAATGACAAATGAAATAAAAACTTGGTTTCTGAAAAGAAAATTAAAATTGGCAAAACTTTAAGTGAACTAAGCAAAAGCCAGAAAAAATATCATAGTAAAAAAAGATGTTAAGGTTGATACTACAGAAATTCAAAAAAAATTGATTCATACTAACTATATGCCATTTAGTGGAAAAATCTAGAAGAAATACATAAGTTTCAAGAAATACACACTTTACCAATGTTGAACCATGAAGGAATAGAAACACTTTGTCATATTTTTCCCCCTTCTTATGTTTAGGATGGCATTGTCTAGATTGTGTTGCTGAGTTTTATAGTTTGGGGTTTTATATAAGTCTTTAATCTGTCTAGCTGATTTTTGTATGTGATATAAAGAAGGAGTCTAGTTTCAATCATTTTTATTGGCTAGCCAGTTATTTCAGCACCTTTTGTTGAATAAGGAGTCCTTTCTTCATTTTTTTTTTTTTTGTCAGCTCTGTCAATAATCAGATTGTTGTAGTTGTCTGGGCTTACTTCTGTGGTCTCTATTTTGTTCCTTAGGTTGGTGTGTCTGGTTTCGTACCAGTACCATGCTATCTTGGTAACTGTATGAAGTTGAGTAGCATGATCCCTCCAGCCTTTTTGCTTTTGCTTAGGATTTCCTTGGCTATGAAAATGTACTTTTGGTTGTGTATAAATTTTAAATTAGTTATTTTTTTAAGTTCTATGAAGAATGTCATTTGGTAGTTTGGTAGAAATAGGATTGGATATATAAATTGCTTTGGGCAGAATGGGCATTTTAATAATATTAATTCTATCCCTGAGCATGAAATCCTTTACCATTTGTTGGTTTTATCTCTGATTTCATAGAACAATGTTTTGTAAGTCTCAGTGTAAAGATATTTTACTTCCTGGGTTAGCTGTATTCCTTGGTATTTTATTCCCTTTGTGGAAAGTGTGAATGGGATTGTATTTCTAATTTGGCTGTCAGCTTGGCTGCTGTTAATGTATAGTTAAGCTCATAATTTTTGTGATTGATTTTGTATCCTGAAAATTTACTGAAGTTGTTTATCACATGCAAAAGCTTCTAGACTAAGATTATGAAGTTTTAGATATACAATCATATTGTCAAAAGCAATTGCAATGGAAGCAAAAATTGACAATAAGATTCAACTAAAGAGCTTCTGCATACCAAAAAAGAAACTGTCAAATAAGTAAACACACAACCTAAAAAAGAGACAAAATTTTTGCAAATTATGCATCTGACAAAGGTCTAGTATCTATAATCAACAAGGAATTTAAACACATTTACAAGAAAAAGACAAACAAATCTATTAAATAGTAGTCAAAGAACATGAACAGATACTTTTCTAAAGAAAACATACCTGGCTTGGTGAAGTGGCTCATGCTTGTAATCCCGGCATGGGGACGTGGAAGTGGGTTGATTGAATGAGCCCAGGAGTTTGAGACCATCATGAAAAACAAGCGTGAAATTCCATCTCTATGGGGGGAAAATTAACTACATGTGGTGATGCATGCCTGTAAGCCCCAACTACTAGGGAGGCTGACATAGGAAAACTGCTTGAGCCTAGAAGGTAGAGGTTGCAGTAAGCCAATATCATATCACTGTCCTGCAACAAAGGTGAGACAGTGAGAACATGTTTAAGAAAAAAATACATGAAAGAAAAGAAGTGGAGAGGAAGTGTGGGGAGCAAAGGAGAAGGGAGAGGAAAATATACCTGCAGCCCATAAGCATATTTTTAAAAGCTCAATATCACTGATCATTAGAGACGTAAATTAAAACCACATTGAAATACTATCTTAGACCAGCCCGAGTGGCTGTTATTAAAAAGTTCAAAAATAACAGACCACTGGCAAGTTTGCAGAGAAAAGGGAACACCTACAGACTATTAGTGAGAGTGTAAACTAGTGGAAAGATTTCTCAAAGAGCTAAAAGTGGAGCTATTACTCAACTCAGCAATCTCATTACTGGGTATATGAACAGATGAATCCAAACTGTCATGCCATAAAGACACATGCACACAAGTGTTCATTGCAGCATTATTCACAATAGCAAATACATGGAATCAACATAAATGCCCATCAATGACAGAATGCATAAAGAAAACATGATATGTATCCACCATGAAATACTATGCAGTTATTATAAGAATAAGATCAGGATTTTTGTGAAACCATAGATGGTGCTGGATTCCATTATTCTTAGCAAACAAATGGAGAGCAAACAAATACATGTGGTATTCATAAAATTGAATACCAAATGTTCTGACTTACAAGTGGAAGCTGAATAATCAGAAATCATGAAAACAAAGAAGGGAACAACAAACACTGGTACCTTCTTGAGGGTGGAAGTTGAGAAGACAGAGAGGACAAGAAAAAAATAACTTTTGGGTACGAGGCTTAGTACTTTGGTGACCAAATAATCAGTGCAACAAACCTGTATGACATGAGTTTTTCTATATAACAAATCTGCACATGTACATCCAAACCCAAAATAAAAGTTAAAAAAATAGAAAATTCGAATAGACTCATAACTAATAATAAAATAGAAACATTAATAAAATGTCTCATAAAAGAAAATTCCAGAATGAGATGTCTTTACAGATAAATTTTATTAATACCAAATATTGAGTGAGTAACTAATATGAATGATATTCAGACTATTCTAAAAATTTAAGGAAAAAAGAATACTTCCAAGCTCTTTCTACAAGGCCATCATTAATGGTGATAGATAAGGCAGGTAACATACAACAAACTCTAAAACAAAACAAAAATGTAGATCAATACCTTTGACAAACATAAATGCAAATATCCTCCCCAAATTTTTTAACAGGTAACAAAAAACTGAATTCAACAACACAATGAAAGTAGTATAGCCAAGAAGTTTTTATTCACAAAATGCCTAGATGGTTCAACATACAGAAATAAATAATTGTAATGTATCAGATTAACAGAACAAAAGACAATAAGCATATAATGAATTCAATAGATGCCAGTAAAGTATTCCATAAAATTCAACAATTCTTAACAGTAAAAACTCTCAACAAACTAGAAATAAACAGAAAATATCTCAAAAAACTTTATTAAAGGCTGTATTAGACTAATTCATAGCTATCATCATATTGAAAAAAGAAAAACATAAAAATCATTTGCCTAAGTTATGAAATGAGACAAGAATAACAATTTTTACCGCTTTTATTCAACATAATATTGGAAGTCTTAGGCAGCATAGGTAAACAAGAGAAATAAAGAGTACCTAAAGTCAAAATCAAATAGTCAAATTATGCTTATCTGCAGATAACATTTTATATTTACAAAAATATAATAAACTGCAAAAAAAACTAGAATGCATGAAAAATTTTAGAAAGGGTGCAGGATACAAAATGAATACAGAAAAATTAGTACTATATATTTTTAATTTTTTATTTATAATTGTGAGTCAACAGGAGGTGCATCTATAGATTACATGAGCTGCATTAATACAGACATAAAATATATAATAATGAAATCAAAGTAAATGAGGTATCAGTCTCTTCAGGCATTTATCCTTTGTATTCCAAAAAAAAAAAACAATTTACTTTTAGTTTTTTTAAAAGTTACAGTTATTTCATTACAGATTATAGTCATCCTGATGTGCCATCATATACTAGATCTAATTGATTTTCTCTAACTACATTTTGTTCCCACTTACTAACCCCCCAAATATCCCACCATCTTCACCAGCCTCAAGTACCCATGCTTCTACTTTACTGCCATAAATTATTAAATTGTTTTAATTTTTAGCTTCCACAAAAAAAGTGAGAACATGCAGTATGTCCTCTGTACCTGGCTCTTTTCACTTAACATAATGACCTCTAGCTCTTTCTGTGTTGTTCCAAATGACAGAATATTTTTCCTATGGCTACACTGTATTCCATTGTGTATATGTGCCACATTTTCCTTATCCATTCATCTGTTGATGGACACTTTAGGTGGCTTTCAAATCATAGCTCTTGTGAACAGTGTTGTAACAAACATAAAAATGCAAATATCTCTTTGATATACTGATCTATCTATCTTTCTTTCTTTCTTTTTATTTAAATTTCACTTTAAGTTCTGACATACATGTGCAGAACATTAAGTTTTGTTACATAGGTATACATTTGCCATGGTGGTTACCTGCACGCATCAACCCATCATCTACTTTAGGTATTTCTCCTAATAGTATCCCTCCCCTTGTCCCCCAAACACCTGACAGGACCTGGTGTATGATGCTCCCCTCCCTGTGCCCATATATTCTCACTGTTCAACTCCCACTTATGAGTGAGAACATGAAGTGTTTGGTTTTCTCTTCCTGTGTTAGTTTGCTGAGACTGATGGTTTCCAGCTTCATCCATGTCCCTGCAAGGGACATGAACTCATTCTTTTTTATGGATGCCTAGTATTCCATGGCATTTGTTTGCCACATTTTCTTTATCCAGTCTATCTTTGATGAGCATCTAAATTCGTTCCAAGTCTTTGCTATTGTAAATAGTGCCACAACAAACATACACATATATGTATCTTTATAATAGGATGATTTAAACTCCTTTAGGTATGTACCCACTAATGGGATTGCTGAATCAAATGGTATTTCTGGTTCTAGATCTTTGAGGAATTTCCACATTATCTTCCACAATGGTTAAACTAATTTTCTTTCCCACTGTCACTTTAAAAACATTCCAGTTTATCCACAGCTTCTCCAGCATCTGTTGCTTCCAGACTTTTTAATAATTGCCATTCTGACTGGTGTGAAATTGTATCTTACTGTGGTTTTGATTTGCATTTCTCTAATATTCAGTGATGTTGAGTTTTTTAAATATGTTTGGTGGCTACATAAATATTTTCTTTTGAGAAGTGTATGCTTATTTCCTTTGCCCACTTTTTAACAGGAATGTTTATTTTCTTCCTTGTAAATTTCTTAAGTTTCTTCCAGAGTCTGGACATTAGACCTCAGTCAGATTAATAAATTGTAAAAACTTACTCTTTCTCATTTTTTCTGATGATAGTTTCTTTTATTGTAAAAAAAAATTTAGTTCAATTAGATCTCCTTTGTCAATTATTTCTATTGTTGCAATTGCTTCTGATATTTTTGTTGTGAAATAATTACCTATGCTTATGTCCTCAATAATATTGCCTAGATTTTTTTCTAGAGTTTTTATATTTTGGGATTTTACATATGCATCTTTAATGCATCTTCTATTAATTTTTGTATAATGTATAAGACAGGGGTCCAGTTTCATTTTTCTGCATATGGCTAGTGAGTTTTCTCATCAACATTTACTGAAGAGAAAATTTTTCCCCATTGAATGATGTTTTTATTAGGTTTGTTGAAGATCAAATTGTTGTAGATGTATGGTCTTATTTCTGAGTTCTCTATTCTGGTTCTATTGATTTATGTGTCTGTTTTTGTAGTAGTACCAGGCTGTTTTGGTTACTGTAGCATTGTAGTATAGTTTGAAGTTGGTAAGCGTAATGCCTCCAGCTTTGTTCTTTTTGTTTAGGATAGTCTTGGCAATATGAGCTTTTTTTTGTTTCATATGAATTTTAATATAGTTTTTATTTTAATGCTGTAAAAATATCAATGGTAATTTAATGGGAATGACATTTGTTATACACATTACTTTGGACAGTATGGCCATTTTCGTGACATTGTTTCTTTTTATTCATGAACATGGAATATTTTTCCATTGGTTTGTGTTTTCTCTGATTTCCTTGAGCAGAGATTTGTAATTATCTTTAAGAGTTCCTTTGCTTCCTGGTTTAGCTATATTTGTAGACATTTTATCTCTTTTGCAGCAACTGTAAATGGAAATTCATTCATAATTTGGTTGTCTACTTGCCTGTTGGTGTGTTGGAATGCTCGCAATTTTTGCACATTGATATTTTATTCTGATACATTGCTGAAGTTGCTTGTCAGCTTTAGAAGCTTTGGAACTGTGATAGTGGGATTTTCTAGATATTGGATTATGTCATCTGAAAATAAAATCAATTTGTCTTTCTGTCTTCCTACTTGAATACCTCTTATTTTTTTCTCTTGTGTGATTGTCCTGGCCAGAACTTCCAATACTATGTGTGTGTTTCTTGCAGGCAACAGATCATTGGGTCTTCTTCTTTAGATCTATGCAGTCACTCTCTCTCTCTTTTTTTTTTTTTGATTGACGAGTTAATCCATTAATATTCACTGTTTTTGTTAATAAGTAATAACTTATTCTTGACATTTTCTTATTTGTTTTCTGGTTGATTTATGGTCTTCTCTTCTTGTCTTCATTTCTGTCTTCTCTTAAGTAAGACTGATGATAATGATTTAGTTTCCTGCATTTTATTTTTCTTGTTACTCACTCTATGTTTTTCAATTTGAAGTTACCAACAGGCTTACAAGTACTATATTTTTTACATGAAAATGATGACAAGTTAACACTGATTTTATTTTAAAAAAAGCCCCCCAGAAAAAACTGGTAAACTGTACATCTTAATATTTTTCTTCACTTTTAAATAGAGGTTTACACATTAAATTTGCCCAGTTATATGATAATCTATTGTGTTTTTCCTGTGTACTTATTATTACAGGTAAATTTTCTTCACTTTTGTGATGTCCTATTGTTCAATAATATTCCCTTTTCCAGGTTAATCGTCTCACTGTAATGTTTCTTTTAAGATACATGTTGTTTTGATGTTATTCCTCAGCTTCTGTTTGTTTGGAAAAGTCTGTTTCTCCCTGCTCAGAAGACATTTTCACTGGATACGCTATTTGTAGAGTAAGAAGTTAATTTTTTTTCTGCACTATGACTATGTCATTTCTCTTTTTCCTGGTCTGCAAGATTTCCAGTGAAAAGACTGCCAACAGATATATGGAGTTTCATCTTGTGCAATTTCTTTCTTTTTTCTTGCTGTCTTTAGAATTTTTCTTGTAATTTTAGTCCTTTGGAAGTTTGATTACTAAATTCCATGATGTTGTCTTTTTGGAGTTAAATCTGCTTCGTGTTCCATTACCTGCTTTTACTTAGATACTAATATCTTGCTCTGGGTTTGGAAAGCTCCCTATTTTTCCTTTGAATAAATTTTCTATGCATATTTCTTTGTCTACTTCCTGTTTAAGACCAATAACTTTAGATTTGTCTTTTGAGGCCATTTTCTAGATCCTGTAGGCATGCTTCCTTGTTTTTTTCTTCTTTTTGTCTTATGTGACTGTGTATTCTCAAATAGCCTATCTTCAAGTTTACTAATTCTCTTTTCTGTTGTATCAATTCTATTGTTAGTAGACTCTGATGCATTCTTCAGCATATTAATTGCATTTATCAACTCTAGAATTTCTGCTTTTCTTTTTATCACTTTATTCTCTTATTTAAATTTATCTAATAGAATTCTGTAATCCTTCTCCTTGTTATCCTGGGTTTATTTGCAATTGCTTAGAAGAGATATTTTGAATTCTCTGTCTGAAAGGTCTCAAATCTCTGTTTTTCCAGGATTGGTTCCTGGAACTTTATTTAGTTTATTCATGAGATCATGTTTCCTAGATGGTCTTGATGCATAGGGATGTTTAGTGTCTTAATAGCTAACTATTTCCTGTAGTCTCTGCAATATGGGCTTGTTTGTGTTTGTCTTTCTTAGGAAGGCTTTCCAAGTATTCAAGGACTTGAACCCCAAGCCCAAGAATGCTGTGGATCTTGTAGACTCATGAAAGTAACACCTTGGTAGTTTTAGATAAGATATGAAAGAGTTCTCTAGATTATGAGGCAGAGACTCTTGTTATCTTTTTTACTTTTTCTCAAACAAACTGAGTTTTTCTTAGTGCTAAGCTGCCAGCAGCTGGGGTTAACACAACTGCAGCTGTGGTCATCCACTATTTTGATTGCAATGTGTCAGCTTTGAAGCCAGCACAGCAGTGGTTTTTACCAAAGGCCCACTCTAACCATTACCTGGCTAACATTTAGGGTCACTTAAGGCACTAGTACTCCACAATCAGCATACGGCTAATCCAGCTAGGTATGTAAGTTTTTCCCTTTAGGGTAGTAAATTCCCCAAGGCCCTAAGTGGCTTCAGAGAAGTTTTCTGGAAGCAATTAGAGTAAAAATCTTAAATCTATATGATATTTTACTCTATTGTAACTCAGCTGACACTAAAACCACAAGGCAAACCTTTTCCCATTCCTTTATCCCTTTTATACAGGCAGAGCAGTGTCTTCCTGTGAACACCAAGACCACAGCCTATAAATGTTCTTCCAGGCCACTAACCAATAGTCACTTAAAGCTCAAGATCTTTTTACTCAGCTGTGATGAATGCTGCCAAGCCTGGGACTCACCCTTCAAGGAAGTGGGCTCCTCTCTGAACCAGGAATGGTCTCCAAACACTGTTCAAGAGCCCGGGTTATGTCATGAGGACACTCATGCCACAAACTGCTGTGGTTAAGCTAGTATCTAAGGTTCAAAACAAAACCCCCTTTATTGTTCCTTCTGCTTTCTTCAAGGAGAAGGAGTCTTTTGCCATATCTACCACAGTTGAAAATGTGCTGAGTCTCACCTGATGCCAGTAAGTTTTAGAGTCTCTCCTAAGCCCCTGACACACTACTGGGATATTGCTGTCAGGGCCCAAGAACTCTTTAGTCAGCAGGTGATAAATTCTGCCAAGAGTGGGTGTTTCCCTTCAAGGTAACTGGTTTTCTCCTGTTCTAGAATGTATTGAAAAATGTCATCTGGAAGCTATGGCCTGGAAAATCTGCCTCACAACTCTTCCCAGTGCCCTATTCTGTTGTCACTGATCTGGTATCCAAAATATGAGACAATGTGTTTTTTTATTGTTATTTTTTGTTGTTATTAGTTTGTTTTTATTAAGTTCCTGGATACATGTGCAGAATGTGAAGGTTTCTTACATAGGTATATGTGTGCCATGATGGTTTGCTGAACTTATTGACCTACCCTCTAATTTTCTCTCCTCACCCACCACACCCCAGGTGGCCCTGGTGTGTGTTATTCCCCTCCATGTGTCCATGCATTTTCATTGTTCAACTCCTACTTATAAGTGAAAACATCTGGGGTTTGATTTTCTGGTCCTGCAAAAGACATGATCTAATTCCTTTTTATGGCTGCATAGTATTCCATGGTGTATATGTACCACATTTTCTTTATCTACTTTGTCATTGATGGACATTTGGTTTGGTTCCATGACTTTGCTGTTGTGACTAATGATGCAGTAAACATACATGTGCATGTGTCTTTATAGTGGAATAATTTATATTCCTTTGGGTATATATTCAGTAATGAGATTGATAGGTCATATTTCTGGTTCTAGATCCTTGAGGAATTACCCAACTGTCTTCCACAATGCTTGAACTAATTTACATTCCCACCAACCATGTGAAGGTATTCCTATTTTTCCATGGCCTCACCAGCATCTATTATTTCTTGACTCTTTGGTGATCACCATTCTGACTGACATGAGATGGTATCTCATGTTTTGATTTACATTTCCCTAATAATTAGAAATGTTGAGCTTTTTTTCATATGTTTTTTGGCTGTGTAAATGTCTTCTTTTCAGAAGTGTCTCTTCATATCTACTGCTCACATTTTGATGGGGTTATCTTTTTTTGTAAATTTATTCAAGTTCCTTGTAGATTCTGGATGTTGTTTGTTTGTCAGCTAAATACATTGCAAATAATTTCTCTCATTCCATAGGTTGCCTGTTTACTCTAGTGATAGAGTAAACAGAAGCTCTTTAGTTAATTAGATCCCATTTGTCACTTTTGGCTTTTGTTGCAATTGTTTTTGGCATTTTTGTAATTAAGTCTTTGCCCGTTCCTATGTCTTACATTTAAATTTTTAATTCATCTTGACTTAATTTTTGTGTAAGGTGTAAGGAAGGGTTCCAGTTTCAGTTTGCTGCATGTGGCTAGCCATTTCTCCCAGCATCATTTATTGAATACGGAATCCTTTACCTATTACCTGTTTTTGTCAGGTTTGTCAAATATGAGATGGATGTAAACATGTGGTGTTATTTCTGAGGTCTCTGTTTTGTTCCTTGGTCTATATGTCTGTTTTTGTACCAGTACTATGGTGTTTGTGTTACTGTAGTCTTGTAGTATAGTTTGAAGTCAGGTAATGATATGCCTCCAACTTTCTTATTTTTTGCTTAGGATGATAGTCTATACAGGGTCTTCTTTGTTTTCATATAAAATGTAAAGTTTTTTAAATAATTCTGTGAAGAATATAAATAGTAACTTGATGGGAATAGCATTGAATATATAAATTACTTTGAGCAATATGGCTATTTTCACAATATTAATTCTACCTATCCATGAGGATGAAATGTTTTTCCATTTGTTTTTGTCATCTCTTATTTCCCTGAGCAGTGGTTTGTAGTTGAAGAGGCTCTTCACATCCCTTGTTAGCTGCATTCCTAGGTATTTTATTCTCTTTGTAACAATTGTTCATTTACTATTTGGCTCTCTGGTTGTCTCTTCTCAGTGTAAAGGAATGCTTACAATTTTGGCACATTGATTCTGTATCCTGAGACTTTGCTGAAGTTGCTTATCACCTAGGAGTTTTGAGGTTGAAACGATGGGGTTTTCTAAATATATAATTATGTCATCTGCAAACAGAAAATTTGACTTCCTCTCTTCCTATTTCAATACATCTTTTTTCTCTCTCTCTCTTTTACCTGATCGCCCTGGCCAGAACTTCCAATACTATATTAAATAGGAGTGGTGAGAGAGGGCATCGTTGTGTTTTACCAGTTTGCAAAGGAAATACTTTCAGCTTTTGCCCATTCATTATGATATTGGCTAGTTATGAGATTGTCATAACTAGCTCTTATTATTTGAGATATGTTTCATCACTGCCTAGTTTATTGAGGTTTTTTCACATGAAGGGATATTTAATTTTATCAAAGAATTTTTCTGCATCTATTGAGAAAATCATATGATTTTTGTCTTTGTTTCTGTTTATATGATGGATTGTATTTATTGATTTCTGTATGTGGAACCAGCCATGCATCCTAGGATAAAGCTAGTGTGGTCATGGTGGATAAGTTTTTGGATATGCTGCTGGATTCTGTTTGTCAATATTTAGTTGAGGATATTTAGTTGAGGATCGATGTTCATAAGATGTTTTGGCCCGAAATTTTCTTTTTTTTTTTGTCGTGTCTCTGCCAGGTTTTGATATCAGGATAATGCTGGCTTCATAAAATGAGTAATGGAGGAGTCTCTCATATTCAATTGTTTGAAATGGTTTCAGAAAATAATGGTACCAACTCCTCTTTGTACCTCTGGTACAATCCAGCTGTGAACACATTTGGTCCTGGGGTTGTTTTTTTTTGGTAATCTATTAAATCCTGACTCAATTTCATAACTTGTTATTGGTATATGGAGGGCTTCTACTTCCTCCTGGTTTAGACTTGGGAGGGTGTATGTGTTCAGGAATTTATCCATTTCTACTAGAAATTATCCATTTCTACTAGATTCCCTAGTTTATTTGTGTAAAGGTGGTTTTAGTATTCTGTGATGAAAATGAAGTAAAAAATGGTTGTATTTCTCTGAGGTAAGTGATAATATCCCCCTGATCATTTTTTTATTGTGTTATTTCTTGTCTTCTACTAGTTTTTGGATTCATTTACTCTTGCCTCTCTCGCTCTTTTAATTGTGATGTTAGGGTGTCAATTTGAGATCTTCCTAGCTTTCTGATGTGGGAGTTAGTGCTATAAATTTCTCTCTTACCACTGTTTTAGCTGTGTTCCAAAGATTCTGGTATGCTGTTTCTTTGTTCATATTGGTTTTGAAGAACATCTTGATTTCTGCTTTAATTTTGTAATTTTATTATTCACCCACAAGTCACTCAGGAGGAGGTTGTTTAATTTTCATCTAATTGTGTGATTTTGAGTGAGTTTCTTAATCCTGAGTTCTAATTTGATTCCACTGTGGTATGAGAGATGGTTTGTTATTATTTCAGTTATTTTGTATTTGCTGAGGAGTGTTTTATTTCCAATTATGTGGTCAATTTTAGGATAAGTGTTTTGTGGCACTGAGTAGAATGTATATTTTGTAGATGTGATGTGGAGAGTTCTGTAGATGTCAATTAGGTCCACTTGAGCCAGAGCTGAGTTCAATCCTGATTATTTTTAATTTTCTGCCTCCTTGATCTGCCTAATATTCACAGTGGGGTGGCAAAGTCTCCCATTATTATTGTGTGGAATCTAAGTTTCTTTGTTGGTCTCTCAAAACTTGTTTTATGAATCTGGGCGCTCTTGTATTAGGTGAATATATATTTAAGATAGTTAATTCTTCCTGTTGAACTGACCCCTTTACCATATTTTTATGCCCTTTTTTGTCTTTTTTGATCTTTGTTGGTTTAAAGACCAACAAAGACTGGGATTGCAACCCCTCCATTTTTTGGATTCCAATTGGCTCGCAAATTTTCCTCCACCGCTTTGTGTTAAGAGTATGTGTGTCTTTGTACGTGAGATGTGTCTCCTAGAAGCAGCACCCTGATGGGTCTTGACTCTTTATCCAATATTCCAGTCTGTGTCTTTCAATTTTGGCATATAGCCCACTTACATTTAAGGTTAATATTGTTATGTGTGAATTTGATACTGCCATCGTGATGCTCTCTTGTTATTTTGCACATTAGTTGGTGCAGTTTTTTATAATGTTATTGGTCTTTATGTCCTGTGTGTGTTTTTGCAGTGCCTGACACCACTTTTTCTTTCCATATTTAGTGTTTCCTTTAGCAGCTCTTGCAAGGCAGGCCTGGTGGTGATGAAATCTCAGGGCATTTGCTTGTCTGGAAAGAATTTTATTTCTCCTTTGTTTATGAATTTTAGTTTAGCTGGATATGAAAATTATGGTTGAATTTTTTTTAAGAACGTTTAATATTGGCTTCCAACTTCTTTGGCTTGTAGAATTTCTGCTGAGAAGTCTGCGTTTAGTCTGATGGATTTCCCTTTCTAGGTAACATGGCCTTTTCTATCTATCTTCCCTTAATATTTTTCCTTTATTTCAACCTTGGAGAATCTGATAAATAGGTGTCTTGGGGTTGATATTACTGTGGAGTATCTTAGTGGTGTTTTCTATATCTCCTGAATTTGCATGTTGGCCTGTCTTTTTAGTTTGGGGAAGTTCTCCTGGATAATATTCCGAAGTGTGTTTTCCAGCTGGTTTCCATTCTCCCCTTCTCATTCAGATACTCCAGTCAATCATAGGTTCAGTCTTTTTAAGTAGTCCATCTTTGAGGCTTTCTTCATCCCTTTTCATTCTTTTTTCTCTAATCTTGTCTGTGTTTCTTATTTCAGAAAGATGGTCTTCAAATTCTGATACCTTTTATTTTGCTTGGTTGATTCAGCTATTGATACTTGAGTATGATTCACGAGGTTCTCATACTGCATTTTTTAGATTCATCAGGTTATTTACGTTCCTCTCTAAACTGATTATCCCAGTTAGCAGCTCTTCCAACCTCTTATCAAGGTTCTTAACTGCTTTGCATTGGGTTAGGACAGGCTTCTTTACCTCAGCAGAGTTTTTAGTACCCATCTTCTGAAAGCTGCTTCTGTCAATTGGTCCATCTTATCCTCTGTCCAGTTCTGCATCCTTACTGGAAAGGTGTTGCAATCATTTGGAGGAGAAGATGAACTCTGGCTTTTAGGCTTTCAGGATTTTTTCATTGACTCTCATTTTCACGACTTGGTCTACTTTTAATTTTCGAGGCTGCTGACTTTTGAATGGGGTTTTTGTGGAGACTTTTGTTGTCATTGATGTTGTTGTTGCTTTGTCTGTTTTTCTTTAAATGGCCAGGTCCCTCTTCTGTAGGGCTTCTGTGATTTCCTGGGGTTTTGCTTCAGGCCCCATTCATTTGATTCAATCTTGCACATGAAGATGTCACTCAAGAAGGTGAGAGAGGCTGGGTGCCATGGCTCACACCTGTAATCCCACCATTTTGGGAGGCAAGGCAGGCAGATCATGAGGTCAAGAGATCGAGATCATTCTGGCCAACAAGGTAAAACCCCATCTCTACTAAAAGTACAAAAATTAGCTGTGCGTGGTGTTGCATGCCTGTACTCCCAGATAATTGGGAGGCTGAGGCAGAAGAATCACTTGAACCCGGGAGGTGGAGGTTGCAGTGAGCCAAGATAGTGCCACTGCACTCCAGTCTGGCAACAGAGTGAGATGCCGTCTTAAAGAAAAAAAGGCTAGATAGGTGTCTGTTTCTCCTTCTGGGATTTCTAACCTCAAGGGGCACCAACCTGATGCCAGTAGGATTGCTTCTGTATAGAGTGTCTGACAACCTCTGTTGGAGGATCTCACATAGTTGGGTGACATGGGGAACAGGACCCATTTAACAAAACACTTTGATTCTCTTTGTGGAGGGGGTGTGCTTCGCTTGGGGGAAAGTACTCATCTGGGCTGACAAGATTCCTTAGAAATACCAAGAGGAAAAATTAAGTCTGCTGATTTGTAGACACTGTGCCCACCCCTCCCACTTTGGTCTCAGGCCCAGAGAGATCAGAGTTCTTTCTCTGAGCCCTGGCTGGAATTGTTGGGGTTCCTGCAGGGAGGCCCTACCCAATGAGAAAGGATGGGTGAGGATCAGGCCTAAAAAGTTTCTCTGGACACAGTCAGCCATAGAATCAGTGTTTTGGGCTGTGGGGGACACCTCTTAGAACCAAACCATTCAGCCTCCCTGGCTCCAGCAGGGGAAAAGCATGGCCTGGAGCTATAGAGAGAGATGCACCCTTTCCCCTGCACAGGAAGCTTAGTATGTTAGGCAGTTATGAGTCCCAGTACTGGCTGATGCCCCACCTCAAAGAATTTAAACAGCTTAGACTGCAGGCAACCACAGCTGTCGTGCTGGTGGCACCTCCCCCCACAAACTTGGCAGACTTAAGTAGATTCTAGCAGAGAGGCTGTTGGGAATCTGTGAGGGTGCAGGATAGGGACCCTAGGCTCCAGTGTCATGGGTTCATGACTGGAATATTCCCATCCATGGGTTGTACAGATCTGTGGAAAAAGCACAGTGTTCCCCAGGTGGATAGCACACTCACACACCACCTCCCTTGGCTAGAGGATGACGGCTCTTCTGCCCCCATACTACATTACTCTTCCTTCCTCTCTGTGGATCACACCAGCTGCTTAGTCCTAGGGAACCTGGATACGTTGGGTGCTAGTGCAGAATTCACATGCTAATTGTGGTTTTTTTTATAGGAGCTTCTGATCATCACTGCTTCTAGTTGGTAATCTTGGCCCGATTCCCCACAATGTGTTCTTTATTCTTTGCTCTTCTCAAGCTAAAGAAAGGAGTCACTTATTTCTTTAGACTGTGCTGCCTTTGTGTGGGGGAGGATTGATACATACAGTCACTCAGATGCTGCAGCTGATGTCTCCCTAAGTCATGTGCCACTTAGAAATAGCCTGTAAGCCTGGCCCAGCATTAGAAATTGGATAGAAATTGTGGCCCTTGTATCCAAAACTGCCTTTCAAGTTTACCAATAACTCCAGAGCAGTTAAGCCCACAGTGATCAGGACTGCAGAGAAAACTCAATTTCTGACCACTGTGGTGTGTGACCCCTGTCTAGCTAGGGTGGATGCATGTTCTCCTCTGTGTGTTGGTACCAGCTGAGCCTAATACAATAGGAATAGCCCAGTCAATATAAATTATTCCAAATGCAGCACAGCCACTCTTACTCTTACTTTCTGCTGTGACAAGGCAGCACTGAATTCAATGTCAAGATTCACAGTCACTGTGCGGTCCTTTCCCAAAGTGTACAGATTCTCCCTTCATGAAGTGTGACTGTTGCTGGAGGATGGAGGAGAGGTAGTGTAAGTAGTTTAAAGCTGTCCAACCTCTTCAGTACCTCTTTCAACAATATAATGTTAAAGCTAGGTACTGTGATTGGAAAATTGCTGACTGGAGACAAAGTGATGGTGGCCATTCTTTTCCTCCAGGAAATCTCCCCCCAGGAAAGAGGGCCCACCTGTGAGCTGCATGGTGCTAAGGGAGCTCCCTCACCCAGCCAAGGGAGGTGGTGGTGATTGTGCTACTAATCCCTGAAAACAACACTTTTTCTGTGATTCCTTGCAACCCACATATTAGGAGGTCCCCTCGTGATCCCACACCAGGGCCTTCAGTCTCAAGCATAGAGCTGTACAGACTCACAGAGGCTTCTCCTGTGTGTGGCCACTCATGCAGACATGGAGAGGCTGAGTTTCTGGAGGGCAGAGTTGGCCACCATCACTGCATGTCCAGTCAGCCATTTTCCCCTGCCACCAGTGCTAGCGAGGTTTAAACAGGAAACAATTACCCACAGCACAGTGGCTGGGACAATTCATGGTCAGACTGCTTGTTTAAGTGGGATTCCAATTCACTGCTTCTCCCTGGGAAGGGCCTTCGTTTGGGAATTTCAGCATCCCCAGCAAGGGGTTTATGAACAACACTCTGATATACTTGAGAGGAGCCCCTAGGATAAGAGGAAACTGTGGTATTGTGAATCTTTTGTCTTAGTGTTTTCTGCCTGGGAAGCCATTAGGGCAGGCACCAATCTAGCAGAAGGAGTATTTTGGGTTTTTTTTTTGTTTGTTTTTTTAATACACCAGTGGCACCGGGAATGCCAGTGAGATAGGACTGTTCACTCATCTGGAAAGGGGACTGATGCCAGGGAGTCAAGTATACTGGCTCAGTGGTTCCCACTCCCATGGAGCCCAGGAAGCTAAACATCCACTGGCTTGAAATTCTACCACCAGCACAGCAGTCTGAAATTGACCTGGGATGCTTGAGCTTCATCGAGGAAGGGCCATCTGTCATTGCTGAGGCATGAGTAGAGGCAATTCACCCTCACAGGGTAAACACAGTTGCCAGGAAGTTTAAACTGGGCAGAGCCCACACCAGCTCAGCAAGGCTACTGTGGCCAGACTGCCTCCATTCTGGGCAGGGAATCTCTGAAAAAAAGGCAGAAGCCCCAGTCAGGGACTTACAGATAAAACCCCAACCACGCTGGGACATCGCACCTGAGGGAAGGAGTGGTTGTGGATGCATCTTCAGCAGACTTAAATGTCCCTACCGAGCAGCTCTAAAGCGAGCAGTGGATCTACCAGCACAGTGCTGGAGCTCTGATAAGGTGTAGACTGCCTCCTAAAGTGGGTCCCTGACCCCTGTGTATCCTGACTGGGCAACACCTCTGACTAGGGGCCAAAAGACACCTCATACAGGAGAGCTCTGGCTAGCATCTGCTGGGTGCCCCTCTGAAACAAAGCCTCCAGAGGAAGGAACAGGCAGCAATATTTGCTGGTTGGCAGCCTCCACTGGTGATACCCAGGCAAACAGTCTGCAGTGGACCTCCAGCAAACTACAGCAGACATGAAGTAGAGGGACCTAGCTGTTAGAAGGAACACTAACAAACACAAAGGAATAGCATCAACATCAACAAAAAGGAAGTACATTCAGAGACCCCACCCAAAAGTAACCAACCTCAAAGACCAAAGGTAGATAAATCCATGAAGATGGGGAGAAACCAGTGCAAAGAGGCTGAAAATTCCACAAACATTCCAAAATACTTCTTCTTCTACAAAGGATAACAACTTTTCACCAGCAAAGGAACAAAAGTGGATGGAGAATGAGTTTGATGAATTGACAGAAGTAGGCTTCAGAAGGTGGGCAATAACAAACTTCCCCGAGCTAAAGGAGCATGTTCTAACACAATGCAAGGAAGCTAAGGACTTTGAAAAACAAAAAAGTTAGACAAATTGCTAACTAGAATAACCAGTGTAAAGAACATAAATGACTTAATGGAGCTGAAAAACAAAGCATGAAAACTTCATGAAGCATATGCAAGTACCAATAGGAGAATCAATCAACCAGGAGAAATGATATCAGAGATAGAAGATCAACTCAATGAAATAAAGTGAGAAAACAGGATTAGAGAAAAAGAGTGAAAAGAAACAAAGCCTCCAGGAAGTATGGGACTATGCGAAAAGACCAAATCTACATTTGATGGGTTCACCTGAAAGTGATGGGGAAAATGGAACCAAGTTGGAAAACACTCTTCAAGATATTATCCAGGAGAACTTCCTCACCCTAGCAAGGCAGGCCAACATTCAAATTCAGAAATTACTGAGAACATCACAAAGATACTCCTCGAGGACAACCCTAAGACACATAATCATCAGAAACATGAAGGTTGAAATGAAGAAAAGAATGTTACGGGTAGCCAGAGAGAAAGGTCAGATTACCCAAAAAGGGAAGCTTCTCAGACTAAGAGTGAATCTCATGGCAGAAACCCTACAAGCCAGAAGAGAGTGGTGGCCAATATTCAACATTCATAAAGAAAAGAATTTTCAATCCAGAAATTCATATCTGGCCAAATTAAGCATCATAAGTGAAGGAGAAATAAAATCCTTTACAGACAAAGAAATGCTGAGAGATCTTGTCACCCCCAGCCCTGCCCTATGAGAGGTCCAGAAGGAAGCACTAAACATTGAAAGGAACAACCGGGACCAGCCACTGCAAAAACATACCAAATTGTAAAGACCATAGACGCTATGCATAGAAACTGCATAAACTAACAGGAAAAATAACCAGCTAGCATCATAATGGAATAGTCAAATTCAAACATAATAATACTAATCTTAAATGTGAACAGGCTAATACCCCAATTAAAAGACACAGAATGACAAATTGGATAAATAGTCAAGATCCATAGGTGTACTGTATTCAAGAGACACGTCTCACATGCAAAGACAAAGATGTGCTCAAAATAAAGGGATAGAGGAATATTTACAAAGTAACTGGAAAGCCAAAAAAAAAGCAGGGGTTGTACTTCTAGTCTCTGATAAGACAGATTTTAAACCAATAATGATCAAAAAGACAAAGAAGGGCATTCCATAAATGTAAACAGATCAATGCAACAAGAGCTAACTATCCTAAATAAATAAGCATCCAATACAGGAGCACCCAGACTCATAAAGCAAGTTCTTAGAGACCTACAAAGAGACTTAGACTCCCACACAATAATAGTGGGAGACTTTAACATCCCGCTGTCAGTATTAGACAGATCAACAAGACAGAAAATTAACAAGGATATCCAGGACTCAGCTCTGGACCAAGGGGACATAAGAGACATCTACAGAACTCTACACCCAAAATCAACAGAATATACATTCTTCTCAGCACCACATTGCACTTATTCCAAAATTGATCACATAATTGGAAGTAAAACACTCCTCAGCAAATCCAAAGAATAGAAATCATAACAATCAGTCTCTCAGACCACAGTGCAATCAAATTAAAACTCAGGATTAACAAACTCACTTAAAACCACACAACTACATGGAAACTGAACAACCTGCTCCTGAATCACTACTGGGTAAATAACGAAATGAAGGTAGGAATCAAGATGTCCTTTGAAACAAATGAGAACAAAGATACAAAGTACCAGAATCTCTGGGACACATTTAAAGCAGTGTGTAGAGGCAAATTTATAGCACTAAATTCCCACAAAAGAAAGCAGGAAAAATCTAAAACTGACACCCTAACATCACAATTAAAAGAACTAGAGAAGCAAGAGCAAACATTTTCAAAAGCTAGCAGAAAGCAAGAAATAACTAAGATCAGAGCAGAACTGAAGGAGATAGAGACATAAAGTATTGCTTCAAAAAATAAATGAATCCATGAATAGTTTTTTTGAGATCAACAAAATATATAGACCACTAGCCAGAATAATAAAGAAGAAAAGAGAGAAGAATCAAATAGATGCAATAAAAAATGATAAAGAAGATATCACCAATGATCCCACAGAAATAGAAAATACCATCAGAGAATACTATAATCACCTCTATGCAAATAAACTAGAAAATCTAGAAGAAATGGATAAATTCCTGGACATGTACACCCTCCCAACAGGAAGCAGTTGAATCCCTGAATAGACCAATTACAAATTCTGAAATTGAAGCACCAAGAAATAGCCTACCAACCAAAAGAAGTTCAGGATGGAATGGATTCACAGCAGAATTTTACCAGAGGCACAAAGAGGAGCTGGTACTATTTCTTTTGAAACTATTCCAAACAATAGAAAAAGAGGGAATTATCCATAACTCATTTTTATGCTAGCATCATCCTGATAGGAAATCCTGGCAGAGACATAACAAAAAAAGAAAATTTCAGGCCAATATCCCTGATGAACATTGATGCAAAAATCCTCAATAAAATTCTGGCAAACCGAACCCAGCAGCACATCAAAAATTTATCCACCATGATCAAGTGGGCTTCATCCCTGGGATGCAAGCCTGGCTAAACCTATGCAAATCAATAAATGTAATCCATTACATAAACAGAACCAATGACAAAAACCACACGATTATCTCAATAGAGGCAGAAAATGTCTTCAATAAAATTCAGCAGCGTTCAAGTTAATAACTCTCAAAAAACTAGGCATTAATGGAATGTATCTCAAAATAATAAGGGCTAATTATGAAAAACTCACAGCCAATATCATACAGAATGGACAAAAACTGTAAGCATTCCCTTTGAAAACTGGCACAAGAAAAGAATGTCCTCTGTCACCACTCCTACTCAACATAGTATTGGAAGTTCTGGCCAGAGCTATCAGGCGAGAGAAAGAAATAAAGGATATCAGCTAGAAAAACAGAAAGTCAAATTGTCTGTTTGCAGATGGCATCATTTTATATTTAGAAAACCCCATCATCTCAGCCAAAAATCTTGAATGAATATTATTATTATATTATATTATTATATTATATTATTATTATTATTATTATTATTATTTTGAGTCAGAGTCTTACTCTGTCACCCAGGCTGGAGTGCAGTGGTGCCATCTCTGCTCACTGCAAGCTGTACCTCCCAGGTTCATCCTATTCTCCTGCCTCAGCCTCCTGAGTAGATGGGACTACAGGCGCCTGCCGCCACACCCAGCTAATTTGGTTGTTTTTTTTTTTTTGTATTTTTAGTAGAGACGTTGTTTCACTGTGTTAGCCAGGATGGTCTCTATCTCCTGACCTCATGATGCACACACCTCGGTCTCCCAAAGTGCTGGGATTACAGGCATTTTTCACTGCACCTGGCCTATAAATATTATTAAAATGGTCATACTGCTACTTCCTATATATGAGCATAAGATTTTTTCAATTCTGTGTGTCATCATTAATTTTTTTGAGCAGTGTATTATTGTTTTCAATGTAGAGGTCTTTTACCTCCCTGGAGAAGTATATTCCTAGATTTTTTTTTTTTTTTGCTGCAATTGTAAATGTAATTGTGTTTCTTATTTCTCTCTCAGCTTGACTGTTGTTTATACAAATGCTAGTGATTTTTGTACATTGGTTTTGTATCTTCACTTGCCTTTTATTTTATTCTCTTGCCTTATTACTCTGACTAAAATGTTAAGTACTATGTTGAATACACTGGATGACAGGAAGTATTTTTGTCTTGTTTCTTTTCTTAAGGGAAAATATTTCAGCTTTCACTCATTCAGTATAATGTTGGCTATTTGTCATAGTTAGCTATTATTACTTTGAGGTATGTTTCTTCAATTCCTAGTTTCTCTATGGTTTTTATATAAAGTGATATTGAATTATTTCAAAGGACTTTGCAGCATCTATTGAAATGATCATGTGGTTTTTTTACTTTAGTTTTGTTATATGATAAATCACATTTATCAATTTGCATATGTTGAACAAAATTATTGTCTCAGGATAAAGTTAACTTTAACAATATCGATTATCTTTTTGATGTGCTGCTGTATTTGTTTTCTAGTATTTTGTTGAGAACAGTTGCATCTTTATCAAAAATATTGGCCTGATAATGTTTTGTTGTTTTCTCTGCCAGGATTTTGGTATCAAAATGATGCTTGTCTTATAGTTTAAAAAGGAACGTGCTAGGTGTTCTTTATGCATCTGGCATAATTTGGCTATCAATCCATCTGATCATTAGATTTTTTGGTTTAATAGCCTTTCCATTACTGGTTTAATTTGAAAAGGTACTGTAGTTCAAAGTTTCAATTGTTTCCACATTTATTCTTGTAGGTTTTCATGTTTCCAGAAATTTACCTATTTCTAGCTTTAATAGCTCTATCTTGAGTGTGCATGAAGGTATTTACAGTGGTATGTTTGAATTTTTAAAAGTATTTATGTGGTGTTACTGGTAATGTTAATTTGTCATTTATTGTGTTTATTTGCATATTCTGTTTTTTTATCATTAGTGTAGCTAACAGTTTATTAATTTTATTAATTTATTCAAAACATCAGCTGCTAAATTTATCATTCATTTTAATGCTTTTCCCATTTCAAGTTCTATCAGTTCAGCTCTGATTTCAATCATTTCTTTCTTCTACTGGCTTTGGGGCTGGTTTGTTCTTGTTTCTTTAGTTCCTCTAGTTGTTTAGTTAAGTTGTTTATTTGAGATATTTGTAACTTTTAAATGTGAGCATTTAGTGCTATAAATGTCCCTTTTAAGACTGCTTTCCTGATGTGCTAGAGATTCTTGTATGTCTTATCTTTGTTCTCATAGTTCCAGAAAAATTCCTTATTTCTGCCTCAATTTTATGATTTACCTAGAAGTCATTCAAGAGTAATTTAATTTAATTAATATAGTAATTTAATTTCTATATATATACACATATAATATTTTGAGCTATTTTCTTAGAATTAATTTATATTTTCATTGTGCTGTGGTTTTAGTCTGGTGGGTAAATACTTTTTTGTAATTTTCTGATTATTGTTTTATGCCTAATTCTGTGGTCAATTTTAAGGTATGTGTCATAAGCAGATGACAATAATGTATTATCTGTTGTTTTGGGGTGAGAGTTCTGTAGATGATTATTAGGTCCATTTTGTCAACTGTTGAGTTCATGTCCTGAATATTTTTGTTGGCTTTTTTGTCTGAAATATCTGTCTAATACTTCCTGTAGAGTGTTTAAATATTTCATTTTTATTGGGTAGTTATGTAAGTCTTTTTGTAGACCTCTAATAACTTATTTAATAAATCCGGGCACCCCTGAGTGGGGTTAACACGGCTGGGTCATGTTCATATTGAGCTCCTTACCATTCATTATGTAATGTCCTTCTTTGCCTTTCAATATCTCTGTTGATTTATATTCCATTTTGCCTGAAATTAGGAGAGAAACCATCATTTTTTGTTGTTGGTGGTGGTGGTATTGATTGGTTGTTTGTTGTTGTTGTTGTTGTTGTTGTTGTTGTTGTTTGCCATTTGCATAGTATATTATTCTGTATCTTTTTATTTTGAACTTTTGGGTGTCATTGCATGTGAGATGAGCCTCTCAAACACTGCATACCAATGGATCTTGCTTTTCTTATTCAGTTTGCCACTCTGTGTCTTTGAAGTGGTGCATTTAGCCCATTTACCTTCAAGCATAGTATTGATACCTGTGGATTTTATTGATGAAAAGAGTCAAACTCTGCAAAATATTTTTAGAGGTTTATTTTGAGCCAAATATGAGTGACCATGGCCTATGACAAAGCCCTCAGGAGGTCTGAGAACATGTGCCCAAGATGATCAGGGTATAGCTTGGTTTTACATATTTTAGGGAGGCTGAGACATAAATCAAATACATGCAAGAAATACATTGGTTTCTTTAAGAAAGCCAGGATATTTCAAAGCAGGGGTTTCCAGACTACAGGAAAATTTAAACATTTTCTGTTTGACAGTTGGTTGAGTTAATCTGAAGACCTGGGATTAATGGAAAGGAATGTTCAGGTTAAGATAAAGAATTTTGGGGAAGAAGTTTCATTGTGCAGAGGAAGCTGTCAGGTAGCAGACTTCAGAGAGAGAACAGGTTGTAAAATGTTTCTTATTAGACCCAAAATGGTGTCCAGCTCTTAGTTGATTATCTCCTGGATCTGAAAAGAAAGGAAGAAAAACAAAGGGGTAGGGAATATGCTATAGAATGCAGATTTTTCCCACAAGGGAGTTTGCAGGGTAATATCAAGATATGGCAAGGAAATATATTTTGGGGTTAAATATTTTTTTCTTGTTTTATAATGTTATGGTAGAGTCAGATTGAAAAGTAAGCCACAATATGTAGGGTCAAATAAAGCCCATATGATGCGAATTTATGGTTTGTAGGGCATGGCTCTCTAGACTCCCTAGGTAGGAATTTGAATAAGATAAAATATCAGAAGTTAGTCCTCATTTTGATCCTGTTGATATTCTGTTGGCTGGTTATTATGCAGACTTGTTTGTGTGGCTGCTTTTTAGTATCACTGGTACATGAACTTTAGTTTGTTTCTAGAGTGGCCATTATGGCCTTTTCTTTTTACATTTAGCACTTTATTCACAACCTCTTTTAAAACAGGTCTATTGATAGTGAGTTCTTTTAGCATTTGCTTGTCTGAAAGAATTATAATCAATAAGGAAGCTTAATTTGTCTAGATATAAAATTATTGTGTGAAAATTATTTTCTTCAGTAATTTTGAATATAGGCCCTGAAAATGGTGTGGCTTGTCAATATCTGCCAAAATGTCTGTAATAGCCCAATGCAGTTTTCTTTGTAGGTGTCCTGTTTCTTATCTCTAGCTGCCTTTAACATTTTTCCTTTCATTTTGATATGAGAGATTCTAATGACTATGTATCTTGGGGATAGTCTTCTTATGTAGTACTTCACTGGGGTTCTCTGCATTTTTTGAATTTCAATGTTGTCCTCTATAGATAGGTTGAAAATATATTTCTAGTTGATATTCTAAAACATGTTTTCCAAGTTGCTTGGTTTCTCTTCCTCTCTTTCAGTTATGCCAATTGATATAGCTTTTCTCTGTGTCCCCACGCAAATTTTATCTTTTATAGGTATGCCCATATGTCAAAGGAGGGATCTGATGGGAAGTGATTGGATCATAGGGTTGCTTCCGCCATGCTGTTTTCATGATAGTGAGAGAGTTTTCATGAGATATAATAGCTTAAAAGTAGGAGTTTCCCCTGCTCTTTCTGTGTTTCTCTTCTCCCATCTTGTGAAGAAGATGCTTGTTTCCTTTTACCTTCTGCCATAATTGTAAGATTTATAAGTCCTCCCAACCATGCAGAAGGTGTCAAATGCTAATACCCAAGAAAAAGGAAAAAAATATTTCCAGGACATCTTAGAGACCTTCATGGCAGCGTCTCCAATCACAGACCTGAATGCCTAAGAGGGAAAAGTGGTTTCATTCACCAGACCCAGAGCCCCACTGCTCTGTGCAGCTTCAGGACTTTGTACCCTGCATCCCAGCTGCTTCAGCTCCAACCATGGCTGAAAGGGGCCAAGGTACAGCTCAGGCCAGTGGATCAGAGAACGCAAGCCCCAAGAATTGGTGGCTTCCATGTGATGTTTGAACTGTGAGTGGACAGAAGGCAAGTTGAGATTTAGGAACCTCTGCCCAGATTTCAGAGAATAAATTGAAATGCTTGGATATCTAGGCAGAAGTCTACTGCAAAAACAGAGCTCACTTGGAGAACCTCTTCTAGGACAGTGTAGGAAAACAAATGTGGGACATAGCTGCCACACAGGGTCCCCACTGGAGCACTGCATAGTGGAAGTATAAGAAGAAGGCCACCATTCCCAGACCCCAAAATTTAAATCATCTGACAACTTG
Organism: Homo sapiens; assembly: GCF_000001405.40. NCBI lineage: Eukaryota > Metazoa > Chordata > Mammalia > Primates > Hominidae > Homo > Homo sapiens. Next base: position 19,882,001 of record NC_000024.10, on the reverse strand, counting down.
CACAAAGCACCCAAAAAATCCACAGACACTCAATACCGGCTTGTGAAAACAGCCACAGAAACTATACCTTGCAGGGCCAGAGAGGTGGAGCTGCCCAAGACTGTGGGAGACAACCCTTGCAGCAACATGCCCTGAATGGGAGATATAGAGTCAAAGATTTGGAGCTTTAAGATTTAATGACTGCCCAAATTTGTACTTTCATGGGGCCTGTGGTCCCTTTCTTTTGAGCAATTTCTCCCATTTGGAATGCAAACATTTATTTATTGCCTGTATCCCCAATTGTATTTTGAAAGTAACAAACTTGTTTTTCATTTTACATACTTATAGGCAGAAGAGACTTGCCTTGTCTCAGTTAAGACCTTAAACTTGGACTTTTGAGTTAATGCTGGAATAAGTTAAGACTGTGGAAAACTGTTGAGAAGGCATTGGATTTGAAATGTAAAAATAGAATGAGTTTTTAAAGGGGTTAAGGCTGAATAAATCTTGATAATATTCCTTTCTATCTACATTCTGAAATTTATTTCTGGTATTTCAGCCATTTCAGCCTGGTTAAGAACCATTTTTGGAGAATCAGTGTGTTTGTAGGAAAGTAAGTCGCCTGTGGCTTTATACTTGCCAGAGATAATGCACTAGATCTTTATCAACTTTATGGATTGTAGTTCCTACAATCTTTGAAGTAGCTTGTTTTTTGAACTTTTTTCTTTTATATTTTTTGGTGTCTCTAGGGATTTGATTTTGGCATATGGTATGGTTAGTTCACTGACTTAACTTCCAGAATATTCTAGCGGGTCAAGGTTTATTCCAGGATTCTTGGACTGCATACTGTAATTCTGGAGGGCTGATATTGGGCCCCAGCTTTTTCCTCTTGTCTTTCAAGGATAGGAATCTGCTGTACTGCAGGGACTACTGTGCTCCTAGGCCACTGGTCATAACACTGGTAGATAGTCTGAGGCAAAACAGTTCATTACACGATGGCGGTGAGATTTCTGCTTATTTGCAAGTGCCAGCCATAGCAGCAGTACAATGGGGTGCATGCTCAGAGGCTAAGAAAGAGTGCTGATGTGTGTAGGATGGCCAGCCTCTGTGCAGGTGTTCTCAGCAGCAGCATAGCTATGTGGCATCAGTGTGAGTGGGGCTTCCAGGGTCTGTGCATATGTTCACAACAGTGGCATTGTTGGTACAGATGTAAGCACTGGTGGGCATGAGGCAGGCACCCTCCATGTGTGTATTCACACAGGAACCAGTTGGTATGCAGCTTGGGAGTGAAAGCACTGGTGTTTATGTACAGGTTTACTATGGCAATGGTGATGCTGCAGGGCATGTAGGGTTTACTCATGCTGGCAGAAGTGTCACAGTGGGTTGCATCTGCACATGCACATAGGTGATGAAGGAAATAAAATGTTCACCTATATGCATGTGCACCAGCATAACAATGTAGAGGATGGCCATGAGTATGTTTCTGCCAGCAAAGTGTCACAGGGAAGCTTCTATCAGGGACAGTGTGGGTGACTTTTTGTGTTTCAGTGGGGGATGCTGTGCTGGAGCTCTCTGATAGTCTGACATGCTCTTCTAGTGCTGGAGCTATTATGTAACACCCAGGAGGCACTGCAGTGGGCCCTTAGGCCACAATGTAAGCAGCCACAGCCATGCTGGTACCCCAGAAGAGCCAGGTTGTAAGTATTAAACCAAAGGGGAGCACTTAGGTTTTACAAGCTTCATTTCATGGGCAAAATTAATTCTATTCTGCTAAACTCTGTTTAGTTCTTTCAGTTGCCTTAAGTCTATAGACTCCTCAGGGAACAAGGAAAGCCTTGGTGGATCAGTGTCACTGGTCATGCTCTACTATGATGGTCTCATAAAAACTCTCTGGTTTCTGCTCTGATACCCCTCTAAGCAGCTCTCTTTTCCAACTCAAGTGTCTGTGTGTCCTGCAGTCTTCTGCTTCCAAGATTTCTGATATCCATGATGACAGCAGTTTGCTCCTACCTTGCTAAATTTACCACTTCCCCCAGGAGTCTGTGGGAGCTGGGAACAAGTTCTGGTGTATTGTAGCCCCATGCAGGGTTCTCAGCTTTCTTGTCAAATGGATCATTTGCAAATACATTTTTTTCATTTTATGGATTATCTCTTAATATTGCCTATTAAACATAATTTAAAATAATATTGCTTATTATTTTAATAAGAAATATTAAGCAAAATCTCTTTAATTTGATATAATCCCATTCTTCCATTTTTGGGAGGCAACTTTTCCTCAGATTTACCAAGAAATCTTTACTCAGACCAATGCCATAAAGAGATTTCTTCAGTGTTTTGTTTTAGTAGTTTTAAAATTTGAAATATGAGATGTAAATATTTAATTTATTTTGATTTTATTTTTGTACACCATGATACAGGTCTAGTTTTCTTCTTCTGCATATAGATATTAAGTTTTCCCAGCACTATTAAATAAAGAGAGTATCCTTTCCACAATGCATGATCTTGGCACCTTTGTTTAAAATAAGTTCAGTTTACATGTACAAATTTATTTCCAGCTTCTCTGTCATTTTCATTTGTCTAATGCGCCTACTTTTATACCAGTTCCATGTTATTTTGATTACCATAATGTAGCATAATTTAAACTTAGTCAATGTTATTCCTTCAATATTATTATTTTTGCTTAAAACCATTTTAATTTTTCTGGATATTTCATGATTTCATATGAATGTTAAGTTTTTTTATCTCTTTGAAGAATGTCATTTTTTTTGACAGGTATTGCATTGAATCTGTACATTACTTTTAATAGCATTGTGTTTTTCCAATCCAGAAATATGAAATAATGTTTTCATTTGTGTATGTGTGTGTGTGTGTGTGTGGTGTGTGTGTGTTTGCTTCAATTTATTGCATCAATATTTTATGAGCTTTCATTGTAGAGATTCTTTTCTTATTTTCGTTAAATTTTTTAGGTACTTAATTTTGTTTGTAGCTATAATGAATTGGATCTTTCTTTCTTTTTTTTTTTTTTTTTTTGAGATGGAGTCTCAGCTCACTGCAAGCTCTGCTTCTCAGGTTCATGCCATTCTGCCTCAGCCTCCCGAGTAGCTGGGACTACAGGTGCTCGCCACGATGCCCAGCTAGTTTTTTTTTCTATTTTTTAGTAGAGATGGGGTTTCACCATGTTAGCCAGGGTGGTCTCAATCTCCTGACCTCGTGATCCACCCACCCTGGCCTCCCAAAGTGCTGAGATTACAGGCATGAGCCACCATGCCCCACCTTGATCACTTTCTTAATTCGATTTTCAAATGCCTCATCATCAACATATACAAATGCCACTAATTTTTGAATGTTGATTTGTTCCTGAAACTTTTCTAAGTTTGTTTTTAATTCTAATTATTTTTGGTAGAGTGTTTAGATTTTTCCAACTATCAGATTATACCACCTGCAAGCAAGGAAAATGTGACTTACTTTTCAATTAGAATATCCTTTATTTCTTTCATTTGTCTAATTGTTCTATCTAGGACTTTCCAGTATTGTTTTGAATAAGAGTGGTGAATATGGACATTTTTCCTATTTTTACATATTAGAGGAAAGTCTTTTTCCATTCACTATGATATTAGTTGTGGATTTGTTGTGTGTGGCTTTCAGTGTTATGTTTTTCCATATACAGTTTTTGAGGTTTTTTTTTCTTATGATAAAGCAATGGATTTTATTAATTTTTTGGCATCAATTGAAATGATAATATAGTTTCTGTCCTTCATTCTGTTAATCTGATACAACACATAATTGATTTGCTTATTTTGAATCATTATTATTAATATGGGATTAATTCTACTTGTGCATGAATAATTTTACAATGTGTTATTGAATTGTTAATATTTTGTTAAAAATTTATGTATCAATAATTATCAGAGATGTTGATCTGTAGTTTTCTCAATATGGAGTGCCTTTGGTTTTAGTATCAGTGTAATACTAACCTCAGAGAATAAATTTGAAAATATTTTCTTCTCTTTTTTTAATAATACTTTGAGTAGAATTGTTATTTCTTATATGTTTAGTAAAATTCAGCAGTGAAGCCATCAGGGCCCAGCTTTTTCATTTTTTGTTTGTTTCTTTTGCTAGAAGACATTTCACTACAGCTTTTATAAAATATTTACTCTTTAGGTTTTGGATTTTTTCATTGGTCAGTTTTGGTAGGTTTTAGGTGTCTAGTAATTTATCAATTTTTTTCTAAGTTTTCTACGTAGTTGGCATGTAGTACTTCAATGTATTCTGCTGAAATTCAGCATATCTTGTTGAAATTCAAAGAAATTTTTTAAAATTTCTGTGGTATTAGATGTCTTTTTCTTAATTTTTTCATTTTATTTGAGTATTTTTTATTTTTTCTTAGTCCAGGTAAACAGTTATCATATTTGTTCATGTTTTAAAGAATCAATTGTTTTTATTGTTTGGTTTGCTCTAGTTCTTCTAGTTCTTGAAGATGCCTCAAGTGAAAGCCATTATCCTAAATAAATGATTGCAGAAACAGCAAACTAAATACTGTGTATTCTCAGTTATAGGTCACAACTTATTACTGAGTACATAGGATCATAAAGAGAAGAATAATTAGACGCTGGAGGCCATTAAAGAAAGGAGTCAGGGAGAGGGGAAAGGGCTGGAAAACTACCCACTGGGTACTGTAATTACTACCTGAGTCACATTATTATTTGAACCCCAAACCTCAGCATCACACAGTATATCCATATAAGAAATTTATACATTTACCCTCTGAATCTAAAATAAAAGAAAAAATGCATCATTAGGTTCTTTGAAACTTTTCTACTTTTTAAATATAGGTGCTTATTACTATCTTTTTTATTTTATAGCATACTGCATTCACTGTATTCTATAGGTTTTTGTATACTAGTTTCCATTTCATTTGCTTCAAAAAAATTTTGTACTTTATCTTAACATTTTTATTAATCCACTCATTTAAAAGCATATTAATTTTCATGTTCCTATACTTTACACAGTTCCTCTTGTTATTTATTTCTGGTTTTATTTCACTGCAGTTAGAGAACATACTTGATATAATTTCAATGTTTTGAGTTTTTTAAGACTTTTTTTGTGGCCTGACATATGGTCTATTCTTGATAATAATCTGTATACAGAATAGAAGAATGTCCATTATACAGCTGTTGGATAAAATGTTCTATACATTTCTTAGATCTATTTCATAGGTTTTTTATTTTTACATGACATGTACTAATTGTACATATTTTTACGTATTGAAGGATGTCTTAGTACACATACAAAATGTCCAACATTATATCCTGGAAATTAGCATAATTCTTCACCTCAAACCTTTATTATGTGTTTCTATTGATATATAAAATCTTACTTTCCAGACATTAGAAAATATACAATATATTATTAACTATTTTCATTCTATATCCCTATAGAACACTAGAATAATTCCTCTTATCTACCTATAATTGTGTGTTTACTAACACAACTTTTTCTATCTCTTCTTCCTCACTACTCTTCTCATGCCACAATTTACTCTCTACTTTAATAAGCTCAACTTTTTAAAGGTTCCTACATATGTAGGTAAACTTATGTAACTTAATTGTATTTCCACCAGGCTCATTCATGTTGCCATGAATGAACAGATTTTATTCCTGTTTAATGGCAGAAAAGTATCACATTATGTGTATTTACCACATTGTCTTTATTCATTCATCTTTTGATTGGCATTTAGATTGATTCCATATATTAGCAATATTGTAAATATTTATAAATATTGTAAATTGCTAAAATAAACATGGGATGCAGCTATCACTTCAAAATACTATTTTTTTCCTTTGGTTAAATACCAATTAGTGTAACTGCTAGATTGTATATTAATGCTATTTGATTTTGGGGGTTAATTTTTTTACTCATTTAAAAAATGGCTTTACTAATTTACTTCACCAAAGATATATAAAAATTATCTTTCCTCTGCATCTTCTCCAACAGTTATTATTCTTGTCTGACTTTTAGATATCACATTTTAACACAGATATTTTATTGTAGTGTTAATATGCATTTCCCTGATAATAATGTTGATCAATTTTAAAGTACTTTCTTGCATAAGTCCTTTTTTTCACTGCTGTAAGGAACTGCCTAAAACTAAGTAATTTATAAAGGAAAGAGGTTTAATTGATTCACAGTTTCACATGGCTGGGGAAGCCTCAGGAAACTTACAATCATGGCAGAAGGGGAAGGGGAAGCTGGCACATTCTTTTCAAGGTGGCAGTAGAAAGAAGCAAGTGCCAAGGAAACTGCCACTTATAAACCATCAGATTTTGTGAGAACTCCCTCAATATCGAGAACCCAGCATGGGGAAGATGCTCCTAAAATTCAATGACCTTCTACCAGGTCTCTCATTCAACACATGGGGATTAGGATTCAAAATGAGATTTGGGTGGGAACACAGAAGCAAATTATGTAACTTGTTAAACATTTGCCTTTTTTTTTTAAAGTCTGCTCAAACTTTTTCCTATATTTAATTTAAAGGATTTTTTTTTTGCTTTGAAAATATTTTTCCCATTTTGTAAGTGGTTTATTTTTTCTGTCAATTGTTGTAGTGTAGAAGCTTTTTGTTTGATATGGTCCTACATGAGTATTTTTTTCTTGGCTATGCTTTTTAATCTTATCAATATCTTTTCATAGACTGATGTCGTGATGTGTTTCTCTTATGTGATCCTCTATTGTTTTACCTTTGGTGTCTTAAATTTAAGTATTTATTTCTTTTAGCTGGATTTTTGTATATGGCAAATGATAGCAATCTAGTATCATTCTGCTGCTTATGAATACTGGCTGTCCCAGCACCATTTGTTTAAGAGATAGTCCTTTCCTCAATGTATACCCTTGAGTACTTTGTCAAAATTATTTGACTGTAAATGCATAGACTCTGAGTTTGCTATTAAGTTTCTTTTAACTATGTGTCTGTTTTTGTATTAGTATGCCATTTGGATATTATTGCTTTGTAGTATAGTATACATTTTATTTTTTAAAAAGTTTTTAATTTCAATAACTTTGGGGGTACAAGAGGTTTTTTGCTACATAAATGACTTGTACAGTGGTGAAGTAGATTTTAGTGTACCCGTCACCAAATTAGTATGCATTGTACACATTATGTAGTTTGTTTTGTTTCTCACCCTCCATTTTCTTTGTTTTCATAATTCATTATATTTATCTGTATTTCCTTGCATATCAATAGCTTAGTTCCCACCTATAACTGAGAATATATGGCATTTTTTTCTATTACTGAGTTATTTTAGTTAGAATAATAGCCTGAAAGTTAAATCTGATGCTCCATCAATGTTGCTGCAAAAGACATTATTTTTTTATGGCTGAGTAGTATTTTACAGTGTGTATATACCATATTTACTTTATCTACTCATGGACTCAGTGAATGCTTAGGTTGGTTTCATGTCCTTGCAATTGTGAATTGTGCTACAATAAACATACATGTGCAGCTGTCTTCTTAATATAATAACTTATTTTCATTTGGGTAGCTATCTAGTAGTAGGACTACTGGATAAAATGGTAGATCTACTTTTAGTTCTTTAATACATATCCATACTGCTTTTTAAGTACTACCAATTTGTGCATATTGATTTTGAAACTTGAGACTCCCTAATTTGTTTATCAAACTTAGCAGACTCTTGATCATGTCTTTATGGTTTTCTAGGTATAAAATCATATAGTTAACTAAGCAATCATGTGACTTCCTCTTTTCCAATTTGGAAGCCCTTTATTTATTTAACTTGCCTGATTGTTGTGGCTATGACATCCAGTACTATATTAAATAGAAGTGATGAAAGTGGTCATATTGTCTTGTTCTAGTGGAAATGCTTTCAACTTTTCCCCATTCAATGTAATGTTTACTGTGGGCCTGTCATATATGGCCCTTTTTTTTAGATAAATCTTTCTTATTCCTACTTTGTTAAGTGTTTTTATCATAAAGGGATGCTGGATTATATCAATGCTTTTCTGTATCTATTGAAATAATCATATGGTTTTTGTTTTTAATTCTGTTTATGCAAGGTATTATTTTATTGCCTTCTGTTAATGTATGTTAAATTATTTATGCATCCCTGAATAAAATCCACTTGATTATGGTGTATTTATCTTATTGATGTGCACTTGGATTCAGTTAACTTAGTATCCTGAGAATTTTTGCAATCATGTTGATAAAGAATATTTGTCTGTAGCTTTCTGTTTTTATATCCTTTCCTGGTTTGGATATCAGAGTAATAATATTGGCTTTATAGAATTAGTTAGGAAAAATTCTTTTTTTCTCAGCATTTTGAAATAGTTTCAATAGGATTAGCACTAATCCTTCTTAAAATTTCTGGTATGCGAGGGTCCATCCCACAGAATCTGACCCAATGATGGATGAATAAATTACACTGACACACAGATATTCTGCTTTGCCAGTCTAGCTGAGCATGTAGGCCTCTCACAGACTCCAAGCAGAGTGCTGTAAACAGTTGTGACCATGGCCCTGACCAGCCAGTGAGAATTGCATTTATTCAGTAAAGATTAACTGACAAAGGTTTGAGTCAACACCGCTACAGGATAATTGACATTGCACACTACCCAAGTAGAAAGCAATTAAGCACCAGCAATGATCAAATGTTAGTGTTAGGACCACATGAGTAAACAAGCTAGTTTGATAAACTCCACACATTCCTTTGTTTCTAGTCTAATTTACTTAACTAAAGGGACAAGGCTGCCTTCAGCCAAGTACTACACCTAAAAACCCCTAAGCCTTCCAAAAGGGTTTGTGTATATTCTCTATAAGTAAAATTTTTCCCACATGCCTGACTGAACCCTCCTACCTCCCTCTTTTATGTTTTCAGCATTAGGTCTTTTGGATTGGAAACCATAAATATCTGGAGCAACAGGTTTTTCAGGTGTGGTGGTCATTGCTCTTATTTTGACTTTGCATCTAGAATTAGTAAATAACATAAAACAATCATGAGCAAAATTAGCAACATTCTTTTCCAGTCAAAGAGTGACCCCTAGGAGTGGGTGGTCTAACAAAGAGAAAGGATCTTGCACACCTTTCCATATGGCTGTTTGTTGGGTGTGTAGATCTATGGTGTGAAGGGATTCTAAAATATTAGTTTTCAGTTGCTTTACATGTGCTGTTAAATGTTTCACCTCATCCCAACTATGTATTGATTGACTCCATGGTAGAGAAGTGACACAGATATTTTTATGTTCCCAGTCACAGTTTAACTGCTGTCAAAATCCCAGTGCATCTTATTGCTCCCCCACATATTCTAAGGCAGCCTCAAGGGCATGCAGTCAAGTAAGAATCTTTTGATCTATATTTGCTGTAAGAGAAGTTTATTAGACACATTTCTGGACATATTATCTACAAAAGCAGCTGTTTGTGCTGATTTAGGAATAGATGCCACAGTAACACTAGCAGTTGCCAGAATGACTGTGGCTGAGACTAAAAAGGCCCTAAGTGTAACTATGAATCTTTTTGTCCGACTGGGGACAGAGCATGTTTTAAGGTGGCAAGGGTAGAGAAACCTTGCCAATCAAGTGTCAAATTGACTGGTATAAATACCTTAGATTGTTTCCTTAATACCATGACATGAGTAATTTTTAAATTAGATATATTGTGATTAGTGATACTTGAAGCAAATTAAGCTTGTCACAAATGTGGAGTTCCAGGGTATAATGGAAATGTTAGTTCCCATGAAGAAAACATATGGATGGGTGGTGCAAATCAGGCACTGATCTGTGTGATTATGAATAAAGGCTATAGTATAGTTGCGATTGGAATTATGATATGCCCCATGCCAGGTGTTAAGGGAGGTGCTAAGATGTCCCAGGTGCCATAAAGTGCCTTGGGGTGGCATGGAATTTACTCGGGGTCTAGGATAGCCCATCTCCCTATTGGCCCAAATTATAGGGGAATGAGACATGGCTATGAAATTGTGATTGATGCTACGATGGATGAAGACATTAGCAAGGCTGCCCTGCAAGCAGCCATTTGGTCTGTGGTCTAAGATGTTATAATTACCTAACTGGAGGCTATGGGCTTGTTTCCCATGACAGAACTCCCAGCTAAAGTGTACATCACTTTCCCAGATTTGTTATTTAGCACAGGAAGGAATGTTTGGGAAAGTGGCATTGATTGCATTGCCCGGTTTGAGGTTACCTGCAGCTAAGAATGTTAAGGCAGTTCCTCTGTCATGATGTAGCCATCCTTGTTTTTGGTCAGGTATACAGTAAGGGTTAGAACTTTTATAACTTGCACAGAGTGGGAGGATAGTGGAGTGATATGTAGTGTTATCTGGCACCTTAGTCCAATGTGTGCCATTGTTGAGGGACCCCAGTGGGGGTAAATCTATCCCTCCTAGCCAAGAAGTTATGGTATTAAAGGCTGGGAAGGGAGTATCTGCCCAGGGGACAGAGCAAAAGAAAGGCAGATCTAAGATATGAGCCCAGTAGAGTGTAGCAGATACAGGCAGCAGACAAAGTGAGAGCATAAGAAGGATCAATACCCTACGTGAGTTGCAATGTACAATAGAAAGCATAGCAAGAAACAAATTATCTGGAGTAAGTGGTGTCTGTGTCCAGAGCAGGATCCATTCAGCCTTCAGCATCCCCCAAGTAATGTCATCCTCAGAAGCCACATTGTCCAGGGCTATGGGTCTTAGTGTTAATTCCTTCATTTCTGATACAGGGTTTGGTCCTAGCCATGCCATGGTATGGTTTGACACGTTGTGCTGCAATCTAAAAAGAACCTGAGGGGGTGAGGACACAAGCATACCCTCTTCTTTTACTTGGATGACCCCATACATTACTGTTTACATCTTTCCATAAAACTGAAGGTTTTATGCCTTGAGAGGTTTTAGCAAAGTGCTTTTCCGGAGTTGATTGAAATGTGTCATCTAAATTTAAAAAATTAAGAGTAAATAAGTCTTGTGCCAATATTGTTGCAGGGTCTTTCCCCTTACTCTCCCTTTTGTTTTTTGAGCATATTTTTAAGGGTGGAGTGGGCATGTTCTACCATGGCTTGTCCTTGGGGGTTATATGGGATGCCTGTGGAATGATGGATATTCCACGTGTGACAAAATTGTTGAAATTGTGAGTTGGCCTAAGCTGGCCCATTATCAGTTTTAATTTTTGTGAGCCATCCCATAAATGCAAAAGTTAAAAGAAGATGTTTAATGACATACTGAGTTGACTAGCCAGGCAGAGCCTATGTACTAATTAAATGAGTGTTGGTATCAATGGATACATGTACATATCCTAGTTTTATAAATTCAGGGATGTGTATAACAACTGTTTGTCATAACTGATTAGGTTCTTATCCTCTAGGGTTAACGCCTGTTGAAGGAGGGACATGCCTGTGAGCTGGCAATCTGGGCATTGTAGGATAATTTGTTTAGCCAGTCTCTGGATAAGTAGATACTGCATAGATAAGTTTCTCCAACTTTGATGGAAAAATAGGTGCGATTGGGTGGCGTGGTCCAGCAGTGATGTCATAACCTGAAGGTCAGCTTGATTATTGCTATAAGCTAATGGGCGAGGCAGTGAGCTGTGGACTTGATAATATCAGAGCCACCATCTCAGCTCTCTGAGTGGTAGTAAATACGGATTGAGTGATTACATTATATGGTCTCCACCAAACTGTCACTTTTCCATGTTTAACTTTCCACTTTTAACTTCTCCTTAACTAACTCATGGGCTTTTTGGTAATCTCTCTCCCTTTAGAGGTCACTGTTTTACTTAAATTGGATTAGAAGAGAGTCATGTTATAGGCGAGAGAGATTACAGTGGCTACTACTAGAAAAAGGTCTTTTAAATTTTTAAATTTTATTTAAATCTTAGCAGATGATTATAATCTGCGACGTCACTTGTATACCATAAATACATGAAATTTTGCCATCGGGCACCTGTGAAGCTGTAAGGCAGCTAAGCAGGGAGGTCCCGGGGCGGTGGCTCATTATGCTTGCTTAGGGGCTGTCGCTTTGTCTGCACCGCATTTTTCCCTTTTTTATCTTTGTGTGCCACTCCCTCCCCACAGCCGCAGCCAGTGGCTGCTGCCGGCTGGGCAGACCTTCCCACGTACACCTCCTGCCCCTCCCTAGGAGACCAGTTCCAGCCCACTGAGCCTAGCTGTCCGATGCCACCACTGCCACGAAGGCTGAGTTCCCAGGAGTATTTGCTGGCTCCAGGTTTGCGAGCTTCCCGGCTGCCAAGCCTTCCGTTTTGCCTAGGGCTTCCTTGCCCTCAGGGCTCCGACCTCCAGTGCTTTTTCTTAACTCTTTATGTACCTGATTGCCTTGCTGATCTTGCATCACCCAGCAGGATAAAAGCTCGCTTTCTATTGCCCCTTGCTTAACTCAGGGTCTCATAGCCGAAGCGTATTTCCTGTCCTTTTTCCTAGCTATTGGAGGAGAGGGCTCAGGCAAAACCTCCGTTTCCTTTTTGTTATTTTGACCCAGTGATATCCGGGCTGGGGAATGGGAAGGCGGTAAAGTAGATGACGTCTCCTCCTCCTTCCGCTTTTTAGGCTCTTCCGTGTGTTACTGAACCAGGGCTGCTCTAATTAAAGCCCATAGCATTAAAGCTGTTACCGGAACCCACTGCCCTTATGCATAATGTTGTTTAAGATGTCTCCCTACTTGTCCCAGACTACGTCTAGCATTCCTTCTTCTGGGAACCACGGATTATGTGAGAAAACAGTTTAGCTTAGGTCTCTTAATTGAGCCTGTGAAATTGAGTCTCTGCTGGCCTTAAGCAGCTGTTTTAACACTTTTAGATACTGTTTTTGCTGTGCTAATAACTGTTGTCCCATGATGAAACCTCAGCCTGAACAATCCCCCCTGAACTTGGAGATCCCAAGTGGACACCAATGACTTACTGTTTTACTGACTTGACTGCCTGCTCCTCTTCACCTTCGTTTTCCAGGGGTCCACTGGGCTCCATTCTCAGCAATCCTTACACAGGGGCAACAGCTGCAGAGGTCCATCCTGCATACCCTGACCCAACGAGGGATCAATAAAATACACTGACAGACAGATATTCTGCTTTGTCAGTCCGGCTGAGCATCCTGGCCTCTTAGAGACTCCAAGCAGAGTGCTGTAAACAGTTGTGACAGCCGCCGCGACCAGCTAGCCAGTGAGACTCGCATTTGTTCAGTAAAGATTAATTAACAAAGGCTTGAGTCCACACCACTAGAGGGTAATTGACATAGCAGACCTCCCCAGTAGAAAGCAATTAAGCACCTGTGGTAGATCAAAGTTTAGTCTTAGGCTCACATTAGTAAACAAATTAGTTAGACAAACTCGTCACATTCCTTTGTTTCTACTCTAATTTATTTAACTAAGGGACAAGGCTGCTTTCAGCCAAGTAATGTATAGAAAATCCTTCAGGCCTTCCAAAAGGTCTTGTGTATGTTCTTTATAACCATAATGTTTCCCACCAGCCTGACTGAACCCCCACACTGGTAGATGTCAGCTGTAAATCTATCTGGCTCCAGGTTTTCTGGGTTGGCAATTTTTAAATTACTGTTTCAGTCTCATTGCTTGTTATTGATCTGTTTATGCTTTATATTTCTTTCTAATTTAATCTAGAAGGATCCTATGTTCCTAAGTACTTATTTGTTTTCCCTAGATTTTCTAGTTTATATGCGTGAAGGTCTTCATAGCAGTCTCAAGTAATTTTTTCTATTTTTGTGGTGCTGATTGTAATATTTCATTTTATTCCAAATTGACTTTATTTGAATCGTGTCTCTTCTTTCCTTGGTTAGTCTCGCTAATAGTCTATAAACTTTGTTTATCTTTCCAAATAACCAGCTTTATTTTTTTTTTACTAATCTTTTGTATTTTTAAGTTTATTTAGTTTTGCTCTGACCAATGTTATTTCTTATTTTCTGTTAGCTTTGAGTTTAATTTGTTCCTGTTATTCATGGGATGTAAAACTAGGGTGTAAATTTGTAATCTTTCAGACTTTGTGATGTAGACATTTAGTGCTATAAACTTTCATCTTAGCACTACTTTTTTTGAATCCCAGAAGTTCTGATAGTTTATGTTGCTATTATTAATTCAAATAATTTCTAAATTTCACTTGGTTTTATAGTTAGATAAAAAATTATTCAGAAGCAGGTGGTTTTAATTTTCTTGTGTTTATATAGTTTGAGGGTTTCTCTGATGTTTATTACTTTTATTTTTGTTGTCTGACAATTGATATAATTTTAATATTTTTAAATGTATTGAGATTTGTTTTGTGGCCTATCATATGGCATATCTTTGATAAGGTTTTATATGCTAATGAGAAGAATGTATTTTCTGCAATTCTTGGCTAGATTGTTATTTAAGTATCTGTTAGATTTATTCGCTCTAGAGTGTACTTTAAGTCTACTGTTTCTTTGCTGACTTCCTGTCTCAATTAACTATGTTGCTCTATGTTGTCAGTGGAGTATTGATGTTCCCTATTATTATTCTGTTGCTCTCTATCTTAAGTATAGAAGTAAATGTTTTATGAGCCCAGTGTTGGGTACATATACATTTAGGCTTGTAATTTCTTATTCAATTAAAACTTTTATCATTAGATGATAATCTTGTCTTTTTTTACTGTTTTTGCTTAAAAGATTTTTTCACCTGATATAAGAATAGATGCTGCTACTCAGTTTTGATTTCTATTTGCATGGAATAACTTTTTCCAGCCTTTTACTTAGGCAATTTACTTTCAACATTAATATTGAGATGTGAGGTACTGTTGCAATCATTATGTTACTAGTGACCTAGATATTTGGTCTTTTTTATTGTGTTATTGTTTTATAGGTCCTGTGAGTTTTGTACTTTCAAGAGGTTCTATTCTGGTGCATATCAATCTTTTGCTTTAGGATTTGGAACTTTTTTGCATTCATGAACAGCTGGTCTGGTAGTAATTATTTTCCTCAATGTTTATTTGTCTGAAGATAACTTTATTTATCTTTCATATAGAAAACTTAGTTTTTGGGTTTTTTTTGTTTGTTTGTTTTGGCTTGGTTTTTTGAGATGGAGTTTCACTCTTGTTGCCCAGGCTGGAGGGCAATGACACTATCTCAACTCACCACAATATCTGCCTCTCAGATTCAAGTGATTCTCCTACCTCACCCTCCTGAGTAGCTGGAATTACAGGCATGCATCACCATTCCTGGCTAATTTTTTGTATTTTTAGTAGAGAGGGGGTTTCTCCATCTTGATCAGGCTAGTCTTGAACTACCGACCTCAGGTGATCCGCCCACCTCGGCCTCCCAAAGTACTGGGATTACAGGCATGAGCCACTGTGCCCAGCCTGAAAATTTAGTGCTACTAGATAAAAAATTCTGGACTGATAGTAATTCTGTTTTAAAAAGTTAAATGAGACCCTAATTCTTTATGACTGATAAGAGTTTTTATGAGAATTCTCCTGATATTCTGACAGATTTTCCTTTATAGGTTACCTGATTCTTTTATCTCACTAGTCTCAGAATTTTTTTTTTTTCAGGTTGACTTTAGAGGGCCAATGACAATATGCGTTGGTGAACTCCTTTTTATAATAAATATCTCAGGAAATTTTTGAGCTTCTTATATTTGCAAATATAAATCTCTAGCAAAGCCAAGAAATGTTTTATTAATTATTCCCTCAAATAAGTTTTCCAAATATGTTTCTCTTTCTTCTCCATCGGCAACACCACTTATTCTTAGGTTCAGCCATTTTATAAATCACATATTTATTATATTGAGTATTGAAAGGTGAAGCTGGCTGGGCTTCTGAGTAGAGTGGGGACTTGGAGAACATTTCTGTCTGGCTAAAGGGTTGCAAACACACCAATCAGTGCTTTGTGTTTAGCTAAAAGTTTGTAAATGCACCTGTCAGCACTCTAAAAATGCACCAATCAGCACTCTGTGTCTAGCTAAAGGTTTGTAAATGCATCAATAAGCGCTCTGTAAAATGGACCAATCAGCAGGATATAGGTGGGGCCAAATAAGCAAATAAAAGCTGGGCACCCAAGCCAGCAGTGGCAACCTGCTCAGGTCCGCTTCCACACTGTCTTCTGCTCTTCGCAATAAATCTTGCTGCTGCTCACTTTTTGGCTACACTCTACTTTTATGAGCTGTAACACTCACCACGAAGGTCTGCAGCTTCACTCCTGAAGTCAGTTAGACAACGAACCCACTGGGAGGAATGAACAACTCCTGACACGCCACCTTTAAGAGCTGTAACACTCACCGCAAAGGTCTGCGTCTTCACTCCTGAAGTCAGCAAGACCATGAACCCACCAGAAGGAAGAAACACCAGACACATCTGAACATCTGAAGGAACAAACCCCAGACACACCATCTTTAAGAACTGTAACACTGACCGTGAGGATCCGCGGCTTCATTCTTGAGGTTAGCAAGACCAAGAACCCACCAGAAGGAGCCAATTCTGGACACAGTATTTCAGAGAATATTGATCTTGATTTGGCTCTATTGCTGAGGAGTTAGTGTAAACTTTTTGGAGTGTTTTAGAACCTGTTTTTTTTTTTTTTAATATTACCAAAGTTATTTTTCTGGTTCCTTCTCATTTGGGTAGACAAGTTATACATATTTTTAATTTTCTAAATTTTCTGTTTTGAAATTTTTCACCTTAAGGATGATATTTTTTAATACTTATAGCTTATTCTAGACTAATTTGGCACTTTCTGCTTTCAGGGGTGCAGACTGAGAAAATTTTTATGTAATAGCTTTCTCAGATGCTGGTTGTAGTAGAAGTGTACTGAGTGTGAGAGCAAGTTCACTGTTACCTATAAGTTTGAAATGACAGAGGTCTCTTTAAGCTCACCTTGTTCCCCCATTACATGCACATTTTATTTATTTATTTTGTTTCCATTTTGTTTACTGTATTTAAAAGTTTAGGCTTCATGGTTTTAGGGGAGGTCTCTCTGGGTAGAAATTGGTTGTAGCTAAAGCAGGTTAATAGTTGAAATACTTAATAGCAGAAGGTTGGCAGAGATTGCTTTGGGAGATCTCAGTAAAACACACTGACATCTTATCAGGGAAAGGGTGGAAACAACCTCATCTCCCTTGCCAGGCCTGCAGGAAAGTGATCCACCTCTCAGACTTTCTTCTGAACAAGGGTCTGGCTGCTCAAACTGGGCAAATACCATTTTTATCTATAGGTACGTTGACATTCCAAGTAGGGATGCATTTTTACTCCACCTTTCATGCATGCTTGAACCTGAAGAATGCTCTTCCTGTGGGGATGTAGTTACCCTGAAATGTTCCAGAGGGCTGAAGGTACATACATGTAAAGCTCTTGTAGGAGAGGACCCAGTTATTTCTGCACTTATGGGTAAAGAGAAAATTCATATTAGGTCTCCAGTAATGGATTCTAACTAAAATAAAAATTATGTAAAAACAGATTTTTAAAAGTGCAAATATGGATTATAAGAAAGCTCAGTGAGATCCATGAGAAAGTCAGATATCAACACAAATAAATCAGAAAAAAAATGCAAATATGAAAGAAGAGATAAACTGGTAATAGCCAAACAAAAACCTAGAAAAATTTACTCACAAGTTACAAAATACAATTGAAAGCTATAATAAAGTAAACCAAGCAGAAGAAAAAGATTCAGAACTTGAAGAAAAGACTTTTAAGCTATCCCAGTAGAAAAATATAAAACTTTAAAAACAAATGAAAAAAGGAAAAAATATAAAAACTGGGAAAAGGCTTCGAGAAATATGGGAGTGCATAGTGATAGATGCTATAAGTTACAGGCTTTCTTTTTCTCTTTCCATTTATACCTTAAAGTCTTGTATCCCTTAAAGCACCCTTGAGAAAAAAACAATAAATAGTAAAAAGTTTGAAAAACTCATTTGATAATATAATCCAGAAAAAAAAGTTTCTCTTCTCTGATCACTGTAGCCATTTAGATCTTTTAAAATAAGCTGAAGTATAACCTGAAAGATGCTTTGCAAGATGATTATCAATAAGGCATATAATCATCAGAGTATTCAAAAGTAAATGTGAAGGAACAAATTCTGAAAGAAATAAGAAGGAAGAATCAAATCATATATAAAATAAAGTCAATCAAATTGACAATAGACTTTATTTAGTAGAAAAACCTATAGGCCAGAAGGAATAAGATTCTATTTTCAGTCTTCCTAAAGAAAAAAGTGCAGCCAAATATTTTGTATGCTGATAAATAAAGCCTCATGTAAAGGAGAAGTTAATTATTTTTCCAATGAGCAAATGTGAAGGGAATTTGTTACCATGAGATCATTCTACAAGGAATTCTCAAAGAAGTTCTAAATATGGGAATGAAAGAACAATATTCAGCATTATGAAAGGGCACATAAATACAAAGCTAACAGATCCCATAAAGCAACTGCACAACTGACACCACAAAACAAGTAGGTAACGTTGAGAGGAAAAAGACCCTGTATATCAACATTAACCTGAAATATAAATTGTTTAAAAACCCCTCTTAAAAGACTTGTAGGATAACACATGCTCCAAATCTCTGCTGCCTAAAAGAGACACAGCTAACAGGTAGACACTCCAGAACTTGACATAATAAGGTAGAAAATAATACACTATGCAAACAGAGAAAGGTAGCAGGAGTAGCTATTATATAATCTCAAACAAAGGATACTTTAAATCAACAACAGCAATAAAAAGAGAAAGTTTGTTATATAAAGTGTTCCATTCAATAGGATTCTATAAGACTACTGCATTCCACTGAAACACAATAGAAATCATCAAGAGAAAAAATAACAAATAAATACTTGAATTAAATTGGACTCAAACCTAATAGATATTTACTAATTATAGTGAACAACTATTATAAAATATATGCTTTTCTCATGTTTACATTGAATATTTTCCAAAATTGACCATATACTTTTTCATAAAAAGCATTCCAATAAATCCAAAAATTAAGAGCATTGAAGAGCTAGGTATGTATTGAAGTCTTCATAGATGGCTTTTTTTCTGTGCCTGTATTTTTTTGGGAAGACTTCCCAAGTACTTGAATGGACTTGGTGCCGGAGGAGTGGCACTGGTGATTAAAGATTATCTCTTTTGCCCTCCTTAGTGTCCCTTATAGCAATGTGAGGTTAAAACCAGGTACTGTTATTTCTTATTTAATTTTTTGATTCTTGTGATGATCTTTCCTGTGTGACAATAGTTGTACAAATTTTCTTTTCCAGTGGGATGATGAAGAGTGTAGGCTTCTATTCTGCCATCTTGCTCTATCCCTTTGATTTGTAATTTTATTCAACTTTGATGTGAGAAGATACTTGGTATTATTTTGTTAAGTTTTGGATTTATTCGAATGCTTTTTATGAACAAAATTGGAAAATCTTCAATGCACAGACACTGAGAATCATCTACAAGCATTAAGACCATCCATGAAACATGACCTCATCAAATAAACTAAAGAAGGTACTAGGGACTACTCCTGGAGAGACAGCTATGTGATTTTTCAGGCAGAGAACTCAAAATAGCAGTTTTGAGGGAACGCAAAAAAATTCAAAATAACAGAGGGGAAAGTCATTAACTAAATTTACATAAGGAAATACATAAGTAAATTTACATAAGTAAATTAAGTAAAATGCATTAAGTAAATTTACATAAGAGACTAAAATCATGAAAAAGAAGCAATTAGAAATTGAGTTGAAAATGCTACTGACATGTTAAAGAATGCATCAGAGTCTATTAACAGCATAACGGATCAAGCATAAGAGGATATTAGTGAGTATGAAGACAGGCTATATGAATATATACAGAGGATTACTAAGAAAGAAAAAATAATAAGGCATGGCTAGCAGATCCAGAAAATAGCTGAAAAGGGGAAATCTAAGAGTTACTAGCTTTTACTTTAAGGAGAAGGTAGAAAAAGAGACATGGGCCAGGTGTAGTGGTTCATGCCTGTCATCCCAGCAATTTGGGAGGCCGAGGTGGGAGGATCATGAGGTCAGAAGATCAAGACTATCCTGCCTAACATGGTGAAACCCCCTCTCTACTAAAAACACAAAAAAATTAGCTGGGTGTAGTGGCAAGTGCCTGTAGTCCCAGCTACTTGGGAGGCTGAGGCAGGAGAATGGCATGAACCCGGGAGGTGGAGATTGCAGTGAGCCAAGATAATGCCAGTGCACTCCAGCCCGGGCAACAGAGTGAGACTCCATCCCCCTCATCGCAAAAAAAAAAAAAAAAACGGGGAAACTTTCTTCAAAGGGAAAATAACAAGAACTTTTCAAACTTACAGAAATACATCAACATTCAAGTAGATAGTGATACAACACCAAGCAGATCTAATGCAAAAAAGACTACCTCAAGGAATTTAATAATCAAACTCCCAAAAGCCAGACTGAAAAAGGATTCAAAAGCAACAAGAAGGCCGGGCGCGGTGGCTCACGCTTGTAATCCCAGCACTTTGGGAGGCCGAGGCGGGCGGATCACGAGGTCAGGAGATCGAGACCATCCTGGCTAACAAGGTGAAACCCCGTCTCTACTAAAAATACAAAAAATTTAGCCGGGCGTGATGGCGGGCGCCTGTAGTCCCAGCTACTCGGGAGGCTGAGGTAGGAGAATGGCGTGAACCCTGGAGGCGGAGCTTGCAGTGAGCCGAGATTGCGCCACTGCACTCCCACCTGGGCCACAGAGCGAGACTCCGTCTCAAAAAAAAAAAAAAAAAAAAGCAACAAGAAAAAAGTTAACAAGTAATATGCAATGGAGATGCAATACATCTCGCAGCAGTCTTTCAGTGGAAACTTTACAGGCCAAGAAAGAAAGGCATAACATATTTAAAGTGCTGAAGAGAAATGAAAACTTTTGATGCTAGAATAGTATACCCAATGAAAATATTCTTTATGCATAAAGGAGAAATAACGACTTTTCCAAACAAAAACTGAGGGACTTCATCAACACATATCTGTTAAAAAATAAATAAATAAATAATAAATAAAAAGAGTTATTTAATCTAAAATAAAATAACATTAATGGGCAATGAGAAACTTCCAAAGGTGGAAAAACTCACTGTTAACACTAAGTACACAGAAAAACACAGAGTGTTATAACACTGTAACTGAGGTGTATAAACTACTCTTAAGTAGAAAGACTTAATAGTCAACCAATCAAAAATAACTACAACAACTTTGAAAGACATAGTACAGAAAGATGAATAAAAACAACAAAACATCAAAAAGCAAAGTATAATGTTAAAGACAGTTTATTATTCATTTTTGAAAATAAGTAATTATAATAGTGCTATCATATAATTTAGCAATACCACTGCTGGCTATATATACAAAAGAAAGAAAATCAGTATATCAAAGATACATTCATTGTCATGTTTCTTGGAGCACTGTTCACAATAGCCAAGATTTAGAAGAAAACTGTGATCCATAAGATCAATGGAGTACCAATCAGCCATAAAAGTGAATGAGGTTTTGTAATTTGCAATAGCATTGGTGGACCTGAAGGTCAATATGTTAAAATGAGATATACCAGGCACAAAAAGATTGACATTGTTTTTTTCATTTATGTCTAAGAGCTAAAGTAGTCAATACAATTAAACTCATGGAGATAAGGAGGAAAGAGATAATTACCAGGGACTGAGAAGGATAGATGAGAGTTGGGGAGAATATGGACATGGCAAATCGGTACCAAACAAGTCGGAAAAGATGAATGAGACCTAGTATTTGATAGCACAACAGGGAAACTATAGTCATTAGTACTTTCATTATACACCTTAATATAGATAAAAGAGCATAATTAGATTGTTCATAACATAAAGAATAAATCCTTGAGGAGGGGGATACCCAATTTTCCGTTACGTGGTTACTAAATATTGCATGACTGTATCTCATCTAACACATAAATATATACATCAAATATAAACCCACAAAATAAAAAATTATAAAATAAACCACAGTGAGTACTAAAGCTCTTAATAATCATAAAATAATAAAATTACAAATCTATACAATAATAACTCAAATCTATGTGATTATATAGAAACTAAATAACTTGCTTCTAAATAACCTTTGAGTATATGGGAAAATTAAAGCAGAGATCAAAAAATTTTGAAATTTAAATTATCACACAACACACAAAACCCTCTTTGTGGTGTGGAAACCCTTGCAAGAAGTGCAAAAAAGAAAAGTTTATAGTGTTAAATGTCTACGTAAAAAAGTTAGAAATATCTCCAATTAACAATCATTTATTTTACCCCAAGAAAATAAAATTACAAGAACACCCAAAGTTAGCAGAAATAAATATATAACAAACATCAGAAACTAAATAGAATTGAGATAATTTAGAAAAGCAATACAAAGGAATAATAAACCAAAAAATTGTTTAAAAAGCAAACAAAATAATAGACTGCTAGTAAGATTAAATATGAAAAAAGGAAGATTTAAGTAAGCACAATCAGAAAGAATAAAGGTAACATTGTAGCTGATACTATAGGAATACGAAAGATTATTAAAAATGACTATGAGCATTTCTACATGAACAAACTGGAAAAGTGAACAAAATAATTAAATTCCTGAAAGCATACAGCCTCCCAAAATTGACCAAGGTATACTTATGAACCCTAAACAGACATATAATGAGTAACAAAATTAAACCAGTAACAAAAATAGCTAAGGAAGAGAAAATCAAATACTATATGTTCTCACTTATAACTGTGAGTTAAACAGTGAGATGACATGGACACACAGAGAAAAATAATAGACACTGGAAATTTCAAAAGGGAGGATGTCAGAGGAGATGACTGTTGAAGAGTTACCTGTCAGACACGTACACATAAACCTGAATCTATAAAAATAAAAAATATTTTACGAAATTGGTAAAATGTGCTCTACTCAGGTGATGGCTGCACTAAAATCTCAGACTTCACCACTACATAATTTACTCATGTAACCAAAAATCACTTTTACCCAAAAATATGTTGAAATTTTAAAAAAGTAGGCTGGGTGCAGGGGCTCACACCTGTATTCCCTGCACTTTGGGAGGCCAAGGAGGGCAGATCATGACGTCAGGAGATCGAGACCATCCTGGCTAACATGGTGAAAACCCATGCAGACTTTCACTGTACAGAATAAATGTACAAAAGCTAGTAATATTTTCATATTTCAATAACATTCATGCTGAGAACCAAACAGGAACTAAACTCCAATGTAAATGTAAAAATACAAAAACAAAATCAACCAGGTGTGGCGGTAGGCATCTATAGTCCCTGCTACTCAGGATGGTGAGGTGGGAGAAGGGTGTGAACCCAGGAGAAGGAGCTTGCAGTGAGCTGAGATCAAGCCACTGTACTCCAGCCTGGGCAACAGAGCGAGACTCGGTCTTAAAAAAAATAAATAAATAAATAGTAGAATGCATAAGGACAATTGAAGAACTTTTTAAAAGAAATGTGTAAAATTACATGAGAGAATAATGTTATGTCAATGTTAAATTCCTTGACTATATGTTGTGGAAATGAGGATAATCTCTTGTTCCTTTAAGATATATATTCAAGTATGTAGAATTAAAATGTCTTGAAGTATGTAAACCTAAAGCAATAAATTTTCAAATATTTTTTAAAAATATGTGTGTATGTAAAAAATTAATAAAACTCATTATACAGAAGAGGTATTAGAAGAGGTTTGCTTCATATGACAAAGTTAGAATATGGAGAAACAATTCAGCTTAATATTTAAAAAGGCTGATAAACAGTGGAAGCTAAAATGTGGCATGCCTCATAATGGGAGAAGTTCCCTGCTTCTGCCTAGTAAAGACAAGTACCATCTTGAGAAGGGATTTGATCACTAGACAGTTGGAGAATATAAACTCTAAAGTCTTTTCATACTGTTTCTTTTGTTAGTGAAGAAATAGTAGGTATTGATATACGGCCTTCTTTCCCTTAAGCCATCCCAAGTGTAAAGAAATAAGTTGTCTAAAAAGGAAAAGTCTGGATACACACTCCTCAGAAAAGAACTAGACTTAACACACTGTTGTCATATATCTTCTAATACATAATACACTTGACAAATGTTCAATGGGTTTTCAGTTCAGGTTTGTTTGTTTGATTTAATTGTTTCTGGTTTCACCTTTTTTTTTTCTATTTATAGATAACCTATGCAAACATCCTACTGTACTTTGCTTTTTCTACTGAATTCTTTTGCCCAAGTTTGCTTTGCATATAGAAATAATTGTTCAACCAACATGAAAATAGTGATTTCTTAATGTTGGTGAATAACTTGATTATTAAAACATCCTATAAATAGGTCTATAGATGTTCACAAAATTATATATACATATAAATGTATAAATACAGAAAAATATTTTAAAATACTATGTAATCAAACACCAGTTCAAGAACTTTGGCAACTCGAAAGTCCTTGGTGTCTTCTTTTCATGAAAAATATCACACAACTTCTTCAGGAAGGATTCTTAAGCAGGCTGAAATAGCTGCAAAAATTGAAATACAATTTAAAATATGGATAGAAATGAAGATGACTGTGATTTAAAGTAAAATCTGTGTGTAATTTAAGAAACCTAAGAAATACAATAAAATGATACAGGAGCTGGCAGATGAACTGGCCAGTATAAGACAGAACTAAACTGATGTAATAAAGCTGAAAAACACATTACAAAAATTGTATAATGTAATCGTAAGTATTAATAGCAAAAAAAAATCCAACTGAGGAAAGAATCTCAGAGCTTGACAACACATTCTGCTAACTAACTTAGACAGAATTAAACTAAAAAGAACAAAGAAAACTTCTGAGAAGTATGGAATTGTGTAAAAAGACCAAACCTGTAATACACTGGCATTCTGAAAAAATTGTGGCGAAAGCAAACAACTTTGAAAACATGTTCAAGAAGAACTTTCCAGCTTCACTAGAGAGGCCAAGATTCAAATTCAGGAATTGCAAATAACCCACATGAGATACTGCACAAGAAGATCATCCCAAAGAAACACAGTAATCAGATTCTCCAAGGTCTAAATGAATTTTAAAATGCTAAAGGCAGTTAGAGAGGAAGGGCATGTAAGTACAAAGGAAACCACATTCGGTTAAAAGAAGATGTTTCAGCAGATATCCTGCCAGCCAGAAGAGATTGGGAGCCCAGTGTTCACCATTCTTAAAGAAAAAAAAGACAAAAATTTTATATACAGCCAAATTAAGCTTTCTGAGGTGGAAATAGGATATTTTTCAGACAAGTGTATGCTGAGATAATTCATTACCACTGGAACTCCCTTATAAAAGGTCTTTAAAAAAACATTAAAGATTAAAAGGATATACTCTTATCAGCAACTACCAAAACAAATTGAAGGCCAGAAGAGGTGGCTCATGCCTGCAACTCCAGACTTTGGAAGGCCGCAGCAGGCAAGTCACAAGGTCAGGAGATGGAGACCAGCCTGGCTAACATGGTGAAACCCCGTCTCCAATAAAAATACAAAAAATGAGCCAGGTATGGGGGCATGAGCCTGTAGTCCCAGATGTTTGGAGTTCTGTGGTATTGGTCATAATATCTCTTGTTTTGTTTCCAATTGAACTTCTTTGGATCTTCTCTTTTCTAAATTAGTCTCACTAACAGTCTATCAATCTTTTTATTTTTTCAAATAACTGGCTTTTGGTTACATTTATCTTTTGTATTGCTTTTGTTTCCATTTTACTTAGCTCTGCTATTATCTTCGTTATCTCTTTTCTTTGTTTGTCTGGGTTTGGCTTGCTCTTATTTCTCTAGTTCCTTGAAATGCGACCTTATATTGTCTATTTTTGCATTTTCCAACTTTTGATGTAGATATTTAATGCCATAAACTTTCCTCTTAGTACTGCTTTTGCTGTATCCCAGAGGTTTTGATAAGTTGTGTCACTAATGTAATTCAGTTCAAAGAATTTTTTTTTTATTATACTTTAAGGTTTAGGTTATATGTGCACAATGTGCAGGTTAGTTACATATGTATACATGTGCCATGCTGGCGCGCTGCACCCACTAACTCGTCATCTAGCATTAGGTATATCTCCCAATGCCATCCCTCCCCCCTCCCCCACCCCACAACAGTCCCCAGAGTGTGATGTTCCCCTTCCTGTGTCCATGTGTTCTCATTGTTCAATTCCCAACTATGAGTGGAAATATGCGGTGTTTGGTTTTTTGTTCTTGCGATAGTTTACTGAGAATGATGATTTCCAATTTCATCCATGTCCCTACAAAGGACATGAACTCATCATTTTTTGTGGCTGCATAGTATTCCATAGTGTATATGTGCCACATTTTCTTAATCCAGTCTATCATTGTTGGACATTTGAATTGGTTCCAAGTCTTTGCTATTGTGAATAGTGCCGCAATAATCATACGTGTGCATGTGACTTTATAGCAGCATGATTTATAATCCTTTGGGTATATACCCAGTAATGGGATGGCTGGGTCAAATGGTATTTCTAGTTCTAGATGCCTGAGGAATCACCACACTGACTTCCACAATGGTTGAAGTAGTTTACAGTCCCACCAACAGTGTAAAAGTGTTCCTATTTCTCCACATCCTCTCCAGCACCAGTTGTTACCTGACTTTTTAATGATTGCCATTCTAACCGGTATGAGATGGTATCTCATTGTGGTTTTGATTTGCATTTCTCTGATGGCCAGGGATGGTGAGCATTTTTTCATGTGTTTTTTGGCTGCATAAATGTCTTTTGACAAGTGTCTGTTCATGTCCTTTGCCCACTTTTTGATGGGGTTGTTTGTTTTTTCTTGTAAATTTGTTTGAGTTCATTGTAGATTCTGGATATTAGCCCTTTGTCAGATGAGTAGGTTGTGAAAATTTTCTCCCATTTTGTAGGTTGCCTGTTCACTCTGATTGTAGTTTCTTTTGCTGTGCAGAAGCTCTTTAGTTTAATTAGATCCCATTTGTCAATTTTGGCTTTTGTTGCCATTGCTTTTTGTGTTTAGACATGAAGTCTTTGCCCATGCCTGTGTCCTGAATGGTAATGCCTGGGTTTTCTTCTAGGGTTTTTATGGTTTTCGGTCTAACGTTTAAGTCTTTAATCCATCTTGAACTGATTTTTGTATAAGGTGTAAGGAAGGGATCCAGTTTCAGCTTTCTACATATGGCTAGCCACTTTTCCCAGCACCATTTATTAAACAGGGAATCCTTTCCCCATTGCTTGTTTTTGTCAGGTTTGTCAAAGATCAGATAGTTGTAGATATGCAGCATTATTTCTGAGGGCTCTGTTCTGTTCCATTGATCTATATCTCTGTTTTGATACCAGTACCATGCTGTTTTGGTTACTGTAGCCTTGTAGTATAGTTTGAAATCAGGTAGCGCAATGCCTCCAGCTTTGTTCTTTTGGCTTAGGAGTGACTTGGCGATGCAGGCTCTTTTTTGGTTCCATGTGAACTTTAAAGTAGTTTTTTTCCAATTCTGTGAAGAAAGTCATTGGTAGCTTGATGGGAATGGCATTGAATCTGTAAATTACCTTCGGCAGTATGACCATTTTCACGATATTGATTCTTCCTACCCATGAGCATGGAATGTTCTTCCATTTGTTTGTATCCTCTTTTATTTCCTTGAGCAGTGGTTTGTAGTTCTCCTTGAAGAGGTCCTTCACATCCCTTGTAAGTTGGATTCCTAGGTATTTTATTCTCTTTGAAGAAATTGTGAATGGGAGTTTGCTCATGATTTGGCTCTCTGTTTGTCTGTTTTTGATGTATAAGAAAGCTTGTGATTTTTGTAGATTGATTTTGTATCCTGAGACTTTGCCAAAGTTGCTTATCAGCTAAGGAGATTTTGCGCTGAGACAATGGGGTTTTCTAGATATACAATCATGTCATCTGCAAACAGGGACAATTTGACTTCCTCTTTTCCTAATTGAATACCCTTTATTTCCTTCTCCTGCCTAATTGCCCTGGCCAGAACTTCCAACACTATGTTGATTAGGAATGGTGAGAGAGGGCATCCCTGTCTTTTGCCAGTTTTCAAAGGGAATGCTTCCAGTTTTTGCCCATTCAGTATGACATTGGCTGTGGGTTTGTCATAGATAGCTCTTACTATTTTGAAATACATCCCATCAGTACCTAATTTATTGAGAGTTTTTAGCATGAAGGGTTGTTAAATTTTGTCAAAGGCCTTTTCTGCATCTATTGAGATAATCATGTGATTTTTGTCTTTGGTTCTGTTTATATGCTGGATTACATTTATTGATATGCGTATATTGAACCAGGCTTGCATACCAGGGATGAAGCCCACTTGATCACAGTGGATAAGTTTTTTGATGTGCTGCTGGATTCGGTTTGCCAGTATTTTACTGAGGATTTTTGCATCAATGTTCATCAAGAATATTGGTCTAAAATTCTCTTTTTTGGTCATGTCTGTGCCAGGCTTTGGTATCAGGATGATGCTAGCCTCATAAAATGAGTTAGGGAGGATTCCCTCTTTTTCTATTGATTGGAATAGTTTCAGAAGGAAGGGTACCAGTTCCTCCTTGTACCTCTCATAGAATTTGGCTGTGAATCCATCTGGTCCTGGACTCTTTTTGATTGGTAAGCTATTGATTATTGCCACAATTTCAGATCCTGTTATTGGTCTATTCAGAGATTCAACTTCTTCCTGGTTTAGTCTGGGGAGTGTGTATGTGTCAAGGAATTTATCAATTTCTTCTAGATTTTCTAGTTTATTTGTGTAGAGGTGTTTGTAGTATTCTCTGATGGTAGTTTGTATTTCTGTGGGATCTGTGGTGATATCCCCTTTATCATTTTTTATTGCATCTATTTGATTCTTCTCTTTTTCTTTATTAGTCTTGCCAGTGGTCTATCAATTTTGTTGATCCTTTCAAAAAACCAGCTCCTGGATTCATTAATTTTTTGAAGGGTTTTTTTTTTTTTGTCTCTATTTGCTTCAGTTCTGCTCTGATGTTAGTTATTTCTTGCCTTCTGCTAGCTTTTGTACATGTTGGCTCTTGCTTTTCTAGTTCTTTTAATTGTGATGTTAGGGTGTCAATTTTGGTTCTTTCCTGCTTTCTCTTCTGGGCATTTAGTGCTATAAATTTCCCTCTACACTCTGCTTTGAATGCATCCCAGAGATTCTGGTATGTTGTGTCTTTGTTCTTGTTGGTTTCAAAGAACAACTTTATTTCAGCCTTCATTTCGTTGTGTACATAGTACTCATTCAGGAGCAGGTTGTTCCGTTTCCATGTAGTTGAGCTGTTTTGAGTGAGATTCTTAATCCTGAGCTCTAGTTTGATTGCACTGTGGTCTGAGAGACAGTTTGTTATAATTTCTGTTCTTTTACATTTGCTGAGGAGAGCTTTACTTCCACATATGTGGTCAATTTTGGAATAGGTGTGGTGTGGTGCTGAAAAAAATGTATATTCTATTGATTTGGGATGGAAAGTTCTGTAGATGTCTATTAGGTCCGCTTGGTGCAGAGCTGAGTTCAATTCCTGGGTATCCTTGTTAACTTTCTGTCTCATTGATCTGTCTAATGTTGACAGTAGGGTGTTAAAATCTCCCATTATTAACGTGTGGGAGTCTAAGTCTCTTTGTAGGTCACTCAGGACTTGCTTTATGAATCTGGGTGCTCCTGTATTGGGTGCATATATATTTAGGATAGTTAACTCTTCTTATTGAATTGATCCCTTTACCATTATATAATGGCCTTCTTTGTCTCTTTTGATCTTTGTTGCTTTAAATTCTGTTTTATCAGAGACTAAGATTGCAACCTCTGCCTTTTTTTCTTTTCCATTTGCTTGGTAGATCTTCCTCCATCCTTTTATTTTGAGACTATGCATGTCTCTGCACGTGTATGGGTTTCCTGAATACAACACACTGATGGGTCTTGACTCTTTATCCAATTTGCCAGTCTGTGTCTTTTAATTGGAGCATTTAGTCCATTTACATTTAAAATTAGTATTGTTATGTGTGAATTTGATCCTGTCATTATGATGTTAGCTGGTTATTTTTCTCATTAGTTGATGCAGTTTCTTCCTAGTCTCGATGGTCTTTACATTTTGGCATGATTTTGCAGTGGCTGGTACCAGTTTTTCCTTTCCATGTTTAGCGCTTCCTTCAGGAGCTCTTTTAGGGTAGGCCAGATGGTGAAAGAATCTCTCAGCATTTGCTTGTCTGTAAAGGATTTTATTTCTCCTTCACTTATGAAGCTTATTTTGGCTGTATATGAAATTCTGGGTTGAAAATTATTTTATTTAAGAATGTTGAATATTGGCCCCCACTCTTTTCTGGCTTGTAGGGTTTCTGCTGAGAGATCCGCTGTTAGTCTGATAGGATTCCCTTTGAGGGTAACCTGACCTTTCTCTCTGGCTGCACTTAACATTTTTTCCTTCATTTCAACTTTGGTGAATCTGACAATTATGTGTCTTGGAGTTGCTCTTCTCGAGGAGTATCTCTGTGGCGTTCTCTGTATTTCCTGAATCTGAATGTTGGCCTGCCTTGCTAGATTGGGGAAGTTCTCCTGGATAATATCCTGCAGAGTGTTTTCCAACTTGTTTCCATTCTCCCCGTCACTTTTGGGTACATCAATCAGACGTAGATTTGGTCTTTTCACATAGTCCCATATTTCTTGGAGGCTTTGTTCATGTCTTTTTATTCTTTTTTCTCTAAACTTCCCTTCTCACATCATTTCATTCATTTCATCTTCCATCACTGATACCCTTTCTTCCCATTGATCATATCGGTTCCTGAGGCCTCTGAATTCTTCACATAGTTCTTGAGCCTTGGTTTTCAGCTTCATCAGCTCTTTTAAGCACTTCTCTGTATTGGTTATTCTAGTTATACATTCTTCTAATTTTTTTCAAAGTTTTCAACTTATTTGCCTTTTATTTGAATGTCCTCCTGTAGCTCAGAGTGATTTGATCATCTGAAGCCTTCTTCTCTTAACTCATCAAAGTCATTCTCCATCCAGCTTTGTTGCATTGCTGGTGAGGAACTGCATTCCTTTGGAGGAGGAGAGGTGCTCTGCTTTTTAGACTTTCCAGTTTTTCTGCTCTGTTTTATCCCCATCTTTGTGGTTTTATCTACTTTTGGTCTTTGATGACGGTGATGTACAGATGGGTTTTTGGTATGGATGTCCTTTCTGTTTGTTAGTTTTCCTTCTAAGAGACAGTATCTTCAGCTGCAGGTCTGTTGGAGTACCCGGCCATATGAGGTATCAGTCTGCCCCTGCTATGGGGTGCCTCCCAGTTAGGCTGCTTGGGGGTCAGGGGTCAGGGACCCACTTGAGGAGGCAGTCTGCCTGTTCTCAGATCTCCAGCTGTGTGCTGGGAGAACCACTGCTCTCTTCAAAGCTGTCAGACAGGGACATTTAAGTCTGCAGAGGTTACTGCTGTCTTTTTGTTTGTCTGTGCCCTGCCCCCAGAGGTGGAGCCTACAAAGGCAGGCAGGCCTCCTTGAGCTGTGGTGGGCTCCACCCAGTTGGAGCTTCCCGGCTGCTTTGTTTACCTAAGGAAGCCTGGGCAATGGCAGACGCCCCTCCCCCAGCCTCACTGCTGACTTGCAGTTTGATCTCAGACAGCTCTGCTAGCAATCATTGAGACTCCATGGGCATAGGACCTTCCGAGCCAGGTGCAGGATATAATCTCCTGGTGCACCATTTTTTAAGCCCGTCAGAAAAGTGCAGTCTTCGGGTGGGAGTGACCCGATTTTCCAGGTGCCATCTGTCACCCCATTCTTTAACTAGGAAAGGGAACTCCCTGACCCATTGCACTTCCTGAGTGAGGCAATGCCTCAACCTGCTTCAGCTCACACATGTTGCATGCACCCACTGACCTGCACCCACTGTCTGGCACTCCCTAGTGAGATGAACCCAGTACCTCAGATGGAAATGCAGAAATCACCCGTCTTCTGTGTCACTCATGTTGGGAGCTGTAGACCAGAGCTCTTCCTATTCAGCCATCTTGGCTCCTCCCCACTCAAAGAGTTTTTTAATTACTATCTTTATTCCATAGTCAACTCAGGATCATTTACAAGATTTTGTATTAGTCTGGGTTCTCTAAAGGGACAGAACCAATAGGATAGATGAATATATGAAAAGGAGTTTATTATGTGAATTGACCCACATGATCACAAGTTGAAGTCCCACAATAGGCCATCTACAAGCTTTGGAGAAAAGAAGCCAGTCTGAGTCCCAAAATCACAAAAGTAGGAAAGCTGATAATGTAGCCTCAGTCTGTGGTCAAAGGCCTATTATCCCCTCGGCAATTACTGTTGTAAGTCCAAGAGTAAAAAAGCTGAAGAACTTTGAATCTCAGGTTAGAGTTCAGGAAGCATCCAGCATAGGAGAAAGATGGAGGAAAAATACTCAGCCGGTCTTGTTCTTTTTTTTTTTTTTTTTTTTTGAGACAAATTCTCACTCTGTAGCCCAGGCTGGAGTGCAGTGGCAGGATCTTGGGTCACTTCAAGCTCTGCATCGCGGGTTCATGGCCTTCTCCTGCCTCAACCTCCTGAGTAACTGGGACTACAGGTGCCTGCCACCATGCCCGGCTAATTTTTTGTATTTTTAGTACAGACAGGGCTTCACTGTGTTAGCCAGGATGATCTCGATCTCCTGACCTTGTGATGCAGCCACCTCAGCCTCCCAAAGTGCTAGGATTACAGGCATGAGCCATTGCACCTGGCACAGTCTTGTTCTTTCACATTTCTCTTCTTGCTTTTATCCTGCCTATGCTGGCCACTGATGAGATGCTGCCCACCCAGATTGAGGGTGAATTTTTCTCTCCCAGTCCACTGACTCAAATGTTAACCCTCTGTGAGATTATTTGGATCTTCTCTACTACTTTGGCAACACCCTCACAGACACACTAAGGCACAATACTTTTCATTCTTCAGTTCAATCAAGTTGACACTCAATATTTTCCATCACAAGAATATTCAATTTCTGTGCTTTTGTATAGCTTTGAGGGTTCTTTTTGTAGTTGACTTCTAGGTTTATTCCACTATGGTCTGAGAGGGTACTTGATATAATTTTGACTTTCTTAAGTATATTGTGATTTGATCTGTGTTGTATCATATGGTCCATATTGGAGATAGTTGCATGTGCTAATGAAAAGATATATTCTACAGTCCTTGGGTAGAAAAATCTGGAAATACATGTTAAGTTCATTTGTTCTAGGGTATAGTTTAAGTACATTATTTCTTTGTTAACATTCTGTCTTGATGAACTGTCTAGTGCTATCAATGGTGTACTGAAGTCTCTCCACTATTATTGTGTGGCTGTCTAACTTATTCCATAGGCCTAGTAATAATTGTTAAATAAATTCAGGAGTTTCAGTCTTAGATGTAAGTGTTTAGGACTGTGATATTTTCCTGATAAATTTGTCCTTTCATTATTGCATATTGTGATTCTTTGGGTTTTTTAATTATCTTGAAGTCTGTTTTGTTTAATCTAAGAATGACTAATCCTTCCCACTTTTTTTCCTTTTTTTTTTTTTTTTGAGATGGAGTCTCACCTTTAACTCAGGCTGTAGTTCAGTGGCATGATCTCAGCTCACTACTACCTCCTCTGCCTCCTGGGTTCAAGCAATTCTTCTGCCCCAGCCTCCTGAGGAGCTGGGATTATAGGTGTGAACTACCATGCCTAGCTAATTTTTGTATTTTTAGTAAAGATGGGGTTTCACCATGATGACCAGGGTAAAATTGAACTCCTGACTTCATGATCCATCTGCCTCAGCTGCCCAAAGTGCTGGGATTACAGGCCTGAGCCACCGCACCTGGACAGGTGGATCTCTTGAAGACAGCAGACACTTGGCTGGTGAATTTGTATCTATTCTGCCATTCTGTATCTTTTAAGTAGAGTATTTAGGACATTTACGTTCAACATTAATATTAAGATGTGAGGTGCTGTTTTATTCATAATGCTAGTTGTTTCTGGAATACCTTTTTGTTGTGTTGCCTGAATAAGTTTTGTAATAGGTCCTGTAAAATTTGTGCTTAAACAGGTTTTATTTTGATGTATTTGGAGAATTTGTTTCAAGATTTACAACTTACAGTTTAGCATTTCTTATATTGCTGGCTTGATAGAGGTGAATTGTCACAGCATTTGTTTGAAAAAGATTTAATCTTACCTTAATTTATCAAGCTTAGTTTTACTGAATAAAAAATTCTTGGCTAACAATTATTTTGTATGAGGAGGTAAGGTACGACCACAATCCATTTTGACTTATAGGATTTTTGCTAAGAAATTTGCAGTTAATATGATAGGTTTTCCTTTATAGGTTAACTCAAGCTTTTACTTCAGAGCTCTTTTCAATCTTGAATTTAGGTAACCTGATGATATGTGCCAAGATGATGATATTTTTGTGTTACATTTCCCAGGTATTTCTTGTTGTATATTCACCACTACATGAAGATGCAACAGTCTCTCGTTGTCTGAGATAATACCAGAGTTCTTTGTATTACATCCAATGTAAGTAAGAAATATGGAAACAATGGTGAACTTGGAGGAAGAGTTCAATAAGCAAAAGAAGAAAGATTCCACCAGTGCAGAAGGGGCCCAAATGAATTGTCCACAATTATGCTGAGGTCTGGGGTTTTTATGGACTGGGAATAGAAAAGAATGTACTTTTTCTGTAAGCCCTCTGAGACAAAGCATGATTCAGCTTGCTTGACCCCAGACGTTGTCCTGGAACCAATTAGGAGCTGAAATGATGATACATTGGGGCTACTCAGCTTGACCAGCAACCTGTCAGGAGCAGAAGTGAAAGCTGGGCTGGGAACCTTGGCCTGGGACCAACCAGGAGCCAAAGTGATAATTCATAGAAGTTGGGTTCACAGTCTAAAAAGAAAAGCAAAGTGGCCACCAGAACCCACTAAAGCCCATGTGATTATGCCCATAAAAGGAGAAGAAACTTTCTACTGGAAGTCAACTAATTATACGGAGGCCAAAGGCATTTCTATGTCAGGTCTTGTTCCCTTATCTGAGTAGGTCAGAAGTTTATGCAAGTTCTATTCTAAATGGGCTGGAGGTTCTCCTCTCTGCACAACTGTGGGCATATCTCCAGGCACAACCTTCTGTACTAGTTTTTTTTTAGCTGTGCCTGCAGCTTGATTTTTTTTCACAGGATACTTCATATATTATGTGGGGACTAGGCACTGACCTGTGGGTCAGAGGCTTTCTGGGGACCCTTTCATTGCTGTGTACCTAAGACAAGCTAGCTAACTCTTCTCAACAGTTTTTAAGGCTCTTTTCTTTACCTTGACTGTAGATAACCTGATGACTAACTTTTTGTGCAATAAATTTCCCAATTGTTCTTTTTAGCTCCTTGTATTTGGGTATTTAGATCTGTAGTGAAGCCAGGAAATTATTTTTTAATTATTTCCTCAAATATGTATTTTCAATTTTTTTAGATTTCTCTTCTTTCTCAGAAATATCAGTTATTATTAGGTTTGCTCTTTAACATAATCCCAAATTTCTTGGAGGCTTTGTTGATTTTTTAAATATTCTTGTTTCTTTGTCTCTGTTTCATTGAGTTAATTCAAAAACTTTGCCTTTGAGCTCTGAGGTTCTTTATTCTACTTGTTTTAGTCTATTATTGACAGTTTGAAGTGCATTTTGTACTCCTCTAAGTGTGTCTTTCATCTC
This sequence comes from Homo sapiens, assembly GCF_000001405.40. Classification (NCBI taxonomy): domain Eukaryota; kingdom Metazoa; phylum Chordata; class Mammalia; order Primates; family Hominidae; genus Homo; species Homo sapiens. Next base: position 19,846,429 of record NC_000024.10, on the reverse strand, counting down.
CAGAAATTGTGGTTCTTTTTTCTTTAAAGTATCAACTTCTGGAGATTAGTTTTTATCCATATCTTTTTTATTTCTTTAATTTCATTTTCACATTTCTTTGGTATCATTTTTAGTAGCTTAATAATCAACCTTCCAAATTTTTAAGCTGGCAATTTAGAGATTTCTTCTTGGTTTGAATCCATTACTGGGTAGCTAGTATGGTCTTTTGTGGATGTTATAGAACCTTGTTTTGTCATAATACCAAATTATTTTTATGTTTCCTTTTCAATTGTGTAGAGTACTTCATTGAAAAAAATCTGGAACTCACGGGATGCTATTAAGTTATTTTGTAACACAAGATGATCCCTTGATGTGTTGTGCTTCTCCTTCCCCTAGAAATGGAGTTTTGTGAGAGCTAGGTGGCAGTTAATGTTTTGGCATTTTTGGGTCCACCCACACCCAGTGTGACTGCCAGGCATTGGACTTGTGATTGAGAATTTTTCAAAGAATATTGTGATGTGATCTATCTTCAGTTCTCCCAGCAAAATCAACACCTGCTCTGGTGAAGGTAGCCTGGGTGTGAAGTAGACTCTGAGAGAGTCCTTTGTTATAGATATGTTTAGTGTGCTGACTGTCTCAAATACTAATTATGCTAGCAGTAGAGTTTCATGTGGGCAGGCTCAGAGACTTTCATTAGTCAGCTTGTTGCAGGCACTGGAATTAGCTGTTGTTTTATCCTTGCTTGAAGCAAGGTTATTCTGTCATGAGTTGCTGTAATTTCCTTAGTTAATTGGCCACCAGCGAGGAGGCGGCACTTTCAAGAGAGCACCAACTGCAATAGTGGCAAGAAAATAAAAGGCTCCCTAAGTTGGCCAAGATAAGTATGCTGGTAACTCATGTGATGGACAGAGCAATAAAAGTTTCCACAAATTTATGTCTTTTGTACTCAGCTACCATGGTAGGTAGAAAATTTAAATCAGATGGGGTCAGAGTTAGGCAGGTCTGAGATCAGACACTGCTTGGACAGGGCTTGCTGAGAATACTTGAGAATAGCCTGACCTACATGGTGAAACCCTGTCTGCACTAAAAGTATAAAATTAGCCAGTGAGAAATAGGAGTGGTTCATGGGCAAATGAGGTTATGTTCCAGAGGGTAGTATGGCTGCCTCTGTCACTAGGAAAGTGGGGGCAAGCCAGTAGAAATAGATCTTGCCCAGCTACCAGGCAGTTGGTGAGGCCAGTCTCACTTTCTCTGTGCTGCACTCACAGAACCAAGTTTATCTACAGACAATGTGCACACGTCAGATTCAAAACTTGTTCCAGGTTATAAGCTTCCCCTGCAAGAAAGCAAGCATAGCTTTCAGGCGTTTCTCATTCTCATCTGCCCACATTGTTGGCCATGGTGAGGAAGAACATGAGTAAAAATCAGGTAGATCACTGAGGCTAGTCCTTGTAGAAGCAACCTACCTAAAAAAGTCACATCTACAAGCAAAAATAAGCAGGCAAGGCCCAGCAGAAAAGACTTCTTTTTGTGGAATTAGTAGGCTCCCAGGAAAAACTTTCCTTCTATTTTTGGGAATATACATAATCAGCTCCATGGGAACTTGCACAAGGAGGAAGAAGGCTTCCCTAAAACAAAACCAGTTATACAAACAAGAGAAGTGTCTCTTTGTGCTTGCTTAGAGACATGCTAACACCTACATAAATAAGAGAAAAATTGTATAGAAAGCTTTTCAAATTAGAAAAGTTATCCAAACAGCTACAAAGATGAGAGGAGATTCTCATAAAAGCTTTTGGATTTAACTCTAAGAATAACAGCCCCCTCAGCTCCTCTTTACAGTACAAAGAGCCTTCCTATTTGCTTTTTAAACTTTCACTTCAACCTCACTCTTTGTGCCCAGTTGTCATTGGGTTTTGGGAATGTTGAGTCTGTTTCAGTCCAGTTTGCTTTCATGGAGGATCTAACCATCATGTGAATTTGAAAGGAGGTCATAAAGCAAAGAAAGATTTCTGACCAAGGATACACCTCAGTGTTACCTGAAGTTCCTTGGGCTAACTCCAGACTCTGACAGCCTGTCTTGTATCAGCACCAGGAATTTCAGAATTTTTTTGCACTTTTTTTCTTTTCACAGCTTTCATGTCTACTATCCCTTCTTCTGTGCAATACTGTGGGTGTTTTTTTACAGCCTAAGGATGTAATATTGTTGGGTAAAGTTAGCCAGTGCCTTAGTAATCAGGAATGTAACTTGAAGAATTGCTGCTTCTGTGATTTCCTTGGTCAAGAAGACCTCAGAATTTCAGTGTAAACCTCATCTAGTGGGTACTTTTTGTCTCCAATTATACACATTTGTACACTACATAGGAGAATATTTCACACTAAATGAATGCTCTCCTCCCTGTCCAATTGGGTTGTTTTTTTTTCTCCATGTAAAAGCTGAGCACTACCCAATAAATTTAAACAGTTTTTTTAATGAGAAAAGTTAATTTCCCTTCACTGGGAGGCATATCATGTGAATTCCTGATTAAACCACAAACCTCACTTTCTAACTTCTGCTGGAAAGAATTTAAAGAATTTGAGTTATTATATCTCAGATCTTACAGCACCAAGTCAAATGAAATATTTTTATCCTTGTTGTGGACCCTTCAGTTCCCCAATTCCTCACCCTCCTACCTCCATCTATTAGAGATCAGGCTCCATGCTCTTTCTGTAAACAGTGAATCTCTACCTTTAGCAGTCAGGAAACACTGGGCATGGTGACTCATGCCTGTAATCCCAGCACTTTGGGAGGCCAAGGCAGGTGGATCACCTGAGGTCACAAATTTGAGAATAGCCTGACCTACATGGTGAAACCCCATCTCTACTAAAAGTACAAAATTAGCCAGTGTTGTGGCAGGTGCCTGTAGTCCCAGATACTTGGGAAGCAGAGGCAGGAGAATCACTTGAACCTGGAAGGTGGAGATTGCAGTAAGCCAAGATCACACCATTGCACCCCAGCCTGGGCAGCAAGAGTGAATCTCCATCTCAAAAAAAAAAAAAGGTCAAGAAAACAGCCAATCTTTATGTTCTTTTGAGGCACCTATTCTGCATCCAACTACATTAGTGTTTTAACAAAAAGGGGATTTTATGTTTGAAAGTGAGTCGGTCCAATTCTCTGGAATTTCAATATTTCCCAAGACCCCTATGGCACCCTGGGAACTTTATGGGCCAACAGGGTCTAGGAAACAAGCAGCATGGAAGGCTATGTCCCTGCAGAGGTAAACATGACTAATTCTGCTGACTAGGTTCTCCCAATCCATGGGTGAAGGTCATGCTTGCATCCATGTGTGGCACCTCTGACAGGTGCCAGAACACAGAGGACCAGATAAAAGTGGTGAGGAGAGATGCTATTTCAGCCTTTCTCTCCACCCTAAGTCACTCAGAAGACTGACCAATGCCTTTTCTTCTGTCTTTTCCAGATCAGTAATCTTTAAGCCTGCAGTCCCCTTCAGTGCAGCCTGAATCTCCTTCATCTCTCAGACTCTGAAGTTTACTTTGAGTAATACCCAACTGCATTTTTGCATCTGCAGAAAATGTCCAATGGACATGGTGCTACTAGAGTTAAATTTCCCTGCTCACTGCAGAACCCTAGACAAATAAAGGAGGACCTAGGCAAATTCTCTCATCTCCCTGATAGATATATAGAGGCATTCTAGAATTTAATCCAAGTATTTAAAGTCTCTTGGAAGAATGTTTCAGGGAAGGGGAAGCCAACAGGGAAGCCAACAGTGAATTGGAGGACCATAAATGAGACCACAGTGATAACAATCAAAAATGGAGAAGGAAATTCTTTCAAATTTGTGTACTGGAGGACTTGCAAGAGACTAAAGTAAATGTATTAACTACTCCAAGCTTTCCAAAATAGGATCAAAAACCAGATGGAAACCCCTCAGCCTCTATGAAAAGGCTAAAAGAGGTCTTAGAGAAATACATCTCCCTGTCTCCCAATTCAACAAAAAAACAGGTTTATTACTTACACCTCCCTGTCTCCCAATTCAATGAATAGGTTTATTACTTAGGCAGCCCCTGATATCAAAAGAAAGTTACAGAAATAAGCATACCTGAATATCTTTTTATTTTTTCTCATCCCCAAGTAGAAACTTTGCAGTATTTAAATGTCACTCTCCTATGTGCCCCACTGGAGGAAGTTTCACAAAGACACTGAGGCTCTCCTCAATTTCTTAGCTGAAAGGGCATATAGAGTGTTAAAATCTAAAGCTCACCTGTCTCAGATTTATTAAAATACCTAGGTCTGGTCTTATCAGAAGGGACAAGAGCACCATATGAGAATTAATCCCATTTTCTTTAACAGTTCAGGGGATTCTTAGGCACTGCAGGGTTTTGCAGACTGTGGGTACCCAGGTATGGTGAAATAGCTTCTGATTTACACCACCTCATAAAAGAAACTCAAGCAGTTAAAAGTCATTATTTGACCTGGAAACTTGAGGCTCAAAATGTCTTTAACTATCTAAAGTAACTCTTACTAAAAACACCAGCTCTCAGTGTTCCCATAGGTAAGGCATTCAGTCTTTATGAAACTGGGAAAGGGAATGGCACTGAGAGTTTTATCTCAGGCTGGAGGTCCAGCTCAATAGTCAGTGAATTAGATAAGCAAGTAACTTAAATCGGTGAGTAAAGGATGGGCAGCCTGCCTTCAAGCATTTGCAGTGATGGCTTTCTTGGTGCCAGAGGCCAGTAGGATAACCATGGGGAATAACTCAACTACTTACATACCACACAATATATAGGGTACTGCTACCTTCAAAATAGAGTCTCTGGCTAACAGACAATATCACCTCCCCCAAATATCCTATTTTGCTCCTAGAGGAATCTACAGTCCAGTCTACAGTCTAGTTAAAAACGTATCGTTGCCTGAATTCAGCCACTTCCTCCTAGAAAACACTGAGGAAACTGAACATGATTGTGAACAAGTAATTCTGGTTAAAGAAAAAGATAAGAATTACAGTATTTATTCTTTGTAAAGTTTTGATTAATAAAAAAGGACTTTATTAAAAAGCACTCAGCTTAATTAAAAATGAATATATAAGCTATAGGTATAGTTTAAAGGCCTCTATGTTTTTCTCTTAATTAGTGTTGTTTTTCTGGAAAAAACATATTTGGCTGAATTACTTTTCTCCACTCTGCCTTGCCAATGTTGGTGCATGCCTGAAAGAGTGTAAGATGACGTCTGGTGACCTGGGACTCCTTATGAAAACAGAAAAGGTGTTACAGATTCCATTTTGAGGAAAAAAATCTCTATTTTCCTCAGGGAACCCCTGGAATTAGTGGTGGCTAAATCCCTATGAAAATCTGTTTTAATCTTCCAGCTATGCCTGTTTGTTAGGTCCCAAAAACTACATGATTTCCTAGCACTATTCTTAAAAGGGTATACCCTGAGCTACTGGATCTTCTTCTGTCTGTGTAGTCATATATGCATTATGTGTATGATGTCTCTTTTAAAAAAGCTGTAATTCATTGGCCTACAATATTTTAGAAAAAATAAAAGCTGTAATGCCTCTTACTTTATGTGACATCAATTTTCAAAAATAAATAAAAAATCTTGGAGATTATTGGTAATATACAAGTGTTTTCTAGACATAAAGATGTGGTCTAAATTACACAAGTCAAATACTAGGTTTGCTAAATGTTTCAAGAATGTAAACTGCTTCTTTCCTCTTGGGGAACTGTTGATTTTACTTACTTCACAATGGATAAGGCCTGGGAACATACGGAAATAATGATGTTTCTAATTATTTTGGAAGGAGTCAAACTTTTTCTGCAGCTAAGGTATCATTGAAACAACCTACCAGGTTTTACATTAATGTGAAAGTTGCTAAGAATTGCCATTATGACATGTAATTGAAACTATTGAAAATAGATTTCAATGCAAGGTATGTAAATACAGTAAAATGTGTTTTTAGTAAAAGATCATAAGAAGGCATAGAAACCCTAATTTTGCCTAGGGATAAAGGATTGTCTTAAATTAGATAAAATAAGTAAAATATTTAAAAAATTGTAGAAAGATTGTAAAAATTAATTTTGCACAGGAAACTCTGTATATTGATTTATTGAATAAATTCAAGAGGATTTTTCATAAATTTAGTATTAAATAAAAGCAAAACAAGGCTTTCTTAAGATGTTAATATGCTCTTTAGAAAAATATTTGAAGGGGTGGTTGGAGCCAAGATGACCAAATAGGAACAGCTCCAGTCTACAGCTCCCAGTATTAGCGATGCAGAAGACAGGTGATTTCTGCATTTCCAACTGAGGTACAGGGTTCATCTCACTGGGGAGGGTTGGACAGTGGTTGCAGGACAGTGGGTGCAGTGCAGTGAGCATGAGCCAAAGGAGGGTGAGGTATCACCTCACCTTAGAAGCATAAGGGGTCAGGGAATTCCCTTTCCTATTCAAAGAAAGGGTGACAGAGAGCACCTAGAAAATAGGGTCACTCCCACCCAATACTGTGCTTTTCAAATGGTCTTAGCAAATGGAACACAAGGAGATTATATCCCACTCCTGGTTCAGAGGGTCCTACACCCACGGGGCCTCCCTCATTGCTAGCACAGCAGTCTGAGATCAAACTGCAAGATGGCAGGAAGGCTGGGGGAGGGGCGCCTGCCATTGCTGCAGTTTGAGTAGGTAAACAAAGCAGCTGGGAAGCTCCAAAAGTGTGAAGCCCACCACAACTCAAGGAGGCATGCCTGCCTCTGTAGACTCCACTTCTGGGGGCAGGGCATAGCCAAACAAAAGGCAGCAGAAATCTCTGCAGAATTAAATGTCCCTGTGTGACAGTTTTGAAGACAGTATTGGTTCTCCCAGCACACAGCTGGAGATCTGAGAATGGACACAATGCCTCCTCAAGTGGATACCTGACCCTGAGTAGCCTAACTGGGAGGCACCCCCAGTAGGGGCAGACTGACATCTCACATGGCCGGGTACTCCTCTGAGAGAAAACTTCTGGAGGAACAATCAGGAAGCAACATTTGCTGTTCAGCAATATCCTCTGTTCTACAGCCTCTGCTGCTGACACCCAGGCTGATATCCAGACAGTGTCTGGAGTGGAACTCCAGCAAACTCCAACAGACCTGAAGCTGAGGGTTCTGACTGTTAGAAGGAAAACTAACAAACACAACGGATATCCACACCAAAACCCCATCTGTATGTCACCATCATCAAAGACCAGAGGTAGATAAAACCACAAAGATGGAGGAAAAACAGCAGAAAAACCAGAAACTATAAAAATCACAGTGCCTCTCCTCCTCCAAAGGAATGTAGCTCCTCACCAGCAATGGAATAAAGCTGGATGGAGAATGAATTGATGAGTTGAGAGAAGGCTTCAGATGATCAAATTACTCCGAGCTAAAGGAGGAAGTTTGAACCCATGGCAAAGAAGTTAAAAACCATGAAAAAAATTAGATAAATGTCTAACTAGAATAACCAATGCAGAGAAGTCCTTAAAGGACCTGGTAGAGCTGAAAACCATGGCACAAGGACTACATGACAAATGCACAAGCTTCTGTAGCCAATTCAATCAACTGGAAGAAAGGTTATCAGTGATGGAAGATCAAATGAATGAAATGAAGAGAGAAGAGAAGTTTAGAGAAAAAAATAAAAAGAAATGAACAAAGCCTCCAAGAAATATGGGACTATGTGAAAAGACCAAATCTAGGTCTGATTGGTTTACCTGAAAGTGACGGGGAGAATGGAAAGAGGTTGGAAAACACTCTGCAGGATATTATCCAGGAGAACTTCCCCAATCTAGCAAGGCAAGCCAACATTCAAAATCAGGAAATACAGAGAATCCCACAAAGATACTCCTCAAGAAGAGAAACTCCAGGACAAATAATTGTCAGATTCAACAAAGTTGAAATGGAGGAACACATGTTAGGGCAGCCAGACAGAAATGTTGGGTTACCTACAAAGGGAAATCCATCAGAATAAGAGCGGATCTCTCTGCAGAAATCTAGAAGCCAGAAGAGAGTGGGGGCCAATATTCAGCATACTTAAAGAAAAGAATTTTCAACCCAGAATTTCATATCCAGCCAAAATAAGCTTCATAAGTGAAGGAGAAATAAAATCCTTTACAGACAAGCAAATGCTGAGAGATTTTGTCACCACCAGGCCTGCCCTAAAAGAGCTCCTGAAGGAAGCATTCAACATGGGAAGGAACAAACAATACCAGCGACTGCAAAAACATGCCAAATTGTAAAGACCATCAAGGCTAGGAAGAAACTGCATCAACTAGCTAGCAAAATAACCAGCTAACATCATAACGACAGGAACAAATTCACACATAACAATGTTAACCTTAAATGTAAATGGACTAAATGCTCCAATTAAAAGACACAGACTGGCAAATTGGATAAAGAGTCAAGACCCATCAGTGTGCTCTATTCAGGAAACACATCTCACATGCAGAGACACACATAGACTCAAAACAAAGGGATGGAGGAAGATCTACCAAGCAAATGGAAAACAAAAAGACAGGGGTTGCAATCCTAGTCTCTGGTAAGACAGAATTTTAACCAACAAAGATCTAAAGAGACAAAGAAGGCCATTACATAATGGCAAAGGGATCAATTCAACAAGAAGAGCTAACTATCCTAAATATATATGCACCTAATACAGGAGCACCAAGATTCATAAAGCAAGTCCTTAGAGATACACAAAGAGACTTACACTCCCACACAATAATACTGGAAGACTTTAACACACCACTGTCAACAATAGACAGATCAACAAGACAGAAAGTTAACAAGGATATCCAGGAACTGAACTCAGCTCTGCACCAAGTGACCTAATAGACATCTACAGAACTGTCCACCCCAAATCAACAGAATATACATTCTTTTCAGCACCACACCACACCTATTCCAAAACTGACCACATAGTTGGAAGTAAAGCTCTCCTCAGCAAATGTAAAAGAATAGAAATTATAACAAACTGTCTCTCAGACCACAATGCAATCAAACTAGAACTCAGGATTAAGAAACTCACTCAAAACTGCTCAACTACCTGGAAACTGAACAACCTGCTCCTGAACGACTACTGAGTACATAACGAAATGAAGGCAGAAATAAAGATGTTCTTTGAAACCAATAAGAACAAAGACACAACATACCAGAATCTCCGGGACACATTCAAAGCAGTGTGTAGAGGGAAACTTATAGAACCAATTGCCCACAAGAGAAAACAGGAAAGATCTAAAACTGACACCCTAACATCACAATTAAAAGAACTAGAGAAGCAAGAGCAAATATATTCAAAAGCTAGCAGAAGGCAAGAAATAACTAACATCAGAGCAGAACTGAAGGAGATAGACACATAAAAAAAAAAACCTTGAAAAAATCAATGAATTGAGGAGCTAGTTTTCTGAAAAGATCAAGGAAATTGATAGAATGCTAGCAAGACTAATAAAGAAAAAAAGAGAGAAAAATCAAATAGATGCAATAAAAAATGATAAAGGGGATATCACCACTGATCCCACAGAAATACAAATTATCATCAGAGAATACTATAAACATCTCTACACAAACTAAAAAATCTAGAAGAAATGGATAAATTCCTCAACACATACACCCTCCCAAGACTAAATCAGGAAGAAGTTGAATCTCTGAATAGACCAATAAAAGGCTCCGAAATTTTAGGCAATAATTAATAGTTTACCAACAAAAAAAAGTCCAGGACCAGATGGATTCACAGCCGAATTCTGCCAGAGGTATAAGGAGGAGCTGGTACCATTCCTTCTGAAACTATTCCAATCAATAGGAAAAGAGGAAATCCTCCCTAACTCATTTTATGGGGCCAGCATCATCCTGATATCAAAGCCTGGCAGAGACAGAACAAAAAAAGAGAATTTTAGACCAATATCCCTGATGAGTATCGATGCAAAAATCCTCAATAAAATACTGGCAAAGCTAATCCAGCAGCACATCAAAAAGCTTATCTACCATGAACAAGTGGGCTTCATTCCTGGGATGCAAGACTGGTTAAACGTATGCAAATCAATAAATGTAATCCAGCATATAAATAGAACCAAAGACAAAAACCACGTGATTATCTTAGTAGATGAAGAAAAGGCCTTTAACAAAATTCAACAACCTTCATGCTAAAAAACTCTCAATAAATTAGGTATCCACGGGACATATCTCAAAATAATAAGAGCTATCTATGACAAACCCACAGCCAATATCATACTGAATGAGCAAAAACTGGAAGCATTCCCTTTGAAAACTGGCACAAGACAGGGATGCCCCTGTCACCACTCCTATTCAACAGAGTGTTGGAATTTCTGGCCAGGGTAATCAGGCAGGAGAAGGAATAAAGGGTATTCACTTAGGAAAAGAGGAATTCAAATTGTCCCTGTTTGCAGATGACATGATTGTATATCGAGAAAACCCCATCATCTCAACCCAAAATCTCCCTAAGCTGATTTGAAGGCAACTTCAGCAAAGTCTCAGGATACAAAATCAATGTGCAAAAATCACAAGCATTCTTACACACCAATAACAGGCAAAGAGAGAGCCAAATCATGAGGGAACTCCCATTCACAATTGCTTCAAAGGGAATAAAATACCTAAGAATCCAACTTACAAGGGATGTGAAGGACCTTTTCAAGGAGAACTACAAACCACTGCTCAATGAAATAAAAGAGGATACAAACAAATGGAAGAATATTTCATGCTCATGGGTAGGAAGAATCAATATCATGAAAATGGCCATACTTCCCAAGGTAATTTATAGATTTAATGCCATCCTCATAAATCTACCAATGACTTTCTTCACAGAGTTCTAAAAAACTACTTTAAAGTTCATATGGAACCAAAAAAGAACCCACATTGCCAAGTCAATCCTAAGCCAAAAGAATAAAGCTGGAGGCATCACACTATCTGACTTCAAACTATACTACAAGGCTACAGTAACCAAAACAGCATGATACTAGTACCAAAGCAGAGATATAGACCAATGGAACACAACAGAGCTCTCAGAAATAATGCTGCATATCTACAACTATCTGATCTTTGACAAACCTGACCAAAACCAAAAATGGAGAAAGGTTTCCCTATTTAATAAATGGTGCTGGGAAAACTGGCTAGCTGTTTGTAGAAAGGTGAAACTGGATTCCTTCCTTACACCTTATACAAAAATTAACTCAAGATGATTAAAGACTTAAATGTTAGACCTAAAACCATAAAAACCCTAGATGAAAACCTAGGCAATACCATTCAGGACATAGGCATGGTTAAGGACTTCATGTCTAAAACACTAAAAGCAATGGCAACAAAAGCCAAAATTGACAAATGGGATCTAATTAAACTAAAGAGCTTCTGCACAGCAAAAGAAACTACCATCAGAGTGAACAGGCAACCTACAGAATGGGAGAAAATTTTTGCAATCTACTCATCTGACAAAGGGCTAATATCCAGAATCTACAATGAACTCAAACAAATCTGCAAGAAAAAAAAAACAACCCCATCAAAAAGTGGGTGAAGCGTATGAACAGACACTTTTCAAAAGAAGACATTTGTGCAGCCAAAAGACACATGAAAAAATGTTCATCATCACTGGCCATCAGAGAAATGGAAACCAAAACCACAATGTGATACCATCTCACACCAGTTAGAATGGTGATCATTTGAAAGTCAGGAAACAACAGGTGCTGGAGAGGATGTGGAGAAATAGGAACACTTTTACACTGTTGGTGGGACTGTAAACTACTTCAACCATTGTGGAAGTCAGTGTGGCAATTCCTCAGGGATCTAGAACTAGAAATACCATTTGACCCAGCCATCCCATTACTGGGTATATACCCAAAGGATTATAAAACATGCTGCTGTAAAGATACATGCACACATATGTTTATTGTGGCACTATTCACTATAGCAAAGACTTGGAACCAATTCAAATGTCCAACAATGATAGACTGGATTAAGAAAATGTGGCATATATACACCATGGAATACTATGAAGCCATAAAAAATGATGAGTTCATATCCTTTGTAGAGACTTGGCTGAAGCTGGAAACCGTCATTCTCAGTAAACTATCACAAGGACAAAAAACCAAACACCACATATTCCCACTCATAGTTGGGAATTGAACAATGAGAACAAATGGACACAGGAAGGGGAACGTCACACACTGGGGCCTTTTGTGGGGTGGAGGGAGTGGGGAGGGATAGCATTAGGAGATATACCTAATGTTAAATGACTAGGTAATGGGTGCAGCACACCAACATGGCACATGTATAGATATGTAACAAAGCAGCATGTTGCACACATGTACCCTAAAACTTCAAGTGTAATAAAAATAAATAAATAAATGCTTCTTTGACTGGTAAAAAAAAAAAGACAGAAAAAGAAAAAAATTTGAAGGGGTTGTAAAAGTTTTGTGAAAATTTATCCTCCTTATCAAACTGGTTGAGACTGAGTAGAATTGTCTGTAATATTTTATTAAAAATTAGATTAAAAATTAATAGTAGAAAAATGCAGACATGATAATTGGCTTTTTCCTTTCTTGAACAGAATTTTTATGTAATACTGAAGGTTAATGAAAGGTTTTTGCTTTTTCAAATTTTTGAGTCACATTTTAGCAAAATAAACAACCTATGGTAATATGGAATTCTGTTTCATAACATCAAATGTTTTAAAACTCTAACATATTTAACAGACTTCCCAAAGTAAAAACTACAGTTTCAATGTCATCTTCCCTGACACCCTTGCTTCTGGATACTACAGAGGCCAGTAGAATGTTCAAATGAGAGGAAAACAGGATTATTTAACTTTTTTAGATACATGACTTTGCCTAAATTATACCTAATTTCTTCAGGTATATTTCAGTAAATAATGTTAACGTATGTTCTAAAACTGGATGAAATGTCTCAGGTTCTAATGTCTGATTTTTTGCTATCAGTCATAATTAAATTTATTATGTTAAGCTGTTGTAAACCACAGAAATACCTAAGTTTCTATGTCAATTACATTCTTGGCTATAACTATACTAGCCATTTTGTCATAACAGAAAATTTTCATGTTTTAATCCTCTTCAAAGGATGATCTATTATCAGCTCTAGAACTATAAGAGTTGCTGTCAAATTCAGGTTTCTGATAACAGGAAAATATATAGGACTCATGAAAAGCTGAAGTATTTATGTATATCAAACAGAACAAGAGTTAACTAAATAAAATAAACAAATATATGAAGTTAAATAATCTTTTTGACTTTTGCTTGGAACATTGCTGATCATTGTTTTGTTTTTTTCAGGTTAGGCTTTTGAGCTAGCTATAGCTTTTATCAATTGAGTAAGGTACACTCTTGTGAACAACATTTGGAACATATTTGTGTTTCACTGCCTGGTTCTTCTAGTACTCAGAAACTAGTTGTGAGTATTCCTGACTTACAAAAATATAGTGGTCTGAATCAGAGCAATAAGAATCCATTTTCTTTTGCAACAACACAAAACTGGAAAAACTGGCTGTTTTACAAAGGCTTTGACTGGAAGGATGTGTTTCCCTTTAAGGGGTGAACCTTCACTTACAAAGTCAATGAAAGCCCCTTGGAAAAATGAACCTTGTCTACACAGTCCCTGTACAAGGTTTGTAGGCTGTGGGCACCACCCAGGTGCCAAGGCAAGAGACCAAGGGCATGAGTTGTTCCAGTGTAATAAAATATATAAAATAAGAATAGTTATACTAGATATAGATCTTAGATATGATTATATATTAATATCATTCACCATTAGTTTGTAGCAATTACTCTTTATTCCAATATTATAATAATCCTTGCTCTACAATCATAACCTGGGAAAAACCAGGCCATACAGAGATAGGAGCTGAGGGGACATAGTGAGAAGTGACCAGAAGACAAGAGTGCAAGCTTTCTGTTATGCCCAGACAGGGCCACCAGAGGCCTCCATGGTCTACTGGTAACTCCAGCATCTGGTAAGACTCCTGTTGCCAAGCAGACTGTGGTCTAATGGTAGTGTCAGTGTCAGGGAAAATCACCCACTATTTAGCAGACTGGGAAAGGGAGTCTTCCTTTCCCTGGGAGAGTTTAGAGAAGACTCTACTCCTCCACCTCTTGTGGAAGGCCTGACATCAGGCCCACCCACAGTTGTCCAGAGGCCTAACCATCTCCCTGTGATGCTGTGCTTCAGTGGTCACACTCCTATTCCACCTTCATGTTCCATCCTGTACACCTGGCTCTGCCTTTTAGAGAGTAGTAGCAAATTAGTGAAAGTACTAAAAGTCTCTGATAAGCAGAAATAATGGCATAAATTCTCTCTCTCTCTCTCTCTGCCTCAGCTGCCAGGCAGGCAAGGGCCCCCTGTCCAGTGGACATTTGACCCACATGAACTTACCTATCACTGGAGATGGCTCACACTCCTTACCCTGCCCCTTTGTCTTGTATCCAATAAATATCAGCACAGACTGGCATTCGGGGCCACTACCAGTCTCCATATCTTGGTGGCAGTGGCCCCCCAGGCCCAGCTGTCTTCTCTTTTATCTCTTTGTCTTGTGTCTTTATTTCTACACTCTCTCATCTCTGCACACAGGGAGAAAATCCACCGACCCTTTGGGGCTGGACCCTACAGTAAGCTCCAGTGAGTAAAGAATGTGACTTTACAATAGGATGAAAACCTATGTGCTCTTGGGACCTCAAGGAGAGAGAAATTTACCCAACTCACAGATATTGGAGGGTACAAATCCATGGTTAAGTTCAGCTTTAGAAAGTCCTATCTTAGATTTTTTATGAAATAGAGTTCCATCAAAGCCAGTCTAAAAGGCCTATGTAAAAAATAAGTATTCTTGCTGTGCTTAATGCAAATAAGCAGAACAAGCATAAGACCAAGGCCTAATTTTCAAAAATCTCAGTCCTATTATGATTTGCTTTTAACAAAAATGAAGACTAGAGATAGAGAAATTATGTTTACAATCATATCATACATCTGTCATTAATTTGTAGTCTCATTACTGGTTTTTAAGTTTCCAACTACATTTTAAACAGCAGTCTCTGGCTGTAGCTCAAAAGAGACAGAAAGGGATGGGAATGTAAAAATCTGGAACAACCTTCTAGTTCTGGGCAACTATTCTACAAATCCTGCTAGGTAATAAGGTAAATAGAGTACCCATAACCAAGAGGTTTTCTTTTTGGGGAAGTAACGCCAAGGAAGCTAACCAGAGCCAAGCCCCATACACACAAATCTTAACAGGAATAACTATAGCCATCAGTAATTAGAGCATGTTAGCAGCTTCAAAATTTGTGAACTGTTGTTACCCTCCTTCTCCCATTTTAATAAATGTCTTTGATAGCCTCCTTTTTTTTTTTTTTTTTTTTTTTACCTAGAGGCTATCAAGCTCCACATGGCAATGCAAATGAAACCATACATAAATGTGGAATAATTTTCTTCCAAAAATTCTTAAATGAGCCCTGGGTGGAATCCTGGATGCTGTTTCCCACACAGAGACCCACTCCAGCAGGAAACAGACAGAAAAATCAGTGCTCAATTTCCCAAAGAGTGATAAGGGTCTCTACTCGAGAGGGGGCATAATGATGGAGAAGAAAAGAAAAAATCGGTTAGGTAGTCCACTAAGGCTAGTCCTCAGAGAAGAAACCTGCCTAAAAAAAATCACATCTATAGGTAAAAATAGAGCAGACTGGGGAAAACTCAGGCTCCATCTGCTAGAGAAGAAAGCAGAGCCCAGCACAGAACACTTTAGTTCTTTGTGGAATTAGCAGGCTCCCAGGAAAAAGTTTCCTTCCGTTTTCAGGCATATACATGGTGGGCTCCAGGGGAACTTGAACAGGGAGGTCAGGGCTTACCTAACACAAACTCACAGAAGAAGATTTTGTAACTTTAAAAAACAAGAGAGTTGGCCCTTTGTGCTTGCCTAGAGACATATCCACCACTACATAAAGGGGACTTGTACAGACAGCCTTCCTTATAAGTTACATAAACAGCTACAGAAATGAGAGGAGTTTCTCATAAAATCTCTTGGATTCAACTGTAAAAACAGCAACCCACTCTGGTTCTCATCTTGGCTGCAAAGAGCTTTCTTTTTTCACTTTTTAAACATTTTATCCAACCTCATCCTTTGTGTCTACACTGCTTAGTTTTCTTGATTGTGAGATAACAAGCTCAGAAAACACCTTAGACAATGAGACCAGTGACCTTAACCTATTTCACTGGACTCTGTGCTTCCTCCTGCATTAGTTTCCTTTCACTTCCCAGATTTTCTTGGTAGTTTGTGCCAGTTAATATTATTATATTGAGTTGGAAGCCTCTTTTACCCTATGAACCCTGTCAAATTTTACCTGCTTCCCTCTCTAAAGGTCTATGTGAGGTATAGTTAGGATGGTTTTGAGCAGTTCTTGAGCTGGAGAATCAGAATGCCTACAAGGCTATTCTTGCTGCTGTTTCTAGTTTTATATTTTGCACTAAATCCATTTAAGCTCTAGGTGAGATTAAAATTCTTCCCTTGTAATCTGGATTTTCAGGGTCCCCAATTGGGATGTGTGTTTGTCTAACTGGAAAGGGGTCCAGATCAAGACTACAAGAGAGGGTTTGTTGTGGGAAGTCAGGGAACCCAAATGGAGGGACCAGCTGAAGCCATGACAGAAGAAAATAAATTGTGAAGATTTCATGGACATTTATTAGTACACGAAATTAATACTTTTATAATTTTGTACACCTGTCTTTACTACAATCTCTGAACATAAGTTGTGAAGATTTCATGGACACTTATCACTTCCCCAATCAATACCCATGTGATTTCCTATGCCTGTCTTTACTTTAATCTGTTAATCTCATCATCTTCATAAGCTGAGGAGGATGTATGTCACCACAGGACCCTGTGATGATTGCGTTAACTGCACAAATTGTTTGTAGAGGATGTGTGTTTGAACAATATGAAATCTCAGCACCTTGAAAAAAGAACAGGATAACAGCAATGTTCAGGGAACAAGAGAGATAACTGTAAACTCTGACTGCTGGTGAGCCAGGTGGAACAGAGCCATATTTCTTTTCTTTCAAAAGCAAATGGGAGAAATATCATTGAATTCTTTTTCTCAGCAAGGAACATCCCTGAGAAACAGATGTGTCCCTGAGGGTAGGCCTCTGAAATGACTGCTTTGGGGGTGGCTGTCTTTTATGGTCACAGCTGTAGGGATGAAATAAGCCCCAGTCTCCCATAGCACTCCCAGGCTTATTAGGATGATGAAATTCCCACCTAATAAATTTTGGTCAGATCGGTTGTCTGCTCTCAAACCCTGTCTCCTGATAAGATGTTATCAATGAAAATGCATTCCCGAAACTTCATTAGCAATTTTAATTTCACCCTGGTCCTGTGGTCCTGTGATCTCACCCTGCCTCCATTTGCTTTGTGATATATTATTACCTTGTGAAGCATGTGATCTCTGTGACCCACACCAGATTCATAACTCCCTCCCTTTTTGAAAATCATTAATAAAACTTGCTGGTTTTGTGGCTTGGGGGGCATCATAGAACCTGCTGACATGTGATGTCTCCCCTGGACACCCAGATTTAAAATTTCTCTTTTATACTCTGTCCCTTTATTTCTCAGATCAGCCAATACTTAGGGAAAATAGAAAAGAACCTATGTGACTATCAGGGGCAGATTCCCCTGATAAGGGTTCTTGATATCACACAAGAAAATATTTGGGGTGAATCCATACAGTCAAATGAAAGCAACTTCATTAAGAAAGTAAAGGAATAAAGAATGCCTACTCTATAGGCCAAGCAGCCTCAAGGGCTGCTGCTTGCCTGTTTTTATGGTTATTTCTTGATTATATTCTAAATAAGCATTGATTATTTATGCCTCCCCTTTTCATTTTTTTATTTTTTATATTTATTTATTTAACCTTTTATTATTATTATTATTATACTTTAAGTTTTAGGGTACATGTGCACAATGTGCTGGTTTGTTACATATGTATACATGGGTGCAGCTCCCCTTTTTAGACTATATGAGGTAACTTCCTGACATTGCCATGGCATTTGTAAACTGTCATGGCACTGACAGGACTACAGCAGTGAGGACAACCAATGGTTACTCTCATTCCCATCCTGGTTTTGGTGGGTTTTATCTGGTTTATTTACTGCAACCTGTTTTCTCAGCAAGAGCTTTGTGACCTGTATCTTTATGCCTACTTTCTATCTCATCCTTTGACTAAAAAGGAGTAACCTCCTGGGAATGCAGCCTAGCAGGTCTCAGCCTTATTGCTCGGCATCTATTCAAGATGAAGTTGTTCTCATTAAAACACAACTGACGTTCAAGAGCAAGCTCTTGTTTTACCTCTCATATTTTGGGAACTCATTTTTAACCTGTCTTGTAAAATTCATAGTGGTATGCTGCTTCTTTCAAATGATCTGATAACTCTTTCTGTTTTCTTGGTACATTGCTGCAGTGTTTTCTGATGCAAACACTTCACACTGTTCTTTCCATCCAGGTGTGAGGTGCACATTAGCTCTGTCTCCTAACTGCTATCTTTCTCAGTAACTTAAAATAGCTCAATTCTTGATTTAAAAGCTGGTATCTTTGCTTTTCTATTTGAAGTTAGACTTCTGTACAGTTGATAATTTTTATTTTTCAATTATATATATGATATATGTTATTTACATTTCACATGAGAGAGATTTTGTGGAATTTTTCTTTATGTACCCATCTTTTCTAATTTAACATAATGTCTTTCAAGTTCCAACATGTTACCATAAATAACAGAACTTCCCCTGCTTTTAAGGCTTTTACATAATATTCCATTGGAATATTATATATATGTATTATATATATGGCACATTTTCTATAAATATTTATTTGCTGATAGAGAGCTTTTTCTACACCTTACCCATTGCAAATAGTTCTGCAATAAATATGAAAGTGCAGGTATTTCAACACACTAATATTATTTCCCATAAATGTATACCCAGTGGTGAGATTGTTGGATACTATGGTAGTTCTATTTTAAAATTTCTGAAGAATTTGTAAACTGTTTTTTATAATAGCTGTGCTAATTTACATTGCCACCAGCAGTATGCAAGGATTCAACTTTTTACATATCCTCATCAACACTTTTTTTGTCTTTTAAATAAGAACTTTTGAAAATTGTATAAGGTAATATTTAATCATGGTTTCAATTTGCATTTTTCTAATGAGTACTAATCAGCACTTTTCATATATATGTTGGCTATTTCTGTGAGATTTTGTAAGAGATTTTCATTTGGGTTGTTTGTCCCTTTTTTAATTAATAATTTGTTTTCTTGCTATTTAGTTGAGTTCAATACACATTTTTAATTAAAATATTAATTAATATATTAATAATATTAATAATTTGATTTTTGCTATTTAGTTGAGTTCAATACACACTTTAAATATTGCTATTTAGTTGAGTTCCCTACAAATACTTAATATTAATAATAATTATGATAACTTTTTATCAGAAGTATGAATTGTGAATATTTTCTCTATTTGGATATTATTTCCTTTATCATTTATTTTTACCTTGTTGTGCTGAAGCTCTTTAGTTTATTGTAATTTAATTTTTCTATTTTTGCTTTGGTTGCCTCCATTATTCAGTATATATAATAACAATTGCACATACAATCTCATGGAGTTTTTTCTATTATTTTCTAATAGTCTTACAAACTCAGGTCTCATATCTAAGCCTTTAATCAATTACAAGTTGAATTATTATAATACATAATGTGAGATAAGAGTAGAATCATACTGTTCTGCATGTATACATCAAAATTTCAAACCTTATACTTTAAAGAGTCTGTCCTTTTTCTATTGTGTCTTCTTGGCACTTTGTCAAAAATACTTGACCAAAAATACATGGAAATATGTGATGACTCTCCATTCTATTCCATTAATTTTTGTGTCTGTTTAATGTAAATTATGTGCTGGTTTATTTATGATAGCTTTGTAGAATATTTTAAAGTTAGATTGTAAAATCCACAAGCTCAGTTCTTCAATATTTTTGACTATTCTTTCTTGTGTGTGTTTCTGTCTGTTTAGAAAATTATTATTTTTGTAAAAAATGTCACTGAAGTATTATACAAGTTGGCTTAGATCTGTAGATCATGTAAAGCAATATGAATATTTTATTAATAATATTTTTATCATTTCATAAACATTAGAAATTTTGACATTTATTGCATTATATGTAATTTTTTAACTTTTATTTTAGGTTAAAATGTACATGTGAAGGTCTGTTGTACAGGTAAACTCATGTTACAGGGGTTTGTTGCATATATTATTTTATCACACAGATATTAAGCCCAATGCCCAGTAGTTATTTTGTCTTCTCTCCTTTCTCTCACCCATTTCCCTCTAGTACACCACAATGTCTACTTTCTTCTTTGTTTTCCTAAGTACTTTCTATTTATCTCCCACTCACAAGTGAAAACATGTGGCATTTGGTCTTCAGACTCTACATTAGTTTGCTAAGAATAATAGCCTCCAGCTCAGCCACTTCCCACAAAGGGCAAGTTATTGTTTGTTTTATTGGCTGCGTAGTAATCCATAGTGGATATGTATCACATTTTTAAATCTAATCTGTCACTGATTAGCATGTAATTTGATTCCATATCTCTGCTATTGTGCATAATGCTGCAGTGAACATTTTCATGAATGAATCTTTAGAACAGAATAATTTATATTTCTTTAGGTATATACCTGCAATGGGATTGCTGGATTGAATTACATATCTGCTTTTAGCTGCTTGAGTAATCCTCAGACTGCTCTCCACAATGGTTAAAATAATTTACGCTCTGACCAATAATGTATAAGCATTCCATTTTCTTTTAAGGTCACCAGAGTCTGTTGATTTTTGGCTTTTAAATAATAGTTATTCTGACTGGTGTGAAATGGTATCTTATTGTGGATTTCATTTGCATTTATCTAATGATTATATATATATATACACACACACAAGTACATATCAAGAGATGTTAAACTTTTTTTCATATGCTTGTTAGCTCCATGTATGTCTTCTCTTTAGATGTGTCTGCTCATGTCCTTTGTGCATTTTTAACAGATGTGTATTTTGCAGAATTTTTCTCCCATTCTGTAGATTGTCTGTTCACTCTGATGATGTTTCTTTTGCTGTGCAGAAACTCTTTACTTTAATTAGATGACATTTGTCAATTTTTACTTTTGGTACACTTGCTTTTGGTGTCTTTGTCACAAAATATTTTGCCATTTCTATGTCTAAGATGAAATTGTCTAGATTACCTCCCAGAGTTTTTATAGTGTTGGATTTTACATTTAAGTCATTAACTCATTTTGAGTTGATTTTTTTATGGTCTTAAAATGTGTCTAATTTATTTATTTATTTTTTTGCATATGGCTAGCCAATTATCTCAGCATCATGTATTAAACAAGTATTCTTTTTCTCATTATTTGTTGTTAGGTATGCCAAAGATTAAATGGACACAGAGGTACAAATGTGTTTCTAGGCTCTCTATTTTGTTCCATTGGTGTATGTTCCTGTTTTTGTACCAGTGTCATGTTGTTTTAGTTACTGTAGCCTTGTAGTGTAATTTGGAGCCAAGTATGTGATGCCTCTAATTTTGTCTTTGTACTTAGAATTGTCTTGGTTATTTTGGCTCTTTTTTAGTTCTAAATAAATTTTTTAAATATTTTTTTCTAGTTCTGTAAAAAAAAGTCATTGATAGTTTGATAGAAATAGCATTTAATCTGTAAATTGTTTTGGACAAAGTAGCCATTTTAATAATATTATTTCTTCTTATCCATGAGCATGATTTTTTTTTGTTTGTTTCTATTATCTCTGATTTCTTTGAGTTTTATAGTTCTTCTAGAGATTTTTCACCTCCCTTCTTAAATATATTCTGAGATATTTTATTGTTTTGTGGCAAATGTGAATGAGATTGCCTTTCTAATTTGGCTCTCCATTGTCATTAATGTGTAAGAATGCTAGTGATTTTTGTACATTAATTTTTTAATCTGCAACTTTCTGAAGTTGTTAATCAGCTAAAGCAGCTTTTGTGCTGAGGCTATGTGCTTTTCTAGTTATAGAATCATGCCAAATGCAAACGGGTGGTTTCGGTTCCTCTTTTTCTATTTTGATGCTTATTTCTTTGGCTTGTTGGATTCAACTCCCAGAACTTCTTGTTGAAGTTCCAGTAGCCTAGAAATTTCAATACTGCATTGAACAAAGGTGGTGACAAAGGGCATCCTTGTCTTGTGCTGTTTTTCAGGGGAAATAGTTCTAGCTTTTGCCCATTCAGTATAATGTTGTCTGTGGGTTGGTCATAGATGGCTTTTATTATTCAAAAATGTATTCTTTAATATCAAGTTTATTGAGTTACTAACACAAAGTGATATTTAATTTTGTTATAAGTATTTTCTGCATATATTGAAATTATCAGGTGGGTTTAGTCTTTAGTTTTGTTTATGTGGTATATTACATTTATTCGTTTGTGCATTTTGAACAAACCTTACATTCTGGTATTGAAGCCTACTTGATAACTTTGGGTTTGTTACTTAATGTGCTACTGGATTGAGTTTGCAAGCATTTTATTGAGGATATTTGCCTTGATGTTCATTAAGTTTGTTGGCCTAAAATTTTCTTTGTTTTTATTGTGTCTCTGCCAGGTTTTGGTATCAAGATAATACTGGCCACATAGAGTGAGTTGGAAAAATTTTTCTTCTCCTCAACTGTGAGTGGCAGCTCTTGTTTGTACATCTAGTAGAACTTGGGTGTGAATTTATCAGGTCCTGGACTTTTTTTTCCGGCTGGCTATTTTTTTCTGATTCAATTTTGGAGCTTGTTATTCGTCTGTTCAAGAAATTACTTTCTTCCTTGCTTAGTCTTGGGAAGATGCACATGTCCAGTAATTTGTTTACGTCTTCTAGGTTTTCTAGTTTTTGTGCATAGAGGTAATGAGGTAGATTCTGATTATCGTTCTGACTTCTGTGGGTTCAAGAGTAACATTCTGTTTATCATTTTTAATTGTGCTTATTTGGATTGTATCTATTTCTTTTATTACTCCAACTGGTGGCCTATCCATTTTATTATTTTTTTTCAAAAAATCAACTCCTGGATTCATTGATCTCTTAAATATTTTTTTGTGCCTTTATTTCCTTCAGTTCAGTTCTAATTTTTGTCATTTCATTCTGCTAACTTTGAGGTTGATTCACTCTTGTTTCTCTAATTCTTTCAGTTGTCAGTGTTATTATTGATTTATTTCTAAATTCTTGATATGGAATTTAGTGCTATAAATTTTCTTCTTAATGCTGACTTAGCTGTGACCCAGAGATCCTAAGATGTTGTATCTTTTTTAAAATTTTTTAAAGTTATTTTCAAAATTGTCTTAATTTCTTTCTTAATTTTATTGTTTGCCTAAAAGTCATTCAAAAGCATGTTGTTTAATTTATGTATAATTGCATGATGGTGAGTAATTTTTCAGAGTCTTGACTTCTGTTTCTGTTGCACTGTGGTCCAAGACTCTGTTTTGTATGATTTTTTTTCTCACATTTGTTGAGGATTGGTTTATGCCCAATTATAATCAATTTTAGAGTATGTGCCACGTGGCAATGAAAAGAAAGTGTATTTTGTTGCTTTTAGGTGGAGTGTTCTATAAAGATCTATCAGATTAATTTGGTTTAACATAGAATTTCAGTTCTGAATATCTTTATTAATTTTCTGCCTCAATGATTTATCTGTCAGTAGAGTTTTGAAGTTTCCCACTATTATTGTATTGGAGTCTATGTCTCTTTGTAGGTTTTTAAGAACTTGTTTTATGAATTCAGATGCTCCTGTTTTGGGTGCACATATTAAGAACAGACTGTAAAAAGGTTAGGTCTTCTTGTTGAATTTAACTACTTACCATTATGTAATTCCCTTCTTTGTTTTATTTTATCTTTGTTGGTTTGAAGTCTGTTTTTTTTCTGAAATATGAATTGCCAATTTTGCGTTTTAATTTTATTTTATTTTATTTATTTATTTAAGACAGAGCCTCACTCTGTTACCAGGCTGGGGTGCAGTGGTGTGACCTCGGCTCAATGTAACCTCTGGCTCCAGGGTTCATGTGATTCCCTTGCCTCAGACTCCTCAGTAGCTGGGACTACAGGCCTGCAGCACCATGCCCAGCTAAGCTTTTGTACTTTAGTGGAGATGGGGTTTCACCATGTTGACCAGGATGGTCTCGATCTCCTGACCTCATTATCTGCCTTCCTCAGCCTTCCAAAGTAATGGGATTACAGGCATGAGCCACCGCTCCAGGCTGCAAGTTTTGCTTTTTTGTGTCATCCATTTGCTTGGTAGATTTCCTTCCATTTCCTAATTTTAATCCTGTAAGTGTCATTACATGTGAGATTGCCCTCTTAAAGAGCATACAATTGAGTCTTGCAATTTTATCCAGCTTGCCACTCTTCTCTGTGCCTTTTAAATGGGACATTTAGGTCATTTACATGTAAGATTAGTATTAATATGTATATCTGATCTTGACATTGTGCTGTTAACTTGTAAACATAGTTACATAAATGGAGTTATTATGTTTGTTGTTTGTATAGTTGCTTTACAGTGACACTGATCTGTGTGTTTAAGTGTGTTTTTATATTTCCTGGCAGTGATCTGTTTTTTTCTATATTTCGTTCTATTTTTAACATCTCTTGTGAGGTAGATCTGGTGGAGGTAATTTCCCTTAATATTTGTTTATCTGAAAAGGATCGTATTTCTCTTTAACATAGGTAGCGTAGTTTGGCTTTACCTAAAATACTTGATTGAAGTTTTTCTTTTTGAATGTTGACTATAGGACCCCAATCTCTTCTGGCTGTATGGTTTTATCTGAGAGTTATGCTGCTATCCTAATTGAATTCCTTCTGTTGGTGGCATACCCTTTCTCTCTAGATGTCTTTAACATTCTTTCCTTTATTTTGACCTTAAAAAATTAGATAATTATGTGTCTTGGGAATAATCTTGTGTAGAATCTTGCAGGGGTTCTCTGTATTTTCTGAATTTGACTGTTGGCCTCTTTAGCAAAGTAGCAGAAGTTTTCATGAATAATATTCTAAAACATTTTTCAAGTTTTTTACTTTCTTTCCCTCCCTTTCATGAATGCTAATGTTTTATAAAGTTGGCCTCTTTAGTTTATCCCATTCTTCCCAGAGTTTTATTTATTCATTTCTGTTCTTAAAAAAAAAATTGTCTGACTGTATTATTTCAGAGACCCAGGCATCACGTTCTGAGGTGATTTTCTCAACTTGTTTTTTTCTGCTTTAATTCTTGTAACTGCATTGTGAAATTCTTGTATAGTGTTATACAGCTCTGACAGACACATTAGGTTCTTTATTGTACCAGCTACTTGGTACTTCAACTTCTATATTGCCTTCCTGTGATTCTTAGTTTCCTTGGATTGGGTTTTGTTTTTCCTGAATCTCAATGATCCTAATTTCTATTTATATTCTGAATTATATTTCTGTCAATTCAGCCAAATGATCATAGTTAAAAACCATCTGGAGAACTGGCATTGTCATTTGAGGGACATATTACACTCTGGCCATTTGAGTTACCAGAGCTCATCTGTGTGTTCTTTCTTATTTCTGCATGTGGTTATTGTTTGAACTGTAGTGTAGACTGAGTACAGTCCATAGACGTATTCTGAATTTCACTGGACCAATGCTTTTTGCGAGGTCTTTATTTAAAGCTGGTTTCTTGTCTCTTGTTTTAGAGAGGATATGTTACTGAGAAAATTTTGGTGTTGAAGGATTGGAATGTTATTCAGCAGGAAGCACCTGAGCTTACTGATGACTTGGTAGACTCTTGCTTAATTATACGGCTCTCCTTTTTTTTCTCACAACTGCAGCTGTGTTTTCTCTCAATTATCTGAAAATATGCATTTTTATCCTTGTCAACTTTTGAGTGTAGATCATGACTTTGCATTCCTGCACTGCACTGTGCTGCCCTGAAGGCATCTCTGTGTTTTTATTTCTTCCTCAACTTGGAGGCAGCAGAAGAAAAGATCATAGTAGTGACTGCGGTCAAGTGTCTTTTGGTTGTTTCCTGGGGCCTCCATCCAAGGGAAATGCAGGTCAGCAATCTCTCAATGCAACCAGCCCTGGAAGGATATTTTGTGTTGTAGGACCAAGCCAGGGATTCTCTGTCTGATAATTAGCAATATGGGGTGTGTGAGACTTATGGGAGATGGACTGGTCGCTTCTCCTTGAGTCAACAGCAGTTTGTTGGAGGTGTAGATAAGGCACTTAGGGTCTTTTCTCCTTTGTTAGTTTCAGGGTGGCAAGGGCAGTTTCACTGCACAGGCTGTGGCAGGAAGGCTTTTAGTTACTTCTTGAGGCTCCTGTCCAGGGATTTGCCAAGTTGCTACTGGGTGATAGCTCTGAAGGGTGTGACTCTGTAGAGACTCTACTTAGCTCTGAAGGCCCAGGTCTGGAGGACCTGCTAATGGGACGTACAGGACTGGGCTATTACATAATAGTTTGGCTACTTTTATACAGGGTTGCTGCAATATGTTGTAGCTCACTCCAGCCTCTAGTCATGTCAGACTGTTCTCTTGAACAGTGATACCTTGAGGTACCACTAGAGAAGGTTGAAAAACAGCAAAGATGGCAGCCTTTTTTCTGTCTCCGGGAACTTAATCCCAGGGAGGTATAGGTCTATTGCTGACACGAAGGCTCCTGTACGACGTGACTGGATACCTTGGTTGAGAAATCCCGGTCAGTGAATAAAAATGGGGTTAGAGACCCACTTTAAAAAGCTATCTCCCCGCTTTGATAATGTAACTGTGCTGTGCTAAAGGGTTTGCTTCAGCCCTGGTTGCCTCAGATGCTTCAGAGCTTGAAGTCTGAAACAGTTAAATCACCTAAACAACTAAATTTGTGGCCCACCACTCTCTCTTATAGCACCATTTCAGGGAGATTACAAATATCTGTTGGCTGGAGAACACCACCGTGGATGGCTGGAGGGCCCGATTGGGCCTCGCTCAACCAAGAGAAATGTGATCAGGGATCCGCTTTAAAAAGCAGCCTGGGCACATTTTGCTAGAGCAGCTGTGCTGTGCTGAGGGACCCCCTTCATCTCTAGTAGGCTCAGAATGATCAAAACCTAAAGGCTGGATTGGCTAAGTAACCCCAAGAACAAAGATGGTAGCCCAACTCTCACTCGGGGGGTGCTGTCCCAGGGGAAAGTCAAGACTTTCTTGGCTGAAGAACTTGCATAAGGGAGGCTAGAGGTCCCACTTGGGAGATCCCAATCAGTGAGAAGGAACAGGATGAGGACCTGCTTAAAGCAGCAGTCTGTCAACATTTTGGGAGGGCAACTGTGCTGCACTGGGGGATTCATACCCCACCCCCCAGTTGGCTCAGAGTCTCCACAGCCTGATACCTAAAGTTGCTAAGGTGTGCAACCAACAAAGATGGTTGGGACTTTCCCTTTGAGATTTCCTTCTTAAGGAGGTGCAATGACACTAACAGTTGACACAGGGGATAAAAAGAAATTATTTAGGCAGGTAGTGAGGATAAAAGAGTTCTCAGCAAGGCTTCCCTTCTAGCAAAAAGCAGCCCAATAAATTATCTGCTATAACAAGGAGGAGCCTAACAAATAGAGCTGCAAACATAGATTAAAAAGCTTGAAGCTTACATGGGTGAATGCCAGCAGCTGTGCCAATAGAAAAGGGCTGCCTGGGCAGCAGACATGACCACCAAGAAGTCCCCATTATCTTTTATCTTTTTACCATGTATACAGTAAAGAAACAGGCAACATGGCACTAACCAGGCAGAAAACCTATCTGCATAGTAAAAGATTAGAGTAGAGGTGGCCAGCTTTTTGCACCCTCTGCAAGTGGCACTCCTAGACCTAACCAGTTTCCTATGCCATATGCAAATGGTTCATCCAATCTTTTGTTCCCTATGTCAATCAGACACTTAATCCTTAAGCTTATCTATAAAAACCACTGCATTTCACCATGGAAACAGCAACCCATTTTTTCAGGCCCTCTCTGTGCAGCAGAGAGCTCTTCTCTTTCTTTTGCCTATTAAAGTCCACTCTGAAGCTCACTCTTTTTGTGTTTGAATTATAGTTTTTCATGACCATGAGACAATGAACCTCATGTATCACTGCCAGACAGTGAGGTCACTTCACAGTGACTGGCTGGAATTCCACGTCAGTGTGGCTTATCTTTTGAGGTGCTTTGGAAGTGGGGCTTGCAGGTTGTCATAGTTCAGACCCTTGCATTCAACCTCTTTCACAGGGTTATGTACAGGGATCTAGCATCCCACTTTTTTTTTTTTTTTTTTTTTTTTTTTGAGACTGAGTCTTGCTGTGTCTCCAGGATGGAGTGCAGTGTCTGGATCTTGGCTCACTGCCATCTCCACCTCCCATGTTCAAGAAATTCTCCCTCCTCAGCCTCCCAAGTAGCTGGTGTGGGATATGATAAGGTTTCTCTTCAAATAACTTGATCAATCTTTTATTCTTTAACTCATAGTACCCCTAGTACCTCCCCTCTTTTTTTTTCCTTTTTCTCCTTTTTTCCTTTTTGCCTTTGTTAGATGCCCAGGCACACCACAGTACCAGGCGTTATCAGTACCAGCTTACATTCCTTTCCTTATTTGGAAAGAGGACTAACTTTCTAGCTCATTACAGACACCCCTTCCCCTTTCGTTTCTGCTTTCTTTTATGTGCCCCCTTTATAAAAAAAAAAAAAATCAAATATGTAGCCAACCAGGGTTAGTTTAGATTGTATGAACAGACCCCAGCCAATCGGGAAAGGGTACAGAGGCAGGACTTGCATCAGGAATAAAGGCTCTCTTGTGCCCCTTTGTTCAGGTGTGCTCTCAAGGCGACTGGCCAAGGAGGCACACCCCTCTGCACAGAAGTAAAATTGCTTTGCTAAGAATCGTTTTTTCAAGTGTTCCATTTCCTTAGGATTTTGACTGTTATTCCTAACACTTCTGGCACCCAACTTTGGGGCTCCAATATTCTCCTTAGGTACGGGGGCCTTCGGTTACCCTTCCCAAGGGAGACGCATCCTACTGTCTCGTTAGGGTGGCCCTAGGGTGAAGGAGATCAGGCCCACCTGTGGTAATGAATAAATCTGGATTCGCAGCAAAGCGGGGAGGAGAGGCTTGCAATACCGTGGCAATAAGAGGACCAGGCAATTATTGTGCATGGAATAAGGTAGGAGACTTCACGAAGGTGACAAAGTATTTCCTGGGTGGTCAGGATGAGATGGAGGCTGAGAATGTGTGAATGGGAGTAAGCATCGTGGTTGTGTGGAGTGAATGAGTCTTCTTTTCAGTCTCATGTTGCCATCTATCGACTAGAGGCAGGAAAACACAAAGTAGACAAAGAGGAAGGGGGAGGGTAGAAACCTCTGACAGGTGGGGTTGGAGCTTTTCCCTAAAGCCTCAGTAAGCCTCCAGGAAGGGTGAGGGTAGACATCTCTAAGAGGAGGGGTTGTCCCCCAATAACCCATAAGACGGGGAAAGTTTCAAATAATACAGGAAAACCAAAGAGTCTAGAGAGTGATGAAATTCCTTCAGATAGCCCCTTGGGGCTTATGCTAAAGTATTGGAAAGATAATGAGAGAACCAAGTATAAAGAAAAACAGCAGACAATAAAATATGTTGTTTGATTTGGGTTCGACAACCCATCCTTAAACCCTGAATTTTCTGGCCAAAATTTGGGTCTAATGAAGAACAGATTTGTCAGCTGTTAATCAAACGTGTTAATGATAAGAACCCTGTCTCCCACGAACAAATCGATTACACCCTCTGCTGGCAGCAGGGACCAGTTCTCCTTTAACCTTTAGACTCTGGAGGGAGAAAGTCAGAAGCCAACTCTTTTAAAAGGGAAACAGTTCCCATAGCTAGACAACCCACAACTACTAACTAACATGTGGGATCCTTTAAATCATCTTCCTTCATTCAGCGCCCCCTAACCCGCCAGTCTGGTTCGCGTTTCAGGTCCCTCCCGTTTCCCTCACTCTTCCAGCTGCCCCCCTATTCCGCCCCTCTGGTACCCGTCTCAGGTTCCT
Source organism: Homo sapiens (assembly GCF_000001405.40). Classification (NCBI taxonomy): domain Eukaryota; kingdom Metazoa; phylum Chordata; class Mammalia; order Primates; family Hominidae; genus Homo; species Homo sapiens. The sequence continues at coordinate 19,816,385 of NC_000024.10, read as the reverse complement.
CCCCTGCTTGTGTCACTCTTCCGGTTGCCTGTGATTCCGCCCTTCCAGTTCCCATCTTACGTTCCTCCCCTGTTTGCATCACTCTTTCGGCTGCCTCCTATCCTGTCCCTCCAGCTGCAGTTTTGGGTCACTCTCCAGCCATCTCAGGCCATGTTCCAGCCTGTGCCCTCCCTCCAGCTGTGGTTTCCGATTATTCCCCAGCCATTTCAGGCCACGCCCCAGCCTAGGCCATCCCTCTGGCTGTGGTTTGGGGTTACTCCCCAGCTGTTTCAGGCAGGCCCCAGCCTGTTCTATTACCCCAGCTGCTGCCGTGGATCCCTCCTCCACTTGTGGTGCTTCTGCTCATATTGCTCCCCCTCCTTATATTCCCAACTTTGCAGAATTACCGTCTTGTGAGCCTGCCCCTTCTTAACCTATTAAGTATCCCTATTTAAAGGGGCTTCAACATGAAATAGAGCAATGTAAAAAAGATATCCAAAACTTTCCCTTTCCCTTCACACCCAAAGAGCCAGATCCAACTTTCTTTCCTTTAAGAGAGGTACCACAGGGTGGAGGGGCTATTGGCTTTGTAAACCCTCCCTTGATTACTTCAGAGGTCTGGAATTTAAAAAAGAAGTTTAAGCCATTACTGGATGATCCTTATGGAGTAGCAGATCAAATTGATCAATTTTTAGGGCCTCAGATATACACTTGGACTGAGTTGATGTCCATCTTCAGCATTCTCTTTTCAGGAGAAGAATGAAGTATGATTCAGCGGGCTGCTATGGAGGTTTGGGAACATGAGCCCCATCCTGGTCAAAATGTTCCTCCTGCAGGCCATAAATTTCCAGCCCGAGGACCCCCAGTGGGACAATAACAATGCAAATCACCAGGAAAACATGCAAGATCTAAGAGAGATGATAATAAAAGGAATTTCAGAGTCAGTACCCCGAAATCAAAATATTTCCAAAGCATTTGATATTCAACAGGAAAAAGATGAGGGACCTCCTAGATTCTTAGATAGAGGGAGCAAATGAGACAGTATGCAGGCCTTGATCTGGAAAATCCCCTTGGACAGGGAATGTTAAAACTTCACTTTGTTACTAAAAGTTGGCCAGACATTTAAAGAAAATTACAAAAAATAGATAATTGAGAGGACAGTCCCCTATGTGAACTGCTCAGGGAGGCTCAAAAGGTATAGGTCAGGAGAGACAAGGAAAAGCAAAAACAAAAGACAAAACTTATGTTACCTGCCTTCCAGCACATGGCTCCAAATCCAAATCCATATATCTCTAAGCAGGGCTTCCAAGGGGCCTACACCCATCTTGAGAGGTCCCAAGCCTCCGTCTGGAGGGCTGAGGTCCTCAACAAATAAGCCTCCTAAGGGGTATAGTGGGGCAAGAACAGACAATGCTAAGACTGAGAAGGGAGAAGGACAAGATAGATGTTACCAATGTGGAAGAACAGGCCACTTCAAGAGGGAGCGTCCTTAACTAGAGAGAGAGACAGAAACTCTCACACTCATGAGTTTTAAAGAACAATAGGGCAGTCAGGAGCTCTGCCGCTTTTATTTTGAGTCCCACCAGGAGCCCTTGATAAATTTGAAAGTGGGACCTAAATGTGAATTTATCACCTTTTTAGTCAATTCAGGGACTTCATGCTCCTCTGTTTCCCTCCACCTGGTCTCACCTGGTCTTCAGAGGAACTTTTAGTCTCTGGGATAAAAGGAGGAGGATTTAAGGCAAAAATTTTAGAAAGCACAGACATCAGATATCAAAATTGATTTACTCATATTTAATTTTTATTAATTCCTGAAGTGGGAACAAATATATTAGGAAGGGATTTAATGTTAAATCTAGGCATAGGACTTCAAGTAGGACCTAAAGAATTCCTTACTTCACTACATTTACTCACTGCTGTGGATGAGAAATATATTAATCTCCATGTCTGGTCAAAAGAAGGAAATAGAGGGAAACTCCAAATCCCTCTAATACATATCAAACTAAAAACTCCTGCGGAAATAGTAAGGAGAAAGCAATACCCCATTTCCTTTAGAGGGCAGAGTAGGTCTAAAGCCTGTAATTGAGGGTCTCATTAAAGATGAGCTTCTAGAGCCCTGTATATACCCCAATCCTGCCTGTCAAGAAATCAGATGGGTCACATCAATTGGTGCAAGACCTTAGAGCTATTAATCAAATAATACAGACCACTCACCCCATTGTTCCTAACCCTTACATCATTCTTAGCACAATTCCATACAATCATCAGTGGTTTACAGTGATAGATTTGAAGGATGCCTTCTGGGCATGCCCTTGGCTAAGGATAGCCAAGATATATATGCTTTTGAGTGGGAAGACCCCTATTCAGGGCAGAGACAACAATATCAACGGACAGTCTTGCCCCAGGAGTTCTCAGATTTCCTCAACCTCTTTAGTCACATCCTAGAACAAGTACTAGAGAAAGTTACAGTCCCTAAACAAATATGTCTGCTTCAGTACATGGATGATCTTCTTATATCTGGTAAAAACATAAAAGAAATAGGTGACTTCTCCACACACTTTCTCAATCACTTGCAATGTGAGGAGTTGTGGGTCTCAAAAGGGAAACTTCAGTATGTAGAATCTAAACTTAAATACTTAGGCCACCTAATAAGTGCAAGTAAACAAAGAATAGGACCTGAAACAGTGGAGGGAATTGTTTCCCTGCCCCTGCCTCAAACTAAACAGGAACTCAGGAAATTATTATTACTATTATTATAGATGGAGTCTGGCTCAGTTACCCAGGCTGGAGTTCAGTGGCACAATCTCAGTTCACTGCAAGCTCCACCTCCTGGGTTCTCATCATTCTCCTGCCTCAGCCTCCTGAGTAGCTGGGACTGCAGGTGCCCACCACCATGCCCAGCTAATTTTTTTATATTTTTAGTAGTGATGTGGTTTCACCATGTTAGCCAGGACATGCTCGATCTCCTGAACTGGTGATCTGCCTGCCTCAGCCTCCCAAAGTCCTGGGATTGTAGGCATGAGCCAAAACACCTTGTCAGGATTCAGGAAATTCTTAGGGCTAATTGGATATTGTTGTTTATGGATTGACTCATATGCATTAAAAAGTAAACATCTATATGAGAAACTTGCCCAGTGGAAGCCTGATTATTTCTCATGGACTTCCCAGGAAATCCAGCAAATTGAAGGATTAAAAGAGAGGTTCATAACTGCCACATTCTAGCTCTACCCTCCCTAGAAAAGCCATTTTACCTTTTCATTAATGTAAACAACTGGGTGGGCCTAGGAGTGCTCACCCAAGAACATGGAGGTTGCTGGCAGCCTGTGGCCTTCTTGTCAAAGGTCTTAGACCCAGTCACTAATGGATGGCCCCAGTGTATCCAATCCATCACAGTTACAGAAGTATTAGTCAAAGAAAGTAGGAAGCTAATATTTGGAGGAAAGTTAACAGTAAGCATGCCCCACCAAGTTAGAACGATATTAAATCAGAAAGCAGGGATATGGATCACTGACTCAAGAATTTTAAAATAGGAGGCTCTCTTACTGGAAAAAAGATTATTTAATATAAACTACTGATAATTCACTTAATCCAGCAGGCTTTTTAACAAAGGATCCAAACTTAAAATGAGACCACACATGTTTAGGTCTGATTGATTGCCATAAAAAAGTTCAACCAAACTTAGGAGAAACTCCCTTCAAGACAAGGCAACACTTATTCAAATATAGGTCATCCCAGGTGATTGAAAGGAAAAGACATAATGAGCATTCAGTGATTGATGGAGAGATGCTTGAAGAAGTAGAATCGGGAAGGCTGCCTAGTAACTGATCTGCCCAAATGTGTGAACTGTTTGCACTCAACCAAGCTTTAGGACATTTACAAAACCAAGAAGGAACTATCTATACTGACTCTAAGTATGCCTTTGGGTGGAACACACATTTGGGAAAATTTGAATGGAGAGGGGTTTTTTCAATAGTAGAGGCCAAGATGTAGTTCACAGAGAACTGATTACTCCTGTCCTCAACAATCTCCAATTGCTGGCAGTGATAGCATTGTAGATGTCCCAGGGCACCAAAGGGACTGGTCTTTCACAAGTCAGGGAAATAATCTTGCAGATCAGACAGCAAAACAAGTTGCTGTTTCTTCCAAAATGCCTGTTTTTCATTTAACTCCATGCCTCCCTTCTCCTACTGCAACTCCAATTTTCTCTTCCATTGAAAAAGAGAACTTGATAAAAATAGCAGCTAAAGAGAATGCAGAAGGGAAATGCATATTACCAAATCAAAAGGAGATGTTGTCAAAACCTCTCATGAGGGAGGTCTTGTCTCAATTACATCAGGGGGCCCTTTGGGGACCCCAAGCAATGTGCAATGCCTTTCTCTGAGTTTATGAGTATATGAGAATTTACACCCTGGCCAAACAAGATAGATAGTTGCTGAAGACCTATAAGCAGAAAGAGGATAGGCTCATCACACCCAAGTCAAGGAGGCGCTGCCACCTCCAGAATCATGGACTGTCACTCCAGGGCCCACTCCCACCAAACTAACTCTAAAATGAGCTTAATAATCACTTGTTTATTCTCTTTTTTCTTTTCAACAGAAGGTCATCTTGTCATCAGTGTAATGCAGGTTACTCATCTGTTAACTCTTCAGTTCAACACGTGTTCAGTCATCCTGTGTAGAGATGAGCAAGCTCAAAGGAAGCTATCCCATGTTGATAAGTATCTATGTCCATACCGCAAAGAATCAAGCAAGTATGGAGCTTTAAAAAGTCCCTGAGTTGACTGGGCAGATGTTTGGTGGAATACTAAGTACAAACGGTGGACAGCCAACCCCCCACTTCAAATAAGTTACGAGGACTGAAACAAAAACTCCAACTAGTCTGTTGTCCCACCCCACCAAATTGTAAGCTATTCCACTGTAACTCCTTGTTGCTGATTATAAATAATTCCCGGATGATGGCCGAAGAGCTGTCTCTATTCATATGGTATGGGTTAGGAGCAGACATTGAAGACAGGACCCTATAGGAATCTTCTCCCTAACGTTATTTAAAACATTGGATAACAATTATAAAGGAGTTCAGAGACAAAGTCCGGGACACACATGGAACCCAATGCTTTGCCCATGTATAGCAAATCCAACATCCTCCTCCCATCTCCAAAATGACCCAACCAAGGTAATGGTTGTGGAGGTAGAAAACTTAAGGCAAACTATAGCTGTAGACACAGGATATCAATATGCAAATGCTTGGCTGGAATGGATTAAGTATTCCTTCTGCACTTTAAACAACAGTGAATGTTACCCTTGTGTGCATGGTAGACCAGAGGCCCAGATTGTCCCCTTTCCACTTGGATGGTCTTCTAGCTGACCGGGCATGAGCTGTATGGTAGCTCTCTTCCAAAACCCCTCAGTCTGGGGCAACAAATCACGCCAAGCTTTTTCTCTGCTGTTCCCTAAAGTTCAACATCCTGCAGGTCAGCCCCCAAGGGCCATTCAGCCTCCATCTCCCAATGACCATTCTCCTTTGTGTCTGTGACGACAGGGAGAGAACTTGGCATTGCCGGTATCCTTAATGGGATGCAGTGAGCTTAATCCCTTCTAAGAGCTTACCCAACAGACTGTTCTTAGCCATCCTTGAGGGGATGTGTGCTGGTATTGTGGTGGACCAATACTAGATGCTCTGCCAAGTAACTGGAGTAGAATGTGTGCTCTAATTCAATTGGCCATCCCTTTTGCCCTGGCATTTCATCAACCGGAAAGGGTAGGAACAAAATATCATCAAATAAGAGAGGCCCCCACATTGGTCCTTCAATTCTCATGTTTATATAGATGCCATTGGGGTCCCAAGAGGAGTGCCAAATAAATTTAAGCCCCAAAATCAAATAATTGCTGGATTTGAATGTATGTTCTTCTGGTGGTTAACTGTAAATAAAAATGTGAATTGGATAAATTACATTCAATACAATCAGCAATGATTTATTAATACTACTAGAGATGCTATTAAAGGAATAGCTAGCTGAATAATTAGGACCCATCAGTCAAATGGCCCGGGAAAATAGGATAGCATTAGACATGATACTAGCAAAACAAGGTGGAGTTTGTGTCATGATCAGGACCCAATGCTGTACTTATATCCCTACCCTAATGATACTGCTCCTGGCAGGACCATAACTAAAGCATTACAGGGTCTTACTGCTCTGTCAAATGGGCTAGCCAAAAATTCTGGACTAAAAGATCCCTTCACAAATTTCATTGGAAATTGTTCTGTAGATGGAAGGGACTTACATCCTCAATCTTCATTTCTCTGGCCATTGGAATGGGATTGCTTATTCTCGTAAGATGCTGCATCATACCCTGTGCCCAAAGATTAACAAAAAGACATACTAAAACAGCTCTCACTGAAACCTCTTACAATCCTCCTCCCCCTGATTCAAATAAGCTTTTCCTTCTAGAAGACCAAGTAGAACAATGAAGCCAAACTATGCTGAAAGATTTGAGGAGAAAGAGTTACAAAAAAAAGGAAGAAAGGGAAGCTCTGGGATATGATGTGGTTTCTCCTCAAATAACCTGATCAATCTTTTATTCTCTAATTCATAGTACCTCCTGCTCTTTTTCTTTTTTCTCCTTTTTTTTTTTCTTTTTGCGTTGGTTAGATGCCCAGGCACACCACAGTACCAGGCGTTATCAGTACCAGCTCACATTCCTTTCCTTATTTGTAAAGAGGACTCTAACTTTCTAGCTTATTACAGACACCCCTTCCCCTTTCTTCTCTGCTTTCTTTTACGTGCCCACTTTATCTAAAAAAATCAAATGTTTAGCCAACTGGAATTAGCTGAGATTGTATGACCCAGACCTAGCCAATGGAGAAAGGGTACAGGGGCAGGGCTTGCATCAGAAATAAAGGCTGTCACGCCCCTTTGTTCAGGTGTGCGCTCATCATGACTAGCCAAGGAGGCACCCATCTGTGCAGAAGTAAAATTGCTTTGCTAAGAATCTTTTGTTTTGAGTGTTCAATTTCCTTAGGATTTTGAGCTTTCTTCCTCACTGGGATTACAGGCACATGCCACCACACCCAGCTAATTTTTGTATTTTTAGTAGAGAAGGGGTTTCACCATGTTGGCCAGGATAATCTCAATCTTTTGACCTCATGATCCATGTGCCTCGGCCTCCCAAGGTTCTGGGATTACAGGCATGAACCACCATGCCAGGTCCTAACCTCCCACTGTACTGAAGCTATAGCTGTTTTTGCTGGAAAGCCTGAGTATCTAAGTCTCCAGGGTCTTTATTGATGCTAGAATGGCTGCTTTGTGGAGACTCTGCTTAGCTCTGTCTGTTACACTAAATGCACTGGTGGAATGGGTTAGCAAAGAGATTTTCTTATCTGAGGGTTACAAACGTTTGTGGAAGAAGTGTGATTTTTCGGGGTTACATATTCACTTACCACTTCCCTGGGTGGGGGAGGTTCTCTTGGCTCCTGGATATTTCTGTTGAAGGTGTTGTATTTACTCACTTTTTTGTTATTTTCCATGAGAGTCATGCACACTAGCTGTTTCTAAATAGTTTGATATTTGATAGCAAAATAGGGTGGCTATAGTCTATAATAACTGTATATTTTTATATAATTTAAATAATGTAATTAAATTGTAACTCAAACAATAAATGCTTTAAGGGATGGTTACTCTGTTCTCCATAGAAGTGTTCATATCATATTACATTTCTGTATTGAAACATCTTATATACCCTGTAAATATATCTATCTCTTTCATACCCACAATAAAATTAAAAACAACTTAAAATTTAAAAAAAGCATGACTTTTTTGTATGTTGATCTTATAACCTGTAACTTTACTAAGTTTATTTTTCAAACTCTCATGGGTTTTTCTGACAAAATCATGAGCTTCTAAATATAAGATTATGTCATCAGCAACTAGAATATACTTCACTTATTCCTTTCTGTTAGAATATATTTTCCTTGTTACTATTTTCTAAACTCTCTGGCTAGGAATTCCAGCACTATACTGAAAAATGTATTGATATTCTTGTTCTGTTTCTAATCTTAGAAAAAAACTTCCAATTAGAAATTCATCATCTACAGCCTTTATTGTGATCATATACATTCCTTCTATATGTAGTACCTTGAGGATATTTAAACATAAAAATATGGTTAACTATGTTAATGCTTGTTCAAATATTTTTAAATGATCACACGATTTTTCTGTCTTTGTCCTATAAATATGGCGTATTCATTTATGTAATGGGGTACATTGAACCATTTTTTATCCCTGAGATAAATGTTACATAACCATAGCAAATAAATTCTTTTAATATATTATTGAACTTTTTTTACTACTATTTCGTTGAATATTTTTGCATCTCTGTTTATAATAAACATTGGTCTGTAGTTGTCTGCTTGTGTCTGTGTCTGTATGTGTTTATCCTTCCCTGGATTTAATATTAGGTTGCTGGCCTTGCTATTTTTATATACTTATTGAGATTTATATGTCTTCTTATTAAAATTTTTTAAAATTTTAAAATATTAAAATAAAATTCGTATTATTAAAATATTTTGCCTTTTAAAAAATTGGGTTCTTAGCTGGTTTTGTTTTTATCACTATTAGGTTTTGAATTTCTTACAGGTGGAGTTTGTGTCACGATCAGGATCTAATGCAGTACTTATATCCCTAATAACACTGTTCCTGGCAGAACCATAACTAAAGAATTACAGCATTACTGCATTACTGAGTCTTCCTTTACTTATTTATTTATTTTAACTTGCCAACATTAACACATTTACACATACATTTATTCACTTATTTATTTTATTTTATTATACTTTAAATTCTAGGGTGCATGTGCACAACATGCAGGCTTGTTACATATGTATACATGTGCCATGTTGGTGTGCCGAACACATTAACTGGTCATTTACATTAGGTATATTCCCTAATGTTAGCCCTCCCACATGCCCCGACCCCATGACAGGCCCCGGTGTGTGATGTTCCCCACCCTGTGTCCAAGTTTTCTCATTGTTCAAATCCCACATATGAGTGACAACATGCAGTGTTTGGTTTTCTGTCCTTGTGATAGTTTGCTCAGAGTGATGGTATCCACCTTCATCCATGTCCCTACAAAGGACACGAACTCATCATTTTTTATGGCTGCATAGTATTCCATGGAGTATATGTGCCACAATTTCTTAATCCAGTCTATCATTGATGGACATTTGGGTTGGTTTCAAGTCTTTGCTATTGGGAATAGTGCCACCATAAACATACGTGTGCATGTGTCTTTATAGCAGCATGATTTATAATCCTTTGGGTATACACCCAGTAATGGGATGTCTGGGTCAAATGGTATTTCTAGTTCTAGATCCTTGAGGAATCACTGCACTGTCTTCCACAATAGTTGAACTAGTTTACAGTCTCACTAACAGTGTAAAAGCATTCCTATTTCTCCACATCCTCTCCAGCACCTGTTGTTCCCTGACGTTTTAATGATTGCCATTCTAACTGGTGCGAGATGGTATCTCATTGTGGTTTTGATTTGCATTTCTCTGATGGCCAGTGAGGATCAGCATTTTTTCATGTGTCTCTTGGTTACATAAATGTCTTCTTTTGAGAAGTGTCTGTTCATATCCTTTGCCCGCTTTTTGATGGGGTTGTCTGATTTTTTTCTTGTTAATTTTCTTAAGTTCTTTGCAGATTCTGGACATTAGACCTTTTTCAGATGGGTAGATAGTAAAAATTTTCTCCCATTCTGTAGGTTGCCTGTTCACTCTGATGGTAGTTTCTCCTGCAGTGCAGAAGCTCTTTAGTTTAATTAGATCCCATTTGTCAATTTTGGCTTTGTTGCCATTGCTTTTGGTATTTTAGTCATGAAGACCTTGCCCATGCCTATGGCCTGAATGGTATTGCCTGGGTTTTCATGGTTTTAGGTCTAACACTTAAGTCTTTAATCCATCTTGAATTAATTTTTGTGTAAGGTGTAAGGAAGGGATCCAGTTTCAGCTTTCTACATATGGCTAGCCAGTTTTTCCAGCACTATTTATTAAATAGGAGATCTTTTCCTCATTTCTTGTTTTTGTCAGGTTTGTGAAAGATCAGATGGTTGTAGATGTGTGGTATTATTTCTGAGGGCTCTGTCCTGTTCCATTGTTCTATAATTCTCTTTTGGTACCAGTACCATGCTCTTTTGGTTACTGTAGGCTTGTAGTATAAGATGGAAGGCAGGTAGAGTGATGCATCCAGCTTGATTCTCTTGACTTAGAATTATCTTGACAATGCAGGCTCTTTTTTGGTTCCACATGAACTTTAAAGTAGTTTTTTAGAATTCTGTGAAGAAAGTCATTGGTAGCTTGATGGGGATGGCATTGAATCTATAAATTATCTTGTGCAGCATGGCCATTTTCCTGATATTGATTCTTCCTATCCATAAGCATGGAATATTCTTCCATTTGCTTGTATCCTCTTTTATTTTGTTGAGCAATGGTTGTACTTCTCCTTGAAGCAGTCCTTCACATCCCTGGTAATATGGATTCCTAGGTATTTTATTCTCTTTGAAGCAATTGTGAATGGGAGTTCACTCATGATTTGTGTATCTGATTGTCTATTACTGGTGTATAGGAATGCTTGTGATTTTTGCACATTGATTTTGTATCCTGAGACTGCTGAAGTTGCCTATCAGCTTAAGGAGATTCGGAGCTGAGACAATGGGATTTTCTAAATATACAATCATGTCATTTGCAAACAGGGACAATTTGCCTTCCTCTTTTCCTAATTGAATACCCTTTATTTCTTTCTCCTGCCTGATTGCCGTGGCCAGAAATTCCAACACTCTGTTGAATAGGAGTGGTGAGAGAGGGCATCCCTGTCTTGTGCCAGTTTTCAAAGGGAATGCTTCCAGTTTATGCCCATTCAGTATGATATTGGCTGTGGGTTTGCCATAAATAGCTCTTATTATTTTGAGGTACTTTCCATCAATACCTAGTTTATTGAGAGTTTTAGCATGAAGAGCTGTTGAATTTTGTCAAAGGCCTTTTCCGCATGTATTGAGATAATCATGTGGTTTTTGCCTTTGGTTCTGTTTATATGATGGATTACGTTTATTGATTTGCTGTTGAACCAGGCTTTCATTCCCGGGATGAAGCCAGTTTGAAGGTGGTTGATAAGCTTTCTGACGTGCTGCTGGATTCAGTTTGCCAGTATTTTATTGAAGATTTTTGCATCGATGTTTATCAGGGATATTGGTCTAAAATTCTCTTTATTTTATTGTGTCTCTGCCAGGCTTTGGTATCAGGATGATGCTGGCCTCAAGAAATGAGTTAGGGAGGATTCTCTCTTTTTCTATTGATTGGAATAGTTTCTGAAGGAAAGATACCAGCTCCTCTTTGTACCTCTGGTAGAATTTGGTTGTGAATCCATCTGGTCCTGGACTTTTTTTGGTGGGTAGGCTATTAATTATTCCCTTAGTTTCAGAGTCTGCTATTGTTCTATTCAGGGATTCAACTTCTTCCTGGTTTAGTCTTGAGAGGGTGTATGAGTCCAGAAATTTATCCATTTCTTCTAGATTTTCTAGTTTATTTGCATAGAGGTGTTTGTAGTATTCTCTGTTGGTAGTGTGGGATCGGTGGTGATATCCCCTTTATCATTTTTTATTGTATCTATTGGATTCTTGACTCTTTTCTTCTTTATTAGCCTCGCTAGTGGTCTATCAATTTTGTTGATCTTTTCAGAAAAAAAAAAAAAAAACACCTCCTGGATTCGTTGATTTTTTTGAAGGTCTTTTTTGTGTCCGTATCTCCTTCAATTCTGCTCTGATCAGTATTTCTTGCCTTATGCTAGGTTTTGAATTTATTTGTGCTTCCTTCTCTAGTTCTTTTAATTGTGATGTTAGAGTGTGAATTTCAGATCTTTCCTGCTTTCTCTTGTGGGCATTTAGTGCTATGAATTTCCCTCTACACACTACTTTAAATGTGTCCCAGAGATGCTACTATGTTGCATCTTTGTTCTCACTGGTTTCAAAGAACATCTTGATTTCTGCGTTCATTTTATTATGTACCCAGTAGTCATTCAGGAGCAGGTTGTTCAGTTTCCATGTAGTTGAGCAGTTTTGAATGAGTTTCTTAATCCTGAGTTCTAGTTTTATTGCACTGTGGTCTGAGAGACAGTTTGTTATAATTTCTGTTATTTTACATTTGCTGATGATCGGTTTACTTCCAACTATATGGTCAATTTTGGAGTAAGTGTGATGTGGTGCTGAGAAGAATGTATATTCTGTTGATGTGTGGTGGAGAGTTCTGTAGATGTCTATTAGGTCTCTTTCTAGGTCTCTGAGGACTTGCTCTATGAATCTGCATGCTCTTGTATTGGGTGCATACATATTTAGGATAGTTAGCTCTTCTTGTTGAATTGATCCCTTTACCATTATGTAATGGCTTTCTTTGTCTCTTTTCATCTTTGTTTGTTTAAAGTCTGTTTTATCAAAGACAGGATTGCAACCCCTGCTTTTTTTTTTTTTTTTTTTGTCTTCCATTTGTTTGGTTGATCTTCCTACATCCCTTTATTTTGAGCCTATGTGTGTCTCTGCATGTGAGAATGTTTACAGCACACTGATGGGTCTTGATTCTTTATCGAATTTGCCAATCTTTGTCTTTTAATTGGAGCATTTAGCCCATTTACATTTAAGGTTGTTAATGTTATGTGTGAATTTGATCCTGTCATTATGATGTTAGCTGGTTATTTTGCTCATTAGTTGATGCTGTTTCTTCCTAGCATCAATGGTCTTTACAACAGCATGTTTTTGCATGACTGATACCAGTTGTTCCTTTCAATGTTTAGTGCTTACTTCAGGAGCTCTTGTAAGGCAGGCCTCATGGTGAAAAAAAATCTATCAGCATTTGCTTGTCTGTAAAGGATTTTATTTCTGATTAACTTTTGAAGCCTAGTTTGGCTGGGTATGAAATTCTGGGTTTAAAATTCTTTTCTTTAAGAATGTTGAATATTGGCCCCCACTCTCTTCTGGTATGTAGAGTTTCTGCCAAGAGATCTGCTGTTAGTCTGAAATGCTTCCCTTTGTGGGTAATCTGACCTTTCTCTGTGGCTGCTCTTAAAATTTTTTCCTTTATTTCAACTTTGGTGAATCTGACAATTATTCATCTTGGAGTTGCTCTTCTCAAGGAATATCTTTGTGGCATTCTCTGTATTTCCTGAATTTGAATGTTGGCCTGCCTTGCTAGGTGGGGGAATTGCTCCTGCATAATATTCTGCAGAGTGTTTTCCAACTTGGTTCCATTCTCCTCGTCACTTTCAGGTACACCAATCAGACATAGATTTGGTCTTTTCACATAGTCCCATACTTCTTGGAGGTTTTATTCACTTTTTTTTACTCTTTTTTCTCTAAACTTCTCTTCTCACTTCATTTCATTCATTTTATCTTGAATCACTGATGCCATTTCTTTCACTTGATCAAATCAGCTACTGAAGCTTTTGCATGTGTCACATAGTTCTCATGCCATGGTTTTCAGCTCCATCAGGTCATTTAAGGTCTTCTCTGCACTATTTATTCTAGATAGCCATTCATCTTTTTTCACGGTTTTTAGCTTCTTTGTGATGGGTTCAAACATCCTCCTTTAGCTCAGAGAAATTTGTTATTACTGATCACGTGAAGCCTTCTCTCAACTTGTCAAAGTCATTCTTTGTCCAGCTTTGTTCCATTGCTGGTGAGGAGCTGCATTCCTTTGGAGGAGAAGAGGCACTCTGATTTTTAGAATTTTCACCTTTTCTGCTCTGGTTTCTCCCCATCTTTGTGGTTTTATCTACCTTCGGTCTTTGATGATGGTGACCTACAGATGGGGTTTTGGTGTGGATGTCCTTTCTGTTTGTTAGTTTTCCATCTAAAAGGACCCTCAGCTGCATGTTTGTTGGAGTTTGCTGGAGGTCCACTCCAGACCCTTTTTGCCTGGGTATCACCAGCGGAGGCTGCAGAACAGCAGATATTGCTGCCTGATCCTTCCTCTGGAAGCTTCATCTAGAGGGGCACCAGGCTCTATGAGGTGTAAGTTGGCCACAGTGGGAGGTGTCTGCCAGTTAGGCTACTCAAGGTTTAGGGACCCATTTGAGGAGGCAGTCTGTCCATTCTCAGATCTCAAACTCTGTGCTGTGAGAACCACTACTCTCTTCAAAGCTGTCAGACGGGGAGGTTTAGGTCTGCAGAAGTTTCTGCTCTCTTTTTTTCAGCTATGCCCTGCCCCCAGAGGTGGAGTCTACAGGAGCAGGCAGGCCTCCTTGAGCTGTGGTGGGCTCCACCCAGTTCGAGCTTCCTGGCCACTTTGTTTACCTACTCAATCCTCAGCAATGGCAGACGCCCCTCCCCCAGTCTCGCTGCCAGCTTGAAGTTTGATCTCAGACTGCCAAGCAAGCAGTGAGTGAGGCTCCATGGGCGTGGGACCCTCCAAGTCAGGCACAGAATATAATCTCCTGGTGTACCATTTGCTAAGACTATTGGGAAAGTGCAGTATTAGAGTCAGAGTTTACCAATTTTCCAGGTACCATGTGTCATGGCTTCCCTTGGCTAGGAAAGGGAATTCCCCAACCCCTTGCACTTCCTAGGTGAGGTGATGCCCCACCATGCTTCATCTCATACTCCATGGGCTGCACCCACTGTCCAACAAGCCCCAGTGAGATGAACCTGGTACCTCAGTTGGAAATGCAGAAATCACTCATCTTCTGCATTGCTCACACTGGGAGCTGTTGACTGGAGCTCTTCCTATTCACCCATCTTGGAACCTCTTCCAATTTCTTACATTTTTAAAGCAGATCTTGCTAAGGAAGTCTGAACAATGTTTCTTTCTCTTAGTTATTTATAAACGTTTTAGAAGAATTAATATTCATTCTTTAACTATTTTATAGAATTCAGTAGGAAAGTCATCAGGTAATGAACAATTCTGTATCTTCTTGGTATGAAATTTTTAAGTTTGACAGATACTATTGTATGTATTTATCATGCACATCATGATTTTTTTGGTACATATGTACTATGGAGTGATTACTTTTAGCTTATTAATGAATAACCTTACATAATTATTAGTTTTCTAATGATAGCTCTTAAGAATTATTCCCTACTTTTGAAGAGTATAGTATGTCATTATTAGCTGCAGTCACAGTCCTATATAATATAATTCTTAAATTTATCATACCTGATTAAATGTAATTGTGTACTCTTTGGCCAGCCTCTTTTTACTGCCTTCTTCCTCCATTAATGTTAGCCTCACTTATTTACTATTTTATTCTATTTATGAAATCACCTTTTTTACACTCCACATATGAGTGAGATTATATGGTATTGCTCTTTCTATTCCTGGGTTATTTTATTCAGCAAAGTATTTTTCAGGTTTATTCGTGTCTCACAAATGACATAATTTTATTATTTTTATGGGTGAATAATATTAGGTTCACTGTATGTAGTATATTTTCTTCATTCATCTTCTAATATACATTTAGGTTGAGTTAATATCTTGGTTATGGTGAATAGTGCTTCAATAAACTTGTCAGTGCTGATATTTCTTGGTTGCACTAGTTTTATTTTAGTTTTGGATATATAGCAAGTAGAGTAACTGCAGGTTTGTTAACTATTTCTGTTTTTAACTTTTTGGATATGTTTGTATTATTTTCCAAAATCGTTGTACTAATTTACCTACCAATAACATGTGTTTTTTCTTCCCACATTCTTACCAGCACTTCTTATCTTTTATTCTTTGATAACATGCATTCTAAATGAACTGAGGAAAAATCTAATTGTGGTTTTTATTTACCATTTTCTTATGCTTAGTCATGCAGAGCATTTTTATATACATTTTACCATTTATATGTCTTTTTTAGAAAAATATCTATTAAAATATTTTGTCTATAAAAATTGGGTTGTTAGTGATTTTGTTTTTCTTGCTATTATGTTTTGAATTCCTTACATTTTTTAGATTTGAATATCTTATCAGATGCAGAATTTACCAATATCTTTTTTATTCTGTAGGTTGTCTTTTTATTTTATCAAATGCATATTTTGCTATGCAGAGGCTCTTTGGCTTGATGCATCTGATTGCCTATTTTTGTTTTTGTTGCCTGCTTTTTGAGATCTCATTCAGAAAGTTATTGCCAAACTCAGTGTCTGAAAGTAACTTCAGTAGCTTTCTTTCTAGTAATTTTTTAAAGTCAGGGTTGTATTTAAGTCTCTGATTTATTTAAAGTTTATTTTTGTAATCATGTGAGATAAACATCTGATTTTATTATTTGTAGGAGCATATTCCATTTTTTTCACTATAATGAAGACACTTTTTTTCCATCTTATGTTTTCCTGGTTTCTTTGCCAAAAATTAGTTGATAGTAAATATTTTGAGGCTTTCTGTTTGGTTTTATTAATCTATCTTTATCAATACCATGCTATTTCACTGTTTTGTTTACTGTTGTATCACATTATATTTAGAAGTATGTAACATCATGCCTCCAGTTTTGTTATTTTGTTCAGTATTGCTTTGGCTTTCTGGAGTCTTTGAGTCAACACAAAGCTTAAGAGGTTTTTTTTTTTTCTGTTTGTGTAAAGAATGTCCCTCATATTTTGATAGTGGATTAAATTGATATATTACTTTGGGTTTTATAGATATTTTAATGATATTAATATTTCCAATCTCTAAAAGTAAATATCCTTCAATTTATTTACACTTTATTCAATTTGTTGTCAATCTTTTACAGCTTTTAGTGTATAATTCTTAATTAAATTAATTTTTATCTGTTTTTATAGTTATTGTAAATGAGATTCTTGAAAATTTTTCTCATTTTACTATACATGTGTAGAAACTCTCCTGATTTTCACATGTTGATTTTTTATTTCCAACTCTACTCATTTTATTTTTATTTGTTAATTCTAACAGGATTTTTTGGTGGCTTGTTCAAATTTACATATATATAATATCCTGTCAACTGTAAAATGGGACAGTTTGACTTTTTTCTTTCAACTTTGATGTTTTCCATTTTTTGTTAATATAATAGATCTAGCTACACATTTTAATACTATGTTGAATAAAAGTGGTGAAAGTGGACATTCTTGTCTTTTTCCATGTCTTAGAGTAAAAGGTTTGTGCTTTCAAGCATTCAGTATAGTGTTACCTGTGGGTTAGTCAAATGTGGCTTTTATTGTGTTGGATATATTTCTTTTACATCAAATATTTGAAAATTATATCATAAAAGAATGTTGAATTTTGTCAAATCCTTCTGCATCTATTTAAATAATTATATAATTCTATCTATTATTGTTACTATAAAGTATCATGTGTATTAAATTGTAAATATTAAAGTATTCTTTCACCCCTGGGATGAATTCCATTTGAGTGTAATAAATGATTTCTTAATTGTGGTATTGAATTTGATTTGCTAGTATTTTTTAGAGGATTTTTGGCATGTACATTTGTCAGAAATATTGGTCTGTAGTTTTGACGTTGTTGTTGTGCTGCTGTCTGATAATTCTATCATATTAATGCTGGCATTGTAAAATGGAGTTTTGAAGTACTACCTTCTGAAGTTTTTGGAAGAGTATGAGAAAAATTCACAGTAGTCCCCTTCTTAAATTTCTTTAGCATTGACCAATAATGTCATAATATCCTGAGATTTTTTTAATATTGTTTATTTCTTATTTAATCTCCTTATTCGTTGTTGTTCTTTTCAATTTTTTTATTTCTTTACATTTTATTTTAGTAGGTTTTATGTGTCCAGAAGTATACCTATTTCTCTAGGATTTAAAAGGTGTTAACTAATAAATGTTAATAATAATATTATATAATTCTCTGTGGCATGAGTTGGGATGTATTCTTTATTTCTTATTTTATTTATTTGGGTTTTCTCTCTTTTTACTGAGTTTAGGTAAAGGTCTTTTGCTTCTATCTATCATTCCAAAACAATTTACATTATTAATTTTTATTGTTTTAACTCACTTTTTAAAATGTTTTTCTTATACTTATTATCTCTTTCTTTGTACTACCCTTGGGGATAGTTTTTTCTGTATGTCTTTTTATTTCCTTGAGGTGCATTATTAGAATCTTTATTTGAGATGTTCTTCAGTAAAAAGAAATTGCTGTTAACTTAAAAAAGCTCTTTTTATTTATGCCATAGATTTTGGTAAATTGCATATTCATTTTTATTTTTCTCAAAACATTTTTGCATTTTTTCAATATTTTTATTCAAGTATTTGCTGTTCAGGGGTATGTTTAAATTTCATGTATTTCTAAAGTTTTCAAATATCTGCCTGATATTGATTCCTAATTGTATACCATGTGGTCAGGTCAGGAGATATGATTTTAACTTTCTTAAGTTTATTGAGACTTGCTTGTTTACCTAATATAATCTCTCCTGGTGAATGTTCCATATGCAGTTGACAATAATGTGTATTTTTATGTATAATGTATTGATCTTTTTAGAATTTTACTTATTATTTTAAATTATCAGCCTACAATTTCAGATTTATTACAAGAATATATTATGTCATGCAGAGGTTTGGAATTTTATTAATCCTGTCACACAGACGAAGAACATAACACTAAATGGGGAAGTTTTATTTAGCTTTTCTACTTCTGCTTTACTCCCTCATTTTGGAATCTCTAATGTCTCTTGTTTACATATGATGTGTATGCATATCTAAGAATTGGCTCCCACTTACAAGTGAGTACATATTTTTTGTGGTAGTTGGTTGTGGTGTGGGTGTGTGTGAAATTCATTTAGAAAAATGACCCCCCAGTGGTCTCACTGGTAGAAGAAAAACAAACAAACAGAAATGAAAAGCATCAACATCAACAAAAAGGAAACCCACACCAAAACCCCATCTGTAGGTCACCAACATCAAATACCAAAGGTAGATAAAACCACAAACATGCGGAGAAACCAGAGCAGAAAAGCTGAGAATTCTAAAAACAAGAGCACCTCTTATCCTCCAAAGGATCACAGCTCCTCACCAGCAAGGGAACAAAGCTGGACAGAGAATGAGTTTGACAAGTTGACAGAAGTAGGCTTCAGAAGGTTGTTAATAACAAACTTCTCCAAGCTAAAGGAGCATAGTCTACCCAATAGCAAGGAAGCTGAAAACCTTGAAAAAAAAGTTAGATGAATGGCTAACTAGGATAAGCAGTGTAGAGAACACCATAAATGACCTGCTGGAGATGAAAACAGATGAAAACATGAGAACTTCATGATGCATGCACAAGCTTTAATAGCCAATTGAATCAAGTGGAAGAAAGGATATCATTGATTGAAGATCAAATTAATGAAATAAAGTGAGGAGACAAGTTTAGAGAAAAAGGAGTAAGAAGAAATGAACAAAGCCTTGAAGAAATATAGGACTGTGTGAAAAATCCAAATCTATGTTTGACTGTTGTACCTGAAAGGGATGGGGAGAAGGGAACTAAGATGGAAAACACTCTTCAGGATATTATCCAGGAGAACTTCCCCAACAAACAAGGCTGGCCAACCTTCAAATTTAGTAAATGCAGAGAACACTGCAAAGATACCTCCTGAGAAGAGCAACCCCAAGACACATAATTGTCAGATTCACCAAGGTTGAAATGAAGGAAAAAATGTTAAGAGCAGCCAGAGAATGTTTGGGTTACTTACAAGGGGAAGCCCATCAGACTAACAAAGGATCTCTCAGCAGAAATGCCACAAATGAGAAGAGAGTGGGGGCCAATATTCAACATTCTTAAAGCAATGAATTTTCAACCCAGAATAGCATATCCAGGCAAACTGTGCTTCAAAACTGAGGGAGAAATAAAATACTTTACAGACAAGCAAATGCTGAGAGATTTTGCCACCAGCAGGCCTGCCTTAAAAGAGCTCCTAAAGAACGTACTAAATATAGAAAGGAACAACTGGTATCAGCCACTGCAAAAACATGACAAATTGTAAAAACCATCAATGCTATGAAGTAACTGTTTCAATTAATGGGCAAAATAACCAGCTAGCATCATAATGACAGGATCAAATTCACACACAACATTATTAACCTTATATGTAAATGGGCTAAATGCCACAATTAAAAGACACAGACTGGGAATTTGGATAAAGAGTCAAGACCCATCAGTATGCTGTATTCAGGAGACCCATCTCAGGTGCAGAGACAACCACAGGCTCAAAATAAAGGGATGGAGGAATATCTACCAAGAAAATGGAAAGCAAGAAAAAGCAGGGGGTGTAATCCTACTAACTGATAAAACAGACTTTAAACCAACAAAGATCAAAAGAGAAAATGAAGGCCATTACATAATGGTTAAAGGATCAATTCAACAAGAAGAGCTAACTATCCTAAATATATATGCATCCAATACAGGGTCACTCAGGGTCATAAAGAAAATCCTTAGAGACCTAGAAAGAGACTTAGACTCCCACACAATAATAACGGGAGACTTTAACACTTCACTGTCAATATTAGACAGATCGATGAGACAGAATATTAATAAGGATATTGAGGACTTGAACTCAGTTCTGCACCAACCAGACCTAATAGACATCTAAGAACTCTACACCTCAAGGCAATAGAATAAACATTCCTCTCAGCACCACATTATACTTATTTGAGAATTAACCACATAATTGGTAGTAAAACAGTACTCAGCAAATGTAAAAGAATAGAAATCACAACAAACTGTCTCTCAGACCACACTACAATCAAATTAGTGCTCAGGATTAAGAAACTCCCTCAATAATGGCCAACTACATGGAAACTGAACAACCTGCTCCTGAATAACTACTGGGTAAATAGTAGTCATTCAAATGAAGGCAGAAAGAAAGATGTTCTTTGAAACCAATGAGAAAAAACATGCAACATACCAGCATCTCTTGGACACATTTAAAGAAGTGTGTAAAGGAAAATTTATAGCACTAAATGCCCACACAAGAAAGCAGGGAAGACCTAAATTCAACACCCTAACAATTAAAAGAATTAGAGAAGCAAGAGCAAACAAATTCAAAAGCTAGCAGAGGACAATAAATAACTAAGATCAGAGCAGAACTGAAGGAGATAGAGTCACAAAAAACCCTTCAAAAAATCAATGAACCCAGGAGCTGGTTTTCTGAAAATATCAACAAAATAGATACACAGTTAGCAAGACTAATAAAGAAGAAAAGAGGAGACAATCAAACAGACAGAATAAAAAATGATAAAGAGAATATCACCACTTATCCCACAGAAATACAAACTACCATCAGAGAATACTGTAAACACCTCCATGCAAATAAGCTAGAAAATCCAGAAGAAATGCATAAATTTCTGGACACATACACCCTCACAAAACCAAACCAGGAAGAAGTTAAATCTCTGAATAGAGCAACAACATGTTCTGAAATTAAGACAATAATTAATAGTCTACCAACCAAAAAAAGTGCAGAACCAGACAGATTCACAGTTGCATTCTACCAGAGGTACAAAGAGGAGCTGGTCTGTTTCCTTCTGAAACTATTCCAATGAATAGAAAAAGAGAGAATCCTCCATAACTCATTTTACAAGGCTAGCATCATCCTGATACAAAAGCCTGGCAGAGACACAACAAAAAAAGAGAATTTTAGGTCAATATCCCTGATGAACATCGATGCAAAAATCTTCAATAAAATCCTGGCAAACCGAATCGAGCAGCACATCAGAAAGCTTATCCAACATGATCAAGTTGGCTTCATCCCTGGGATGCAAGGCTGGTTCAACATATGAAAATCAGTAATGTAATTCATCACATAAGCAGAACAAACGACAAAAACCACAGGATTATCTCACTACATGCAGAAAAGGCCTTCGACAAAGTTCAACAGCAGTTCATGCTAAAAACTCTAAATAAACGAGGTATTGGTGGAACATATCTCAAAATAATAACAGCTATTTATGACAAACCTACAACCAATACCATACAGAATGGGCAAAAGCTGGAAGCATTCTCTTTGAAAACTGGCACAAGACAAGGATGCCCTCCCACATTACTCCTATTTAACATACTGTTGGAAGTTCTGGCCAGGGAAATCAAGCAAGAGATAGAAATAAAGATTATTCAATTATGAAAAGAGGAAGTCAAATTGTATCTGTTTGCAAGTCACATAATTGTATATTTAGAAAAACCCATCATCTCAGCCCAAAATCTCCTTAAGCTGATAAGCAACTTCAGCAAAGTCTCAGGATACAAAATCAGCGTGCAAAAATCATAAGCATTCTTATATGCCAATAATAGACAATCACAGAGAGAAATCATCAGTGAACTCCCATTCACAATTACTACAAAGAATGAAATTCCTAGGAATCCAACCTACAAGGGATGTGAAGCACCTCTTCAAGGGGAACTACAAACCACTGTTCAAGGAAATAAAAGAGGACACAAACAAATGGAAGAACATTCCCTGCTCATGGATAGGAAGAATTAATATCACGAAAGTGGCCATATTGCCCAAAGTAATTTATAGAGTCAATGCCATCCCTATCAAGCTACCTCTGTCTTTCTTCACAGAATTGGAAAAGTTATCTTAAAGTTTATATGGAACCAAAAAAGAGCCCTCATCGCTAAGACAATTCTAAGCAAAAAAAACAAAGCTGAAGACATCATGCTACCTGACTTTAAACTATACTATAAGGCTACAGTAACGAATACAGCATGACACTGGCACCAAAACAGAAATATAGACCAATGGAATGGAACAGAGGCTTCAGAAATAACACCACACATCTACAACCATCTGATCTTTCACAAACCTGACAAAAAAAAAAGAAATGGGTAAAGGATTCCCTATTTAATAAATGGTACTGGGAAAAGTGGATAGCCATACGTAGAAAGCTGAAACTGGATCCCTTCCTTACACCTTATACAAAAATTAACTCAGAATGGATTAAAGACTTAAATGTAAAATGTAACACCATAAAAATCCTAGAAGAAAACCTAGGTAATACCCTTCAGGACATAGGCATGGGCAAGGACTTCATGACTAAAACTCCAAAAACAATGGCAACAAAAGCCAAAATTGACAAATGGGATCTAATTAAACTAAAGATCTTCTGCATAGCAAAAGAAACTATCATTGGAGTGAACAGGCAACCTACAGAATGGGAGAAATGTTTTGCAATCTGCCCATCTGACAAAGGGCTAACATCCAGAATCTACAAATAACTTAGACAGATTTACAAGAAAAATACAAAAAATCCCATCAAAAAGTGGGCAAAGTATATGAACACTTCTCAAAAGAAGACATTTATGCAGCCAAGAGACATTTTCAAAAATGCTCCCTGGTCATCAGAGAAATGCAAATTAAAGCCACTGTGAGATACCATCTCATGCCAGTAGAATGGCAATCATTAAAAAATCAGGAAACAACAGCTGTTGAAGATGATATGGAGAAATAGGAATACTTTTACACTGTTGGTAGGAGTGTAAATTAGTTCGACCATTGTGGAAGACAGTGTGGCAATTCCTCTAGGATCTAAATCTAGAAATACCATTCAACACAACAATCCCATTACTGGGCATATACCCAAAGGATTATAAATCATTCTATGATAAAGACACATGCACACATATGTTTCTTGCAGCATTATTCACAATAGCAAAGACTTGGAACCAACTCAAATGTCCATGAGTGATAGACTGGATTAAGAAATTGTGGCACATGTACATCACGGAATACTATGCAACCATAAAAAAGATTCAGGGACATGTATGAAGCTGGAAACCATCATTCCAAGCAAACTATCAGAAGGACAGAAAACCAAACACCACATGCTCTCACTCATAGTGGGGAGCTGAACAACGAAAACACAAGGACACAGTGTGGCGGAACATCACACACTGGGGTCAGTCAGGGGTTGAGGGGTTGGGGGAGGGATAGGATTAGGAGAATTATCTAATGTAAATGACGAGTTGATGGGTCCAGCAAACCAACATGGCATATGTACACCTATGTAACAAACCTGCACCTTGTGCACATGTACCCTAGAACTTAAAGTATAATTTAAAAAAACAATAAAAGTATATTCTTAAAGTAAAAAAAAAGAACTCCCCAGCTGTATCCATATTGCTGTGAAGAACAGGATGTTGTTCTGTTTATGAGTGTATCGTAGTTTATGGTATACATGTACCACATTTTCTTTATCCAATTCACTATTGATATGCACCTGGGTTTATTCTGTGTCTTAGCTGTAATGAATAGAGTGCTGCAACAGACACATAAGTGCATGTGTCTTTTTGTTAGAACAAGATATAGTTTTGGTTATATGTCTAGTGCTAAGATTACTTCTTAGCAGTGGAGCAAATGGTAGTTCCATTTTTCATTCTTTGCAAAATCTCTAAGCTAGTTTTTAGACTGGTTTAAGTAATTTACATTTTGACCAACAGTGTATAAGTGTTCACTTTTCTCAGAAGCCTAACATATATGTTTTTTTTCTACTTTTACAAATAGCTAGATTATATATATGTTAAAGGTAATGTTCTGGCCAGGTGCAGTGGCTCATGCCTGTAATCCCAGCACATGGCCAGGAGTTGGAGACCAACCTGGTGAACATGGCTATACCCAATCTCTAGTAAAAATACAAAAAAATACCCCCATGTGGTGGTAGGCACCTGTAATCCCAGCTACTTGGGAGGCTGAGGCAGGAGATTTGCTTGAATCTGGAGGCAGATGTTTCAGTGAGCCAACATTATGCCATTGCAACTTGAGCAAAACTTCATCCTGGGCAACAAGAGCAAAACTTCAACTAAAAAAAAAAAAAAAGGTAATGGTCTGTAAATGTCTGTTAGAGTTATTTGTTTTGAAAGCAATATAACTCTGGTGATTATTTGCTGATTTCCTATTTGATGTTTTGTCCATGGATATAAGTAAGATGTGGAAGTTTTTTGATGTTCTTTTATTGCAGGTAATTTCATCCTTAGGCCTATAATATTTGCTTTATGTATTTAGCTGTTCCAATGCTTGGGGCATACACATATATATTTTTATATGTATATACATATACATATATACATATATTTATATATATATACATATACATATATACATATATTTATATATAAATATATATTTATACATATAAATTTATATACATAGATGTAAAAATATATATTTATGACACATATATGTGTGTGTATATATACTTATAATTGTTACATTCTCATGCTAAGTTGACTCCTTGTCATTGTATAATAATCTTTTTGGTTTTGCACAGTTTTTGTCTTAAACTTTATCTTACATAAACTGATCTTTCATGGTTTTCATTTGCATGAAAAATTTCTCTTCCATTATTTTACTTGCAGTCTACTATGTCCTTACAGGTGATGTGAGCCTCTGGAAGGCAGAATATATTTGGGTCTTGTTTTTTAATGCATTCAGCCACACTGTGTTTTTTAACTGTAAAAATGTATCTATTCTTATTCAATATGACTGTGTTAGTCTGTTTTGTGTTGATATAAAAGAACACCTGAGGCTGGGCAATTTATTTAAAAAGCAGTTTAACTTGGCTCATAGGTCTGCATGATGTTTAAGAATAATACCTGCATCTGCTTTTGATAAGAACGTTAGGAAGTTTCTAATTATGGAATATGGCGAAGGGAAGAGAGGTATGACACATGGTCAAAAACGGAGCAAGAGAAAACAAAGAGAGATATCAGGCTTATTTGAACAATCAAGTCTCAAGGGAACTAATAGAGTTAAAACTCATTTATTCCCACAATGACAGCACACAGTCACTCATGAGTGATCTGCCACCATGATCCAAATACGTCACACTAGGCCCCATCCCCAACATTGGGGATCAAATTTCAACATAAGATTTATAGGTCACAATCATGCAAAGTATATTTTTTTACTTCTGGCACCCAAATACTCTGTCTTTGTCATTACAAAATACAATCCTCTCATCCCCAGAGTCTTAATTCATTTTAGTATCAACTCAAGAGTCCAAAGTCCAAATTCTTATCTTAGACTCTAAGAAAGTTATTTCCATATAAGATATAATAATAATTAAAAAATTATTTACTGTCAAGATACAGTGATGGTATAGGTTTGCATAAACGTTCTCATCCCAAAAGGGAAAAACCAGCCAAAAATGTAGATAAAAGTCTCCACAAATTTCAAAATCCAGACGGCAGACATTAAACTTGAAAGCTTCAGGCCAGGTGTGGTGTCTCATGCCTGTAATCCTAGCAGTTTGAGACGCTGAGGTGGGTTGGTAACTTGAGTCCAGGAGTGCAAGAACAACCTGGCCAACATGGTGAAAACCATCACTACTAATATACAAATATTAGCTGGGCATGGTGGCAAGTGCCTGTAATCCCAGTTACTTGCAATGCTGAGACAGAAGAATCACTTGAACCAGGGAGGTGGAGGTTGCTGTGAGCTATGATCGTGCCACCAGATTCCAGCCTGGGTGACAGAGTGAGATTCCTTCTCAAACCAAACAAAGCAAAAATTTGAAAACTTCAAAATGATATCTTTTGACTTGATGTCTAGGCAATGTATACAATGTATACACACTTGTCACCATGGCTGCTCTCAAAGGGTGGAGTTAAATGACTGTTGTTCTTCCAGGCTGAAGATAAATCTGCCAGTGGCTCTACAATTCTGAAGTCTGTAGGGTGGCAGCACCATTTCCACATTTCCACTACGCATACTGTGTTTGAAGTCTCCAACCACACATTTCCCTTTTTCACTGCTTTTGTTGAGTCTCTATGTTGGAACTCTCCTGCTCCCAGAGGCTTATGCATTACCACCTAGGCTTTTTAGCATATTTTTTTGAAATCTAGGTGAAAGCTTCAAAGGCTTCACCACTATGATCTAATTCTTCATCTAAAGCATGCAGTCTTATGGCTTGCACTATTCTGAGTGGTAGACTGAGCTGTACCTGAGGCTCTTAAGGCTCCAGTTGGAGACAGATTGACCATGATGTGGGAGCTGCATCTTGAGGTGGCACAGAAAAGCAGTGTGCTTGACACAACTCTCAAAACAAGTTTGTTCTCTTACGTCCCTGATGCTGTGATGGAAGATGCAACTTGGAAGGTTTCTGGAATACCTTTAGTGTATTCATTATTCTGAATATTAGCACCTGGTTTTCTTATGTTTAATCTCCCTAGCAAGTGGTTGTTTCACAGCTCTACCTGGATTCCTCTCCTGAAAATCCTTTCTTTTTCTAACACATGGCCAAGCTGTAAATATTTCATTTGCTCTGCTTCACTTTTAATTATGTTTCAATCTTAAGTCACTTCTTTGTTCTCATATCTAATCATAGGTGGTTACAAGCAGCCACACTACATCTTGAATGCTTTGTTGCTTAGAAATTTCTTCTGAAAAATAACTCATATTCCTAAATTCAGCATTCCAGAAAGCCCTAGGGCATAGACACAATCAAGCCAAGCACTTACCTAAGCCATATGAAAGATGAGCTTGGCTTCAGTACTGAATTCCAAATTTTTACTTGAAAATTTGTAACCCTGGTCTTCACTGTCCTATTGTGCCATCTTGCTAATATTGTAATTCTTATGCTTTTAATTCATCAGATAAATTTTATTTTTAACTTAATATTTTATTCAATATTTGTCTTTATAGATTTACTATTTTTATGACTGACTTTTTGTAGGTTTTATGTGTCTAAAATTTTATTCATTTATTTCATGTATTCCAGTTATTTTTTAGCATACAATTGTTAGCAAGATTGTTTTATAATCCTGGATTTTGTGTTATCACATGTAATAGCTGCTCTTTTATTTATAATATTATTTACTTTAGTCTTTATCTTTCTTAATTAATTTAAATAAAGGTTTGCCAACATTTTCTATATTTTTCAAACACCAACTCTTACTCTGCTTTGGATATTCAATTATTTTTCTTGTGTCTATTTTGTTTATTTATGTTAATCTTTATTTTTTCTAACCTCTTTAAACTTTGTGCCTATTTCCCTGTATCTTGAGGTATAACATTAAAGTGCTTATATGAAATATTTCTCTTTTTTGTGCTTACTGCTATAAACTTACCCTGTAACACTACTTTGCTGTATTCCATAAGTTTGTGATAATTTATTTCCATTTTTGTAATCTCAAGGTATTTTTTGATTTTTTAAATTCTCTTTTCACCCATTTATTGTACAGAAACAAGTTTTAGGAAAATATTTTATTATTTGTAATTTTCCAGAACTACTTATTAATAATAATAATAATTATTATTATTATACCTTAAGTTCCAAGGTTTATGTACAGAATGAGTAGGTTTGTTACATAGGTATACACATGCCATGGTGGTTTGCTGCACCCATCAACCCGTCATCTACATTAGGTATTTCTCCTAATGCTCCTCTAGCCCACCACCCAACAACAGACCCTGGTGTGTAATGTTCCCCTCCCTGTGTCCATGTGTTCTCATTGTTCAGCTCCCACTTATGAGTGAGAACATAGGGTGTTTGACTTTCTGTTCCTGTGTTAGTTTGCTGAGAATGATGGTTTCCAGCCTCATCCACCTCCCTGAAAAGGATATGAACTCATCCTTTTTTTGTGGCTGCGTAGTATTTCATGGTGTGTGTGTGTCACATTTTCTTTATCCATCTATCACTGATAGGCATTTGGGTTGGTTCCAAGTCTTGGCTATTGTGAACAGTGCCACAGTAAACATACATGAGCATGTGTTTTTATCAAAGAATAATTTATAATCCTTTAGGTATATACCCAGTAATGGGATTGCTGAGTCAAATGGTATTTCTTGTTCTAGATACTTCAATCGCCACATTGCCTTCCACAATGGTTGAACTAGTTTACACTCCTACCAAAAGTGTAAAAGCATTCCTATTTCTCCACATCCTCTCCAGCATCTGTTGTTTCCTGACTTGTTAATGATCACCCTTCTAACTGATGTGTACTGATACCAAAACAGACATATAGATGAATGGAACAGAACAGAGACCTCAGAATTACATCTACAACTATCTGATCTTCAAAAAACCTGACCAAAACAAGCAATGGGAAAAGGATTATCTATTTAATAAATGGTGCTGGGGAAACTGGCTAACCATATGCAGAAAACTGCAACTGGACCCCTTCCTTACACCTTACACAAAAATTAATTCAAGATGGATTAAAGACTTAAATGTAAAACTTAAAATTACATAAATACTAGAATAAAGCATAGGCAATACCATTCAGAACATAGGCAAGGGCAAAGACTTCAGGAATAAAAGACCAAAACCAATGGCAGCAAAAGCAAAAATAGACAAATGAGATCTAATTAAACCAAAGAGCTTCTGCACAGCAAAAGAAACTATCAATAGACTGGACGGGCAACCTATAGAATGAAAGAATATTTTTGCAATCTATCCATCTGACAAAGGGCTAATAAGCAGAATCCACAAGGAACTAAAACAACTTTACAAGAAAAAAACAACCCCATTAAAAAAAGAGGCAAAGGATATGAACAGACACTTCTCAAAAGAAGACATTTATGCAGCCAACAAACATATGAAAAATAGCTCATCATCACTGGTCATTAGAGAAATGCAAATCAAAACCCTATTGTTTATTTTTATGTCAACTTTGGTTGACGATTAATTGGTAGTAGATGTACAACTACATTTCTGGACTCTCTATTATTTTCCATTAAACTATGTATCTATTTTTTTGTATCAATATGATGCTATTTTTGTTATTGTAACCTTATTGTTTGATTTGAAGTTGAGTAATATAAAGCCCCTGTCCTTTGTCTGGTTTGGGGGGATCACTTTTGTTATTCAGGCAATTTTTTGATTCCAGATAAACTTCAGAAATTTTCATGTAATTTCTGTGAAAAATAATGTTAGTGATTTGTTCAGAATAGCACTGAATCTCTAGATTTCTTTAAGCAGATGACAGTTCAACAATATTAATTTTTTCAGCTAATTTCCATTAAATGCTTTGTTATTTGTTTGTGTTATCTATGAGTTCTTTTAGCAATGTTTTTGATTCCCCTTGCAGAGATTTTTCACCTTCCTGGTTAGCTATATTCCCATTTTTATGGCTACTGTAAGTGAAATTTCACTTTTTTTATTATAGGACCTCACCCTGTGTCTTAGGTTAGAGTGCAGTTGCACAACCTCTGCTAACTATATATAACCACCACCTCCCAGGTCGAAGAGATTTTCATGCCCTCCTGATTAGCTGGGACTACAGGCATGCACCATCACACCCAGCTAATTTTGGTATTTTTTGTAGCGGCAAGGTTTCTCCATGTTGCCCAGGCTTGTGTCAAAGGATACACCCAGCTTGGCCTCCCAAAGTTATGGGATTACAGATATGACACACATGCCTGGCCAAATTGCATTCTTTATTTGGATCTCAGCCTGAAAATTATCAGTGTGTAAAAAAGTTACTTATTTTTGCACACTGATTTTATATCATGACACTCGCTGAATTTGTTCTTCTGAAAGAGCCTTTTTGTAAAATATTTAGGATTTTCTACGTATAGAATCATACTGTCTGCAAAGAGATATTTTTACCTCTTCTTTTTCTTAATTGTGTGTCTTCTATTTCTTTCCCTTGTCTGATTGCTGTGTTTAGGACTTGCAATACCAAGCTGAGTAAGATAGATAAGAATGGACATTCTTATCTTGTTAAGCTTGTAGGGAGAATGCTATCAATTTTCTCATTCAGCATGATATTGGCTGTGTGTTTGTCAAAGATGGCTCTTATTATTTTGAGTGATGTTCTTTTGATGCCTAGCGTATTTAGTGATTTTATTATGACATATTGAATCTTATCAAAAGCATGTTTTGCATTATTGAGATAATTATATGATTTCAGTTTTTTTGTTTAATTACATTTATTGATTTACCTATATTAAATTATCTTGAAATTCCATGAATAAAGCCATCTAGATAATAGTGCATAAACTTTTTGATGTAATTCTGGATTTGGGTTGCTAATATTTTGTTGATAATTTTTCTATCTACAATCATTGAGGTTACTTGTCTGTGGTTTTCTATTTTGTTGTGCCTTTGCCAGATTTGAGTATCAGGATAATAGTTATTACATAGAATAAATTAGGAGTCACACCTGTAATTTCAGCACTTTGGGAGGCTGAAGTGAGCAAATCATGAAGTCAGAATTTCAAGACCATCCTGCCCAACATGGTGAAACCCTGTCTCTACTAAAAACACAAAAATTAGCTGGGTGTAGTGGCGGGCACTTGTATTCCCAACTAATTGGGAGGCTGAGACAGGAGAATTGCTTGAACTGGGAGGCGGAGGTTGCAGTGAGCAGAGGTCGTGCCATTGTCTGGACTACAGAGCCAGTCTGGGCTACAGAGCCAGTCTAGGCTACAGAGCCAGAATCTGTCTCAAAAAAAAAAAAAAATTATTATTCTTTCCTTTTTATTTTATTTTTTATTTTTGAATAGTTTCAGTAGTATTTCTACCAGCTTTTTAGTATCTCTGAAAAAAAATGGCTGTGAAGCTTTTTGGTACAGGACTTTTTTGGGGGGCTAATGATTTTTTATTACTGATTCAATTTTATTACCCTTTATTAGTCTGTTTATGATTTTTGTTCTTCTTTGTTCATTATTTGAAGATTCTGTGATTTTAGGAATTTATTAATTTCCTTTAAATTTCCTAGTTTGTATGCCTGGAAAGGTTTATAGTAGCTTCTGAGGCTCTTTTGTACTTTTGTGGGAGCAGTTTTGGTGTCAGATTTGTCATTTCTGCCTGTGCTTATTGGGTCCAGCCTCTCTTTTATGTTGATAGTCTAGTTAGTGGTCTATTGATCTTATTTATCCCATTTATGGCTTCCAGGGGTTTCAATTTCATTTAATTATGCTCTGATTCTTTTTTTTTTTTTTTCCTGCAGCTTTGGGTATAGTTTTTTTTTTTCTTGATTTTCTAGGTTCTTTACATGCAAGGTAATGTTGGAAATTTCAGATGTATCTTCTTCGTGTAGACATTTAATATTCATAAACTTCCCCTTAACACTGCTTTTACCACATTTCAGAGGTTTTGGTATTTTTTCTACATTTATTTGTTTCAAATAATATTTTGATTTCTACCTTAATTTTGTTGTGTATTCAAATGTTATGCAGAGTAAGTGGTTTAGTTTTCATGTATTTGTGTGTTTTTGAGATTTTTCTTGGCATTGGCTTTTATATTTATTTCATTGTAGACCAAGAAGTTGGTTAGTATAATTTTAAATTTATAAAATTTATTGAGACTTTAAAATAAAATAAGGTCAATTTTCAAGAATGTTTCTTGTGTGGTTGAGAAGAATGCATATTTTATGGTTGTTTGTTGTAGTATTTTGTACATGTCTGTTAGGCCGAATTGGTCTAGTATTCAATTTAAGTTCAGAATTTCTTAGTTTATTTCACAATAATCTGTCTAGAGATTTCAGTATGGTGTTGAAGTTTCTCATTAGTATTGTGAAGACCTTTTCTTACATTGAGAAGCAATCATTTTATAAATCTAGGTATTTCAATTTTGCTTGTATGTATATTTATAGTGGTTAATTCTTCTTGCTGAATTAAACTGTTTATTATCATTTAATGACTTTTTTTTACTGTTGTTGACTTAAAGCCTCTTTCATCTAATACAAATATAGCAACTCTCTCTCTTTTCCCTCTGTCTCTCTCTCTTTGGTTTGCTATTTATGTGATAAATCTCTCTCCATCTTTTCATTTTGAGACTGTAGGAATCATTACATGTGAGATGAATTCCTTGAAGACAGTATAAGGATGTCATTGCAATAGTTTGCTGAGAATGATGGTTTCCAGCTTCACCCGTGTCCCTACAAAGGACATAAACTCATCCTTTTTTATGGTTGCATATATACTATGGTGTATATGTGCCACATTTTCTTAATCCAGTCTATCATTGACGGACATTTGGATTGGTTTCAAGTTTTGCTTTTGAGAATAGTGCCACAATGAATATGCGTGAGTGTGTGTCTTTATAGCAGCATGATTTATAATCCTTTGGGTATATACCCAGTAATGGGATATCTGGGTCAAATGGTATTTCTAGTTCTGGATCCTTCAGGAATCCCCACACTGTCTTCCACAATGGTTAAACAAGTTTACAGTCCCACCAACAGTGTAACAGTGTTCCTGTTTCTCCACATCCTCTCCAGCAACTGTTGTTTCCTGACGTTTTAATGATTGTCATTCTAATTGGTGTGAGATGGTATCTCATTGTGGTTTTGATTTGCATTTCTCTGATGGCCACTGATGATGACAATATTTTCATGTGTCTGTTGGCTGCATAAATGTCTTCTTTTGAGAAGTGTCTGTTCATATCCATCGCCCACTTGTTGATGGGGTTGTTTATTTTTTTGTTGTAAATTTGTTGGAGTTCTTTGTAGATTCTGGATATTAGCCCTTTGTCAGATGAGTAGATTGCGAAAATTTTCTCTGATTCTGTAGGTTGCCTGTTCATGCTGATGGTAGTTTCTCTTGCTGTGTAGAATCTCTTTGGTTTAATTAGATCCCATTTGTCAATTTTGGCTTTTGTTGCCATTGCTTTTGGTGTTTTAGACATGAAATCCTTGCCCGTGCCTATATCCTGAATGATATTGCCTAGGTTTTCTGCTAGGGATTTTATGATTTTAGGTCTAACATTTAAGTCTTTAATCCATCTTGAATTCATTTTTGTATAAGGTGTAAGGAAGGGATCCAGTTTCAGCTTTCTACAAATGGCTAGCCAGTTTTCCCAGCAACATTCATTAAATAGGGAATCCTTTCCCCATTTCCTGTTTTTGTCAGGTTTGTCAAAGATTAGATAGTTGTAGATGTGTGGTATTATTTTTGAGGGCTCTATTCTGTTCCATTGGTCTACATCTCTGTTTTGGTAACAACACCATGCTGTTTTAGTTACTGTAGCCTTGTAATATAATTTGAAGTCAGGTAGCGTGATGCCTCCAGCTTTGTTCTTTTTGCTTAGGATTGTCTTGGCAATGCAGGCTCTTTTTTGGTTCCATATGAACTTTAAAGTAGTTTTTTCCAATTCTGTGAAGAAAGTCATCAGTAGCTTTATGGGGATGGCATTGAACCTATAAATTACCTTGGGCAGTATGGCCATTTTCATGATATTGATTCTTCCTATCCATGAGCATGAAAATTTCTTCCATTTGTTTGTGTCCTCTTTTGTTTCATTGAGCAGTGGTTTGTAGTTCTCCCTGAAGAGGTCCTTCACATCCCTTGTAAATTGGATTCCTAGGTATTTTATTCCCTTTGAAGCAATTGTGAATGGGAGTTCACTCATAATTTGGCTCTCTGTTTGTCTGTTATTTGTGTATAAGAATGCTTGTGATTTTTGCACATTGATTTTGTATCCTGAGACATTGCTGAAGTTGCTTATCAGCTTAAGGAAATTTTGGGCTGAGATGATGGGATTTTGTAAATATACAGTCATGTCATCTGCAAAGAGGGACAATTTGACTTCCTCTTTTCCTAATTGAATACCCTTTATTTCTTTCTCCTGCCTGATTGCCTTGGCCAGAAATTCTAACACTATGTTGAATAGGAGTGGTAAGAGAGGGCATCCCTGTCTTGTGCAAGTTTTTAAAGGGAATGCTTCCAGTTTTGCCCGTTCAGTATGATATTGACTGTTGGTTTGTCAAAAATAGCTCTTATAATTTTGAGATACATCACATCAATACCTAATTTACGGAGACTTTTTAGCAGAAAGGTCTGTTGAATTTTGTCAAAGGCCTCTTCTGCTTTTATTGAGATAATCATGTGGTTTTTGTCATTGGTTCTGTTTATATACTGGATTAAGTTTATTGATTTGCATGTGTTGAACAAGACTTGCATCCCAGGGGTGAAGCCCACTTGATCATGATGGATAAGCTTTTTGATGTGCTGCTGGATTCGGTTTGCCAGTATTTATTGAGGATTTTTGCATCGATGTTCATCAGGGATATTGGTCTAAAATTCTCTGTTTTGTTGTGTCTCTGCTGGTATCAGGATGATGTTGGCCTCATAAAATGAATTAGGGAGGATTCCCTCTTTTTCTATTGATTGAAATAGTTTCAGAAGTAATGGTACCAGCTCCTCTTTGTACCTCTGGTAGCATTCGGATGTGAACCCGTCTGGTCCTGGATTTTTTTGGTTGGTAGGCTATTAATTACTGCCTCAATTTCAGAACCTGTTATTAGTCTATTCAGAGATTCAGCTTCTTCCTGGTTTAGTCTTGGGAGGGTGTATGTGTCCAGGAATTTATCCATTTCTTCTAGATTTTCTAGTTTATGTAGAGGTATTTATAGTATTCTCTGATGGTAGTTTGTATTTCTGTGGCATCGGTGGTGATATCCCCTTTGTCATTTTTTATTGCATCTATTTGATTCTTCTCTCTTTTCTTCTTATTAATCTTGCTAGTGGTGTAACAATTTTGTTGATCTTTTTGAAAAACCAGCTCCTGGATTCACTGATTTTTTCTGAAGGGTTTTTTGTGTCTCTATCTCTCTCAGTTCTGCTCTGATCTTAGTTATTTCTTGCCTTCTGCTAGCTTTTGAATGTGTTTGCTCTTGCTGCTCTAGTTCTTTTAATTCTGATGTTAGGGTGTCAATTTTAGATCTTTACTGGTTTCTCTTATGGGCATTTAGTGCTATAAATTTCCCTCTACACACTCCTTTAAATGTGTCCCAGAGATTCTGGTATGTTGTGTCTTTGTTCTCATTGTTTCAAAGTACATCTTTATTTCTGCCTTCATTTCGTTATGTACCCAGTAGTCATTCAGGAGCAGGTTGTTCAGTTTCCATGTAGTTGAGCAGTTTTGAGTGAGTTTCTTGATCCTGAGTTCTAGTTTGATTGCACTGTGGTCTGAGAGATAGTTTGTTATAATTTCTCTTTTACATTTGCTGAGGAGAGCTTTATTTCCAACAATGTGGTCAATTTTGGAATAGGTGTGGTGTGGTGCTGAAAAAATGTATATTCTGTTGATTTGGGGTGGAGAGTTCTGTAGATGTCTATTAGGTCCGCTTGGTGCAGAGCTGAGTTCAATTCCTGGGTATCCTTTTTACCTGCCCCTTCTGGTGGATGCCTCCCAGTTAGGCTATTTGGTGGTCAGGGACCCACTTGAAGAGGCAGTCTGACCATTCTCAGATCTCAAACTCTGTGCTCGGAGAACCACTATTCTCTTCAAAGCTGTCAGACAGGTACATTTAAGTCTGCAGAGGTTTCTGCTGCCTTTTGTTCAGCTATGCCCTGCCCCCAGATGTGGAGTCTACAGAGACAGGCAGGCCTCCTTGAGGTGCAGTGGGCTCCACCAAGTTCAAGCTCACCAGCCACTTTGTTGACCTACTCAACCCTCAGCAATGGTTGGCACCCCTCCCTCAGCCTTGCTGCTGCCTTCAGTTTGATCTCAGACTGCTGTACTACCACTGAGTGAGTCTCTGTGCATGTGGGACCCTCCAAGCCATGCATGGGATATAATCTCCTAGTGTGCCATTTGCTAAGACCGTTGGAAAAGTGCTGTATTAGGGTGGGAGTGACCCATTTTTCCAGGTGCTGTCTGTCACAGCTTCCCTTGGCTAGGAAAGGGAATTCCCTGACCCCTTGTGCATCCCAAGTGAGGCAATGCCTCACCCTGCTTTGGCTCATGCTCAGTGTGCTGCACCCACTGTCTGACAAACCCCAGTGAGATGAACCCAGTACCTCAGTTGGAAATGCAGAAATCACCTATCTTCTGCATTGCTCATGCTGGGAGCTGTAGACTGCAGCTGTTCCTATTCAGCCATCTTGGAACAACTCCCCTGAAATTCTTTTTAATGAAAATTATTAGGATGATTCTGGACTCACAGAGGTAGGAAAAAGTCATTGTTTTCTATTTTAAAAATTAAAGTTTTAAACTTGTAATATTCTTAAAATTAAATGATAAGTTAAAAAAAAACTCATCCTTTTCAATTCTTAAAAATAGTTTCTGTAGAAATGGTGCCAGTGATTCTTTGTACATCTGATAGAATTCACCTGTAAATGCATCCTGTCCTGAGTTTTTTTGGTTGGTAGGCTATTTAATTCTGCCTCAAATTCAGAGCTCATTCGTGGTCTGTTCACAGATTCAATTTCTTCCTAATTCAGTTTTGGGAGCGTGTAAGTGTCCAGGAATGGATCTTTTTATTCTAGATTTTCTAATTTATGTGTCTAGAGGTTTTTATATAAAATCATCTGATGGTTGGTCGTATTTCTGTGAGGTCAGTGGTAATACTCCCCTTATCATATCTTATTGTGTTGTTTTGAATGTTCTTTTTTTCCTTATCAGTTTAGCCAACAGTCCATCTACTTTAGCTTTTCAAAAAAGAAGCTTCTGTATTTGTTGATTTTTTGAGTTTTTTTTTGTCTATATCTCCCTCAGTTCAGCTCTGATTTTGAGTATTTCTTGTGTTCTACAAGACTTGGGATTTCTTTGCTCACGTTTCTCTAGTTCTTTTAGTTGTGATTTTAGATTGCTAACTTGGGATCTTGCTAGCTTTTGGACGTGGGCATTTAATGCTACAGATTTCCCTCTTAACACTGTATTAGCTGCGTTACAGAGATTCTGGTTCATTGTATCTTTGTTCTCAGTTTCAAAGAATTTCTTGATTTCTGACATAATTCCATTATTTATGCAAAAGTCATGGAGAAGCTGATCATTCAATTTCCATATAATTGTATAGATTTGAGTAAATTTCTTAGTCTTGAGTTCTAATTTGATTCTGCTGTGGTCAAAGAGAATTGTTGTTGTGATTTCGTTGTTTTGCATTGGCTAAGGAGTGTTTTACTTTTGATTATATGATCAATTATAGAGTGAGTGCCATGTGGCACAAAGAAGAGTGTATATTCTGTTGCTCTTGGGTGAATAGTTCTGTAGATATATATCAGGTCTATTTAATCCAAAGTGGAGCTCAAGTCTTAAATATGTTTGTTAACTTTTTTTTTTTTTTTTTGATGATCTGTCTAACATTGTCAGTGGGTTGTTAAAGACTCCCATTATTACTCTTTGGGAGTCAAAGTCTCTTTGAAGGTCTCTAAGATCTTGCTTTATAGATATGGGTGTTCCTGTGTTGGGTGCATATATATTTAGGAGAGTTAGCTCTTCTTGTTGAACTGATCCCTTTGACATTATGAAATGTCCTTTCCTTTTTTGATCTTTGTTGGTATGAAGTCTGCTTTATAAGGAACTAGGACTGTCATTCTGCTTTTTTCTGTTACATAATATATACACACACACATATATATGTATGTATATATTTGCTTGCATATATATATATATATATATATATATATATATATATATATATATGCTTACCATGTTTACCTTCATCCCTTTATTTTGAGCCTATGAGTGTCATTGCATGTAAGAGGGGTCTCATGAAAACAGCATACCAATGGGTTTTGAGTCACTATCCAGCTTGCCACTCTGGATTTTTATTTTTATTTTTTATTTTTTTGAGAGAGAGAGTCTCACTTTGCCACCAAGGCTGGAGTGCAGTGCCATGATCTCAGCTCACTGCAAACTCCACCTCCTGGGTTCAAGCAATTCTTTTGCCTCATCCTCTCAAATAGCTGGGATTACAGGTGTCAACCACTATGCCCAGCTGATTTTATATATACATTTAGTAGAGACAGCATTTCACCATGTTGGGCAGGATGGTCTTGAACTCCTGACCTCGTGATTAGCCTTCTTCAGCCTCTCAAAGTGTTGGGATTACAGGCATGAGCCACTGCACTCAAGCTGGATCTTTTACTTTGTGCATTTAGCCCATTTACATTTAAAGTTAAAATTGTTATGTGTGGATTTAATTCTGTCGTCATGATGCTAGCTGATTATTTGGCAGACTTTTTTAATGTGTTTGCTTTATAGTGTCACTGGTCTGTGTACTTCAGTGTGTTTTTGGAGTGGCAAGTAATTGTTTTCCTTTTCCATTTTTAGTGCTTCCTTCAGAAGCCTTTATAAGGCATATCTGGTGGTTACAAATATCCTCAACATTTATCTGAAAATGACCTTATTTTTATTTTTCTCATGAAACTTAGTTTGGTCTGATATAAAATTCTAAATTAAAAATTATTTTATTTGAGAATGTAAAATATTGGCCTCCAGTTCCTTCTGGTTTGTAGGGATTTGGTTGAGAGATCTGCTGTTTTACTGAGGGGCTTCTTTTTGCAGGCAACCTGGCTTTTCTCTCTGTCTGCCCTTATCATTTTTTCCTTTCATTTTGACCTCAGTGAATCTGATGACTATGTGTCTTGGATATGATCTTCTTGTGGAGTATCTTAATGACGATCTCTGGAATTCCTGCATTTGAATGTTGGTCTGTCTTGCTATGTTACGGACATTCTCCTGGATGATATCCTGAAGTGTTTTTCAACTTGATTCTGTTCTCCCTGTCTCTTGAGTACACCGATCAGTCATAGTTTTG
Source organism: Homo sapiens (assembly GCF_000001405.40). Lineage (NCBI taxonomy): Eukaryota > Metazoa > Chordata > Mammalia > Primates > Hominidae > Homo > Homo sapiens. The sequence continues at coordinate 19,777,034 of NC_000024.10, read as the reverse complement.
GTCTGTTAACATAATCCCAGTTTTGGTTTTGTTCATTTCTTTTCTATCTTTTTATTTTTTGGTCTGGCTTTGTATGCCTGTCTTATTTCAGAAAGACAGTTTTCATGCCTTGAAATTCTTTTCTTCATTTGGTTAATCTGGGGTACTACTTTCATCCCCAGTCAGCCTGGGCTTTCTGTAACCTGGAGACTAGAACAGATGAGTCATTAAAGCATCAGTGATGGGAGCCTGCCTTTCCCTCAGGGCACTATTTTTCAGCAATAAGTAAAAACTTTGTCAGCCAGACAATGAGGGTGGGTGTGTTTGAAGGCCCCAGTTGTGAGGTCCTTCCCAGAGATGAGAAATGGGTCAAGGTCCTGTTTAAAGCACTCTGGCCACATTTTGGTAGTGCACCTGTTTTGTGTAAGAGGATCCCTTACATCCCTAGTAAGTCTGGACTCTCCTAAGCCTACAGGTTGGAAAGGCTAAGCCATCCAGCACTAATATGGTAGTCTTTCCTTATCCTCAGGAACTCCATTTGATCCCAAGAAGGTGCAACACTATTGCTGGCAGCTGACTGGAAATCCAAGCCAGTGGGCTTTTAGCTTGTGAAATGTTGTGAAAGTGGGGTTCACAGACCAATGCTGCTTGGCATCTTGATTTCCACTCCCTTCCCAAGTGTATGTGCAAAGGTTAGTGTTCCACCTTGCTTGAATTTCAGTCATATTTGCTGGGGACTTTACGGTCAGGGTGTATAAAGCTCCTGGGTCCCTATGCATGCCTTAACAGCTACTCTGATAAGACTCCATGAGCTCTGTGTTTCTAACTGAAGGCCCTAGTGGAATGGGTCCCTGACTGGATCTCCTGACCTGAAAGTTGCAAAGATCCATGGGAGAGGATCCTAGGATCATGCATTCAGTTTGCAGTTTCCTGGGTGAAGGAGGCTCCATTGACTGTGTTGCTTCTGGGTGGGCCCTTGCCCTGCACTGCATTTCTCTGTTCTCCATGTGTCAAGCTTTTTCTCTGCTCAGTCCCAAAGTGCACAGCTGGATATTTCAATTGAAAATGCCATAGTTTCTCACACTTTTTGTTTCTCTCTATAAGAAACACATGCTGTAGCTGCTCCTAGTCAGTCATCTTGGCCACATACTCCTCTGAAATTCTTATTTTCTGCTTGGACTAATCTGTCACTGAGGTTTTTACATGTATTTTCAAATTATTGTAGTAAAATTTTAAATTCCAGAAGTTCTGCTTGGTTCATTGTTTATATAATTATATTATCTTTCAAATTCTGGATTATATTTTTAGTTTTTTTCTGTAAGTTTTTTTAGGGGGGATCTCATTGAGTTTTGCCATCTATTATAAATTCTATAACTGTAATTCCAGATTTTTTATCCTGCTTAGAACAACTGCTTAAGAGTTAGTTGGACCTTTGGAGGTGAAAAAACTCTCTGGTAAACACATTTTATTGCCAAAGTTCATGCGCTTAGTTTCTTCTTATCTGAGGAACATAATGCTCCTCTTTTTTCCTTTTTTATAAAATCTATTTTAGTTGAGGCTTCTTAATTTTGTGTTCTTTTTTCTCTCAAGGGTACAATTGTGATGAAAATTTTGTATAATGTGTTGGCTTCACTTCTGGGTGCTTGCAGAATGCCAAAGCTTTGTATGAGTTCCTTGGTTGCAGATAGGTTTGTGCAGTGGCTTTTTCAGAAATTACTCCTTGTAGCCATTTAATTTTGTTTGATGGTTTCACTCAGGCTAAAGTCCAGTAGTTGTCATTTAATAGTGAGAGCGAGCAGGTAAATGTAGAGATAAAGGTAATGTAAGAACATGAAAAGTGCCCCCCTAGCAGGCAGTCACCTTCAGTGGGGGATAGAGCCACTGGAAATGAGTGAAAGGTGGTTTCATTGAGGCTGTGTTCTCCAGGATTTAATTTTAAAGAGACTTGGCCAAGTCTGCAACCATGCACTGCGAATGTCACGGGTAGAAAAGAGGTGCTTCCCTTTCCAAATCTCTTCCCATGCTTTGCTGGTGCTGCCTTCAGCAACTGTTACTCTACTGATGTGTACTTTGACCCAGGGGGGACTTTGACAAGCTGTACTTTCCTTTCCCTTAGAGGTCGACTTTACTGATGGTTACAGCACCAGAGAGGCTGGCATCCATTTTCCTCCTGTCCCTAGGAGCTGGTGGGTCTTTTATTTACCAAGGGAGCACACAAGGGCAACCAGCAATGACACATGCAGACTGTTTCCAGGTCACAAAGCTATTCTGAATGCAAATCTTGCTGCCCAGGAAAAACCTCTTTCTGTAACGCTCCTCGTGCTTCACCCCTGTGAAGGAAGAGAGCCTAATTCCAGTACCTACTTCTGGGCTCACTCTTCACATTCACTACTCATTTCTGGATGTGGAATCCCTTCCTCCCAGAGCAAGTGCTCCAATATCTGGCCTGAGACCAAAATGCCTCTAGTGACTACCACTGCCAGGTAACTAAACAATGTCTCTAAACTTTCAAAATGGTACTGACAAAACACTTGTTACTGGAAAGAGTGGGACCCCTCTCAGTTGAGTGGCATGGGCAAGTAGCTGTGAGAAGGGGAGTCCAGTTTTATTTCAGTTTCACAGCGTCTTGTTGCAGAGCAGTGGATATTATTCTAAGTATGAAGAGGATAGCCTAGTGTTTTTGTCTCTTCTTGGATGGGCAGCGACTGCAACTGCATCAACCTGAACTCAGGCCAAGGGTGGGGTACTATCCAACATCAAACTCTCTAAAATGGCATATTGGGTTCAAGACCAGAGAAGGTGGGGGAGAACCTAGGCAAGGAGCAGGAGCAAGAAGCTGTGAAGAGCATGGTCTGGCCAATTCTCAGTCTCAACAGCAGCTCATAGCAATGTGGCAAATACCCCTCCATGGGTGTGTGTGTATACCTGTTCTGTGTCCTTGGAGCAGTACAGTGGCTGCAGTTGTGTCTGTAGAACCCCAGTATCTAGGTTGCCATCAAAATGGCAGCTGAGGCTGCTACGGGCTCAGATGCCTGTGGAATTATGTGTGAGTTCACTTACTGGAGAAAGATCTCAGTGCCATTTTTAGGTAGCTGCATCTATGATACAGAATGCCATAATGGATTGAAGATTTTTCCTGTAGCCAAGATGTGAAAGCCTATTTTGGAGCTCTAAGGAGTGCTCTCTGTTTTTCTGTGTCTGGGAGACTCTCCCAACTCTCAGTTTGTTCCTAGCTGGGCAAGCTATCTTGAACCCTGTCCCTAATTTCTGGTGCTTCCTGTCGTCTGTGGGGAGCCCATTTTCTACTAGATGATCACAGCTCCTTAGTAAGTTTGCAGGGGTTTTCATCATAGTAGGCAGCTGCTTCTCAAGTTCACCTCTCTTCTCATTCTTCTCAGATTTCTCACCTCTCGGTTTTTGTAGAATTAAAGATAGGAGAGTTGCTCTGGTTTAGGTCTTTGACTTTAGGGATTTTGTAGATGGTTTTATCTTCTACCCAGATCACTAAAATATTACTTCAGCAATAAATCTGCTTTACTGTCTTATTAGTCATATTTTGACTGGAGTAACACCTTTAATTTTTGTTGTTGTTGTTGTTTGTTTGTTTGTTTTAAGCTGGGATTTTAAAAATTATTATTGGCTGGGGACAGTGGCTCACTCCTGTATCCCCAGCAATTTGTGAGGCCAATGCCGGTGGATCATCTGAGGTCAGGAGTTCAAGACCAACCCAGGTGAAACCCTGTCTCTACTAAAAATACAAAAATTAGCTGGGTGTGGTGCCTGTGATCCCAGCTATTCATGAGAATTTTATTTAATTTTTTAATTTTTTAATTAAAAAATTCCTGAGGCAGGAGAATCACTTGAAGTGGAAAGGCAGTGGTTGCAGTGAGCCGAGATCATGCCACTGCACTCCAGCTTGGTCAAAAAGAGTGAAACTATGTCTCAAAAAAAAAAAAAAAAATTCACAACTTGGCTATTCATTTGTCATATGAGGCCCAGCTCTTTGCTTATTTTGGCTTTCAACATGTTTTTCTTACTAAGCTTACTAAGCTTGTAAGTTTTGAATTAAAGTGAGAGACATGGAACTATTTTCCTTAACACTGAAGGTCACTGTAGTCTTGTTAATTGGACAAATTTTATTTAATTTTTTAATTTTTTAATTTTTATTTTTTTATATATATTTTTTATTATACTTTAAGTTTTAGGGTACATGTGCACAATGTGCAGGTTTGTTACATATGTATACATGTGCCATGTTGGTGTGCTGCACCCATTAACTCGTCATTTACATTAGGTATATCTCCCAATGCTATCCCTCCCCCGTCCCCCAACCCCACAACAGGCCCCGGTGTGTGATGTCCCTCTTCCTATGTAATTGGACTAATTTTAATATTGTTGTGTCTCAGGAAATAAGCAGACCAGAAAAAAGATAGATGGGGGAATGGCTGAACCATGGAGATGTCGGAAAACACAAATAATTTGTTAATTTTGTTTGCCATCTTATGTGAGAACATTTTGTGGCACCCAAAAATATGAACAATAAAGACATCAAGGATCACAGATTAGATTATTATACCCAAATATAATAAAAATAATGTTTGAAATGTTACAAGAATAATCAAATTGTGACACAGATAAATGAGCACATGCTGTTAGGAAAATGGGCCCAAAACATTTGTTTCACTCAGGTTTCCTCAAACATTCAAATTGCAAAAAAAAACGCAGTATCTTAAATGTCTGATAAAGCAAACCACAATGAAACAAGCTATCCCTGTATATTATATCTCTTTCTTTGTGGGGTCTCTGCTGAGAAGTCTGTTGCTAGAATTATTGCAACTCTCTTTTTAATTCTTCCCGCTTTAAGCATCCTTTGTCTTTGACAGTTTTATTATAATATGTCTTGGAATGGCCTTGTTAGGGTGCAGTCTAAAGACATTTTATTTTCTATATCTGGATATTTATTCCTTTTTATAAGTATGTTTATATTTGGAAAGTTTTCAGCTATTATTTAAGTAAACTTTCAATCCTTTTATTCTCCTTTTTAAAGCATCTATAACTCAAGTATTTGTCTTTTTTATGCTGTTCCATGACTTCCACAAGCTTCTTTTCTTCTTTAGTCTTGTGATAAGGAAAATCTGTTTTTCAGGACTGCTGGGATTCCACCTAATGCTGTGACATGTGTGGAGACCTCGTTTAATTGAAAGGCCTGATTTTTATAGCTATGGTTTCTAGCTTGGAACTAGGAGAAGATTGAGTTTCAGTGCCTTGTTACCAGCCAGGAGCCTGAAGCTGTAGGAGCTACCTGGTATTAAAAAAAGGTCTGGTTTTTGTATTTGGAGAGGCCAGACTGGCACCGGTAGTGGTGAATGCCACTCAGTTGGATCTGCTGCATGCCACAATATGTAGGATGGGGCATACAGGTGAGCAGGTACAGGAGCCAGGGTGAATGCTTTTGGGTGCTGCCAGAGGCAAACTCTGTGTGGGCCCCGCAGCAGTGTCTAGGGGTGGTGTCCATGACCCATAAAGTCCCAGAGAGAGTGTTACAGTGCTCTTTTAGCTCTAACATCCAAAGACAGCTTGAAGTGTTTACAGCTCAGTATGCCCATAGCTTTTTTGTGTGAGGCAGCTGCTGTCTACCAGCAATGGTTAAAGGTCAGTGTGACAGCAATTGGATTTGCACTCATGGCTCCCAAACTTTTGTCTAATATTGAGGAAAAATGAAGTTACACAGATGAATTGAATGATGGTAAATGTGGAGGATTTTATGTGATAGAGGTGGCTTTAAGTGGGAATGGGTGCTAAAAAGGAGGAGGGATGAATATTTCCCTTTACTCTGGCCAAGATTCAAATTCAGGAAATGCAAAAAAAACCCCAGTAAATATTGTGGATGATTTTATCTTCTACCCAGATCACTAAAGTCTCCAGCCGGATTCTTCTCCAAAGTTACACCATCAAGCTGTTCCTCTGAAGTCAATCCACTTTTCTCTGACATTCAGGTATAGTTTCAGATGTTCATCTACTTCTCTCCTTTCTGCTGGCTCCATCTGGGGGTTTACAGGCAAAGCCTTGGGAGTGAGATGGGGTCATGGGTGGTGTTAGAAAAGCCAACATTTGGCCAGGCGTGATGGCTCATGCCTGTAATCCTGGCACTTTGGGAGGCTGAGGTGGGCATATCATGAGGTCAGGAGATCAAGACCATCCTGGCTAACACAGTGAAACCCAGTGTCTACTAAAAATACAAAAAATTAGCCAGGCGTGGTGGCAGGTGCCTGTAATCCCAGCTACTTGGGAGGCTGAGGCAGAATGGTGTGAACCTGGGAGGTGGAGCTTGCAGGGAGCCAAGATCGCGCCACTGTACTCCAGCCTGGGCTACAGAGCGAGACTCTATCTCCAAAAAAACAAACAAACAAAAAAAGAAAAGGCAACATTTGAACAGGAAAACAGAAATTCAAATTATTATAAGGTAGATCTCATGCTGAAAATAATATTACTTCTTTATTTATGTAGCTTAATTTGACTAGATAATTTTTTATTGGAAATTTTTTTCTTTAAAATTTTGAATAGAAGTTCCCTTCTTTACTGGCTCACCGAGTTTCTACTGAAAGGTCTACCGTTAACCCGAAGGAGTTTCTTTTGTAGGTAACGTTACTTTCCACTTCTGTCTAGCTGCCTTTAGCATTTTTTTTTTCGTTTGAAACTTGCAGGTTCTGATAACTTTGTGTCTTGGGAATGGTCTCGTGTATTTTACTGGGGTTTTTTTTTGCATTTCCTGAATTTGAATTTTGACCTAACTAGTGGGTTCAAAAAAAAATTTCATCTTGTTATAATGAAATATATTATCTAAGTTGTTGCTGTCTCTCCCTGTTTTTCAGGAATGTCAATGAGGCATAGATTTGGTCTCCTTACATAATCGCTTATTTCTCAAAGGTTTTATTTTTCTTTAGGCTTTATTTTTTCTGAGTTACTTCATAGATCAGATTTTTACGTTCTGAGATTCTTTCTCAGATTGGTGAATTCTGCTTGTAATACTTCATCGTATTCTGAAAATTTTAATTTTAATACATGATTGAATTCTGATATTCTTGGCCGCTTTAATAATAGGGTTTTCTTAACCGTGAGAGTCCCCAGCTGACAAAAATGTACTGAATTTGCAGTGTCCACTGGAGCCTTTTTGCATTCCCTGAAGTACCAGGGGTTGACAAGAAAAAGGAATACAAACATTGAGCTTTACTCCCACTTATGCAACGAATAAAAAACACTTTTATATGATGCATAGGTGTCTCATGCTTTCTATTAGCATTCATGAAATTAGAAGGTTAATACGTTGGCTTAAGAAATGAGTAAAATCTAAGAAACTTGATATTTATTGACAGTTTTGGAAATGAGATTGGGATGTTGAGAGAAAAATGACTTTTTGGAAAAGAAATGGACACAGATCTTTGCAGGCCTGCTAAGGGAATATGACAGGGCTCCCCAGGACCAGTAGCAAATTCTCTCAGGCAAGCGGTGCACAAGATGGGATAAAGAGCCCCACGCTGTACTGTTAATGATGCTTATGTGTATGTGAGGTGGGATTGAAACAAGGAACCCGAGTGCTTTTGTTATTGTTTATTTTTCTCCTGCTAGGAAAAAGATAAAGGAGTCTCCAAAGCTGACCCTGAGTCTTTGGTGAATCTAAAGCTGTGGTAGTTGATGTGGTTGGAAATATGCCTTGTTTACCCGCATAGAGGTGCCCACTTTCTCAGCACTCCTTAATATCTCCCTCCCTCTGTATCTAACTTTGTTAACCTTAAAGATTAAACTAAATTTAAATGGGTATTTGACAGAGGGGAATAATGCAAACATTTACAGTTCTATTTGATACATGTGCCCAATTAAGCACCCTGTGTAGTCCCCTGGGATGCACAGGAGTTGTAGACGCTGAAGACTATAGGGTCTAGAGTGCTTCCAAGCAGGCAGAATGAACTAAGTTCTTGATCCTGCGTACTCTCAAAATGCTGGATGTACAAAGGAGAGAAGGCAGCACAGACCTGACAGAAAAAAACGATGACCCAAGCCCTCTCCCCCATGCTAGCCCGTTCTGGACTCTTGTGTCCCTATGCCCTTGCCAAGGAGATGGTGCAATCCTATGACAACCCCTGACTAGACAAATGTTAACCACCATGGTCTATTTTTCCACAGAAGGAGTTAATCATAGAATGAATTGGGCTATGTTAAGAGTCATTCATGACTCTGTATACTAAATGACAAATTTGTTTGGGTGACATATGAACATAAGAGTTTTAATTGGCATTATATGGTAATAATGGTTCTTGTATGATAAAGTACATATTCAATGAATTCTAAGCACAACTCCTATAGCATTTATTTTATTCTTAGGTCATCCTAGCAAAGTCGGCAAAAGTCAAGCCAGGTCCTTCTGCTTTGACTGGTGGTAGAGAGGCAGAGAGTGTGTGAGTCACCAGGGACTGGAGAATGGAGAGGAGCCAGCATGTGCTGTAGTTCACTGATATAACTGTCTTCCTCCTCTCATAGTCACTCTACAAAGTTCAGCAGAGTGTGGTTTTCACACCCTGTGACCCAAGGGATCAGGAGTTATGTGAGGACCCGGCTTGGCAACATCTTCGGGAAACACAATTAAGCATCTGACATGTATAGAAAAAGATGTATGCAGCTATTTATTAAGTACAAACTCGGTTTCAAGCACTGCAGTGAGCACAAGTTTATAGTCTCAAGTTGACTTCTGCTTGGGAGCAACTCAAAGATGAATAAACTCATTATCCCCATTTTACATCTGAGAAAAGTGCCACTTAGAAAAAATGAATATGAAAGATTACATGGCTGCTAAGTGGAAAATGGTATCTCCAAGTCAGACAATCTTATCCTGTACTTCAGATGAGCTGGGCAGCCTCTTACCAGCTGTCTTTGTAAAGGCCAGAGGCATAAGAGGGTGGCATTTGAGCCTTTGATACAGAGGTACAAATCTCAAAATTTGGTGCTGAAGGTAAAGGGGTTAGATAACTACACAACTTGATAAGATAACATTTTTTAATTTAATGCAGCCCATGAAAATATTCATAAGACTTACATATGTTTTGAGACTATCACTTGGGACAGCATTTATGCAGAAAATATTTTCTAAGACTTGTTTAGCCACTGATAACTCTATGTAGCTCTATAAAAAATGTGATCATTAGGTAGATGGTGTTTCATCTATGAGATGGATAAAATTGTGTTTCTAAGAAAATATACTTATAAATAATCCCAATCATAAATATTTAATTACTAACAAATGGAACACGTGTCTGGGACAAGGATATATATATATATATATATATATACACACACACACACACACACATATAATGTATATGTATACTTTAATATATAACATGTAATTATACATCTACAATATATATTTTATTACATATACGTTATATTTTTATATATATATTTTATTACAATACTATATATATATATATTATTACAATATTACAGCACTTTCTGTTATTGTGGGCTTCATTGCCCATCAGCTCCAAGGTGTTGCCCATCAGGTGCAAAGTTGCAGCAAGAAGAACAGGTGTGGATGAGCTCAGGCACTGGGCACAGCTGATCTCCCACAGGAGGTGTCCACAGGGCTTATGGGAACTGTAGTTCTGCTCATGCTGAGAGGGGGCAGGCCTACTTCCTATGTCTTTGAGAGCTCCAACATTTCTTTTTCGTAGTTCTGTGGTTTTGTGAATGCTATGATTTTGATGTAGACTGTCTACAACAAAACTCATTTTGAAATTCAATTCTCCATGGGACAGTATTGTAAGGTAGGATCTATTTGAGATTTGGGGTCATGGGTGTGGATTCCACATAAAGAGATTGATGTATTCCTGCATTGTAATTTCTTGCTCTCATTTTCTGCAAGAATGGGTTGTTAAAGAGTGTAGATTCCTTGGTTTCTCTCTCTCTCTTTCTTCCCCTCTTGCCATGTGTTCTCTTTGCACACACCTGATTTCCTTCCACTTTTCAACTTGAGTGGAAGCAGCATAAGTAGTATAAGGCCCTCCACAAGTTAAGCAGGTGCCAGGGTTGTACATCTTATTTATTATTATTATTTTTTTGAGTCAGAGTTTAACTCTTGTTGCCCGGGCTGGAGTACAATGCTGTGACATCGGCTCACCACAACCTCTGTCTCCCAGGTTCAAGCGATTCTCCTGCCTCCACCTCCTGAGTAGCTGGAATTATGCACCACCATGCTTGGCTAATTTTGTATTTTTAGTAGAGATGGGATTTCTCCACATTGGACAGGCTGGTCTTGAACTCTCAACCTCAGGTGATCTGCCTTCCTTGGCCTCCCAATGTGCTGGTATTACGGGCATGAGCCACTGTGCCCAGCCAATCTTGTAATTCTTAGGCTGTAGATCCATGGACTAAATAAACCTCCTTCCTTAATAATTTTTTTAGTCTCAGCTTCTGTTACAGCATCATGAAAAGGACTAAGTGAGCTTTGCTCCAGTTGACCCAACTTGACTCTCCACGTGGCCTTGGAGTCTCAAGACAGCAGTGCTCAGTCTCACCCACTGTGTACCTCTGGGCCAGCCCCTCACTGGTTAGGGATCAGCCTTTGTGACACCCTAGACATTGGGATGCCATTGGTATTCATTTAGCCATGATCAGATCTGGGACTAGAAGTTCCCATGATAAAAACCTGGTCACCTTAATGATGGTACCCTGTTCTTGAGAAAACTGTAACTTTTCCACTTGACTTTTTATAGTAGAAATGTGTTCTTCAATGGTAAGCCTGAGCCTGTCTAAATGACACCAATCCAGGTTATATGATTCTAGCCTGCAATGCCATTGAGTGCTTTTACAGACCTTTGTTAAGTTTTAGGTCACTGTCAGATGAGCATGGTGTCTTGTCCAATCGTCTCTCCTTTCACCCTATAATGAAATGAGTTTTCCCTGCATTTTTACATTCACTTAGATATTCATGAATAATACTCTTCTGGCTGATAGTGCTTTTTTTAAAAAAAAAAGATTATCATATCTGTTGGTCCTTCATTAGTTAAATATTATTTTACCATATGTTCTGAGTCTCATGACATTTTTTTAAAAATTATTTTTAAGCATATTTTACATTACACAGATATACCTAGTTGATTCATCTACCAAGACCAGGTATATTTCTATGACAGAGTTGCACTAAATACATGGCTGAAGCCTGAGTGTGTCTATTTTTGGCTTTCCTAGGTTACCCCAAAACACCAATACAACCTTGATGACTCGGCTTTGCTCATTTTACCTTTTCATTCTGTTCATTTAATGTTTCTCTGTGAGTGTGTGTGTGTGTTTTCTACACTTACATTTGCAGCTGGAAAGATGGTCTGCATTTTGGCAACAATTATCTTGTTTATTTTTAAAAATTCATTTTATTGATATTAAAATCATATAACAAAAATGTTGATCATGTTAAAATTTACAACTTAGTGTTTCTTGATGTATTCACAATTGTTAATATGAGGTAACTCCAGAACAGTATAATCACCCCCAAAATAAAAGCCATACAAATTAAGCTGTCCCTTCCTACTCTCATTCCCCAAGCTGGCAAAAAATTAATTTATTTTCTGTTTCTATGAATTTGCCTGCTCTGGGTATTTTATACAAATGGATTCATAAAGTACCTGGCCTTTTATGTGTTGCTTGTTTCATTGAGCATGTTTTCAATCTCCATCCATGTCGTAGCTCATATTGGTACTTCATTCCTTTTTATACCTAAATACTATTCCATTGTATGAATGTATCACATTTGTTTATCTATTCCTCCACTGATTGTCATTGTGGATTGTTTGCACTTTTGGCTATAATAAATAATGTTTCTGTGGGCATTTATGTACAAGTTTTTGTGTGGCTGTATGTTTTTGTTTGTACTGGGCGTATCCTTTGGAGTGGAATTTCTGGATTATATGGTAACTCTATGGTTACCTTTGGAGGACTTGTCAAAGTGTTCCCAAATGGCTGCATCATTTCACCATTTCACCAGCATTGTATTAGTCTCTACTTATCTCCACATCCTCACGCACATTTATCTATCTTCCTAACTGTACCTATACTACTAGCTATGAAGTGATATCTCATTGTGGTTTTTATTTGTATTTTCCTAATCAATAAGGACGTTGAACATGACTTTATGGGTTTCTTGGGCATTTTCATTGGTTATTTCCATATCCTGATGTGTTGCCATCATGAAGAGTTGAAATGTTCTCTGTTAATTTTTTTCTAAGTTAAATTGCTTAGAAACAATGTATAAGGGTATAAAATGATTTCCTCAGTGAATGTACTTGTCTCATTTAATTTGTAATGTATTTGATGATATGATTTGATCCTCTTACTGGTATATCGTATAATTCTGAAATAAACCATTTGTTATTATTTGTATACTTAGATACTAGTTGTATATCCAAGTCCATAATTTATATTGGCCTAGTTTTAAATCTTGCATGTTTTGAGTGTAATAGCCATATAAAATATTTCCATGGCTTTTCCCATTTTCCTGATTAGTAAAACTGCTTTGAATAAGGAATACCTAGACCTTAAAAATGGAAAAAGAATCATTTAAAGTAATGAGAACTTTTGATTAATACTTCCAAATATTTAAAATTTGTTTTTTGAGTCCTTGTTTATTCTTATTCTGGTTTTGGTAGCCTATAATTTACAGAAATTATTATTGTCTCTAGTTTTCTAATTTATTCCTATGTTTGTTTTCCTTAATCTCTAGGGGTTTTACAAACTCTATCAATAATTTTAATGCTGTTTATTCTTATTGTCTTTTCACATCTTACTCACCATTGCACTATGTGAATTTTATCTTAATTTTATTTTTGTATAAAATGTAATTATTCTAAATGTTATTAAATTATAATGTATTATTACATATTACTTGTATTCAATCTATACTTCATTTAATAAATTTCAAAGATTTACCTATAGCACATATTGTCAGGCATCTATTATTACAGTACTTAAATTTGTAGCTATCTTATTTGCCTAAATACTATAGAATACAGTTCACAGCTTTGATATGGAGAATCTCTATTGTGATTTACAAACAAAGTAATTATTCATTACAAGTGTCCCAGTTTCAATTTTTACTATTTAAGAAATTTAATACAGCATTTCAAAAATATTATTACTTATTGGGTAGTGAGGCTATATTCTATAATTAAAAGGTTATAATTTGTTATATAAAATGTCATAATTTGTTAAAATTTTTGAGAGGAAATAATTGACCCATATGTACTGAAAAACATAACACAAAGCTCAGGTTCAATATATGTCAGTTTAGGACAAGGCTTTTTGTTGTTCAAATTTTTGAATTATCAGTAAATTTTATTTGTATTATGTAATGATAATCAAAAAAAGGTCTGTTAAAATTTTTTTACTATGGTCAAATACACACATACCCAGTTTAATTTTTTCAAATTTTTTTTTGAATATTTCAAACCAAAAATTATTCCTCCCCCTGCTGAAAAATGGTGCCATGACCTTCACCCCCAGATACTTTGTGCTCCACTCCTCCATGGACAGTGAGCAGCTCCAACACAGATTTACCTCCCAAAGTTCAGAATATGCAGTCCATCCTGCTCCTGCCTTTCAGAATAGGTTAATGGAGATTATTGCTTGATACAGAACACTTTGATGTCTTCCAAAAACCAGCTGGTTTTCTTTATAATTATCATATTTATTAGATGAAAATTTAATTATAGTTAAAACCTCTCAATGTGACCCTTGTGCTCACTTTGTTCTATGTCATTTTCTTCATTTTTACGTAAAATATTTTAAAATATGCTAATCTCCCAGCATATTTAAAATACACTAAATTGCATATTTCAAATGACAAACTTTCTTCTTAAGACTGAAAGTAAATGGCCACCCCCATTTGCTGGTGTATGTATGCGTGAACAGATCTTGCTTTTGGTTGCCTACCAGCATGCATGTGTGTGCAACCTGCTGTGCCACTGCTGTTGGTGTTAGTGCATCTCACACCCTCCACTGGACTGCCACTGTCATCAGAGTGTTGGAGGGAATGAAGTCCACCAGTCCTGCCCCTGCCAGTGCTCCAAACCTGAAACAACACTGCTGCCAGCATAAAAGTAGGCACAGAAAACAGTGCAACCTACCACATCTGAGTGATCACCACTGCCCCCACAAATGCACAGAGAGGGCACACACAGTCCTGCATCCAAAAGAAAGCTGCCCCCATGCTAACACCCACCAACACTACAAATATGCACACAATCACCAACTGCCCTCCACATAACCTCCCATAGTGTGCTGCCACTGTCAGTGCTGCATATGCTTTCATGGAGACTGGAAACCCAGCACCCACTGACACCCTGGCACAACTGATGAATGTGCACCCCATCATGCTGCCACTGCTGATGCTGGTGGCATGTGAGTACGAAGATGAATCCTGCTACCACCCGCATATGAAGCACATTGGCTACTACCAATCATTAGAGTGTTGTGACCATTTCTCTGAGAGCATCTTGGTCCCTCCAGTGCAGCAGATTTCTAACCTCAGGGTGTAAAGGAACAAAGCCAAAGCTCATTCCCAGTCCCTAGAGTTACAGAACACCATCCAGAAATCCTGAGATAAAATATCTTTAAAATATTCTAGAAATAAAGCCAGTTGATTGAATTCACTGTTGCTACAAACCAACCCACTAAGTTATTAAATAGGATTTTTTCAAAAATCCAAAAGACAGCAACCTCAAAGACTGAAGAAACATCAGCCCATACAGATTTAAAAAAAAAAAAATCAGCTGGGCGTGGTGGCTCATGCCTGTAATCTCAGAACTTTGGGAGGCTGAGGCGGGTGGATCACCTGAGGTCAGTAGTTCAAGACCAGCCTGGCCAAGATGGTGAAACCTCATCTCTACTAAAAATACAAGAAATTAGTTGGGTGTGGTGGTGGGCGCCTGTAATCCCAGATACTCAGGAGGGTGAGGCAGGAGAATCACTTGAACCCAGGAGGCAGAGGTTGCAGTGAGCTGAGATCACCCCACTGCACTCCAGCCTGGGTGACAAGAGTGAAACTCTCTCTCAAAAAGAAAAGAAAAGAAAAGAAATCAGTACACAAACTCTGACAACTGAAAAATCTAGAGTGCCTTTTATTCCCCCGCAAATGGCTGCACTACCTCTCCAACAAGGATCCTTTACTGAGCTGAGATGGCTGAAGTGACAGAAACAGTATTCAGACTATTCACAGGAGCTAAGACCACTGAGATTGAGGAGGATATTGAAATCCAATCATAAAAAATTAAGACTGAAAATAAAAATAAATAAAAATAAAACAATACAGGCACTGACAGAAAAAAATAGCCAGTATAAAAAGGGACATAATCCTTTGAAAGGCTGAGGTGGGTGGATGAGGAGTTCAGGAGTTCAAGGCTAGCCTGGCCAAGATGGTGAAACCCTGTGTCTACTAAAAATAGAAAAATTAGCCAGGCTTGGTGGCAGGTGACTGTAATCCCAGCTACTTGGGAGCCTGAGGCAAAGAATTGCTTGAACCCAGAAGGCTGAGGTTGCAGTGAGCTGAGATCGTGCCACTGTACTCCACTCTGGGTAACAGTTAGACTCTAAAAAAAAAAAAAAATGGACATAATCAACCTGATAGAGCTGAATGACACACTATAAAAATTTCATAATGCACTTGCAAATATCAAAGCAGAACAGACTAAGCTGATAAAAAAAGACTAAGAGGTCAAATACCGGCTTTCCAAAATAAGACAACAATAAAGAATAAAAAGAATGAACAAAATCTCTGTAAAATATGTGCTTATGTAAAGAGACCAAATCTATGACTCACTAGCATTCTTGAAAGAAATGAGAAGAATGGAAACAACCTGAAAAACATACTTCAAAATATTATCTATAAGAAATTCCCCCATGTAGCTGGAGAGGCCAAAATTTAAATTCAGGAAACATAAAGAACTTCAACAAGACATTTCACAGAAAGATCATTCCCAAGACACATAATCATCAGATTCTTTAAGGACAAAATGGAACAAAAAATATTAAAGGTAGCTAGAGAGGCAGGTGAGGTCACCTACAAAGGGGAGCCCATTAGACTAACAGAATACTTCTCAGCAGAAACTCCACAAGCCAGAAAATATTGAGGGCTTATATTCAATACTCTTAAAAAAATTTCAACCAAGAATTTTACATATGCTATATTTTATATATTCTATAAAGGCAAATTAAGCTTCACAGGTGAAAAATAAGATCTTTTTCAGAGAAGCAAATCTTGAGAGAATTCATTAGTACTAGACCTGCTGTATAAGATCTCCTAAAAAAGCACTAAGTACAGAAAGCAAAGACCATTATCAGCCACTGAAAAAACAACAACAATAACAACAACAACAACAAAAACTCTTGGCATACACAAACCAATGACATGATAAAGCAATAACATAAACAAGACTGCATAATGAGAAACCAACAACATGACGACAGGATCAAATCCACAAATATCAATACTAACCTTGAATGAAAATAGGCTAAATATCCCAATGAAAAGGCACAGGGTGGTAATCTAGATAAAGAAGTAAGACCCCATTTTGTGCTCTGTTCAAGAGATACATTGCACCTGCAAAGATATCCACAGGCTCAACTAAAGAGATGGAAACAAATCTACAAACGAAATGGAGAACCGAAAAAGAGCCCAATCCTAACTTCAAACAAAACAGACGTTAAACCAACAAAAATTTAAAAAAAAAAAGATAAAGAAGGGCATTATATAATGGTAGGTATTGTAAATACATACTAAGACAGGAGCACCTAAATTCTTTTTTTTTTTTTTTTTTTTTTTGAGATGGAGTCTTGCTCTGTCACCAAGGCTGGAGTGCAGTGGCGCAATCCTGGCTCACTGCAACCTCCACTTCCTGGGTTCAATGATTCTCCTGCCTCAGCCTCCCAAATAGCTGGGATTACATGCTCCACCACACCTGGCTAAGTTTTGTATTTTTAGTAGAGACAGGGTTTCACAATGTTGGCCAGGCTGGTCTTGAACTCCTGACCTCAGGTGATCCACCCACCTTGGCCTCCCAAAGTGTAGGGATTACAGGCATCAGCCACTGCTCTGAGCCAGGAGCACCTAAATTCTTAAAGCAAGTTATTAGAAATCACTATAGAGATGTAGACTCCCACACAACAACAGTAGGAGACATCAACATTCCCCTGACAAAATTAGAGAGATCATCAAGATAAAAAATTAACAAAGTTATTCAGGACCTGAACGCAACATGGAGCCACAAGGATCTGATTGACTTCCCCAAAAACTCTTCAATCTGAAGCAACAGAATACACATTTTTCTCATCACCATCTACTCTAGAGTCAACCACATATTTGGATATAAAACAATCAGCAAATACAAAAGAACCAAAATCATATCCAACATACACCAAGGCCACAGTTCAATTAATAGAAGAATACAAAAAAACTCATTCAAAATCATGCAATTACATGAAAATTAAACAACAAGTTTCTGAATGACAGGTAGGTAATTATATTAAGGCAGAAATTAAAAAGTTATTTTAAGAACATATACAACATAATACCAATTATGAGATATGGCAGGGCAGTGTTAAGGGGGAAATTCATAGCACTAAATCCACATCAAAAAGTTAGAATGATCTCTATTTCACAACCTAACATCACAACTAATGAAACTACAGAAACAAGAGGAAACCAACACTAAACGTAAAGAAGACAAAAAATAACCAAAATCAGTAATCGATGAATTCAGGAGTTGTTTTCTTTTGAGAAATTAATAAGATAAACTACCAGTTGACTAATAAAGAAAAAAGAGAAGATCCAAATAAAGACAAAAACAACAAAATGCATGTTACCACTAACACCACAGAAATACTAACAACCATCAAAGAATATTACAAAAAACTCTATGCACACACATAGGCCCGTGATGCCTGCCTTAGCCTCAAAACCAGCAAATTTTTATTAAGGCTTTCAAAAGGGGAGAGGGTGTAAGAACAGAGAGTAGGTACAAAGATCACATGCTTCAAAGTGCAAAAAGCAGAACTACTGATAAGGGTCCAACAAAGATCACAAGGCAAAGGGCAAAAACAGAACTACTGATAAGGGTCTATGTTCAGCAGTGCACATATTGTCTTGATAAACATCTTAAACAACGGAAAACAGGGTTCCAGAGCAGAGAAACTGTCTGACTACAAATTTACCAGGGCAGAGTTTTTTCCCCCACCCTAGTAAGCCCGGGGGTACTGCAGGATACCAGGGGGTATCTCCATCCTTATCTCAACCGCATAGGACAGACATTCCCAGAGCAGTCGTTTATAGGCCTCCCCCCAGGAATGCATTCCTTTCCCAGGGTATTAATATTAATATTCTCTGCAAGGAAAAGGATTTAGTGATATCTCTCCTACTTGTACGTCCATTTATAGGCTCTCTGCAAGAAGAAAAATATGACTCTTTTTGCCCAACCCCACAAGCAGTCAGATCTTAAGGTTGTCTTCCCTTGTTCCCTAAAAATTGTTATTCTGTTCTTTTTAAGGGTCACTGATTTCATATTGTTCAAACACGTTTTACAATCAATTTGTACAGTTAACACAATTATCACAGTGGTCCTGAGGTGACGTACAGCCTCAGCTCACAAAGGTAACAGGATTAAGAGATTAAAGAGAGGCATAATAAATTATAAAAGTATTATTTCGGAAATGATAAATGGCCATGAAATCTTCACAATTTATGTTCCTCTGCCATGGCTCCAGCTCAGATGTGATCCTTGACAAAGTCAACAAGAACAAGCAATAAGGAAAAACCTCTATACTCAATAAATAGTGCTAGGATAACTGGCTACTTATATGCAGAAAATTGAATTGAACCCCTTGCTTTTATCATATACAAAAATAATCTAAACATATATTGAAGATTTCACTATAAGCCTAAAAATTTAAAAACCCTAGTAGAAAACCTAGAGAGTATCATTCTGTACATAGGCCCTGGAAAATACTTTATGACAAAGATTCCAAAAAAAAATTGCAACAAACACAAAAATTGATAAGTCAGACCTAATTTAACTGAAAAGCTTCTGTATAGCAAAAGAAACTGTAAACAGAGTAAACAGACAACCCACCCAAGGTGACAGCATATTTGCAAACAATGCATCTGACAAAGGTTTAATATCCAGCATCTATAAAGAAATTAAATTGCCAGGCGTGGTGGCTCATGCCTGTAATCCCAACACTCTGGGAGGCCAAGGCGAGCGGATCACCGGAGGTCAGAATTTCGAGACCAGCCTGACCAACACGGAGAAATCCCGTCTCTACTAAAAGTATAAAAAAAAAATAGCCAGGCATGGTGGTATATGCCTGTAATCCCAGCTACTCGGGAGGCTGAGGCAGGAGGAACCCAGGAGGTGGAGGCTGTGGTGAGCCAAGATCACGCCATTGCACTCCAGCTTGGGCAACGAGAGTGACACCCCATCTCAAAAGAAAAAAAAAAAAAAAAGAAAAAAAAAAGAAATTAACTCACAGAAAACAATCCCATTAAAAATGGGCAAAGGACATATACAGACACTTCTATAAATAATACATACATGCAGCCAACCAGCATATAAAAATGTTCAACATCATTAGTTATTAGAGAATTACAAATCAAAACACAACGAGAGGTAATCTCACACAAGTCAGAATGGCTATTACTAAAATACCAAGAAATAACAGATACTGGCAAGGTTGTGGAGAAAAAGGAACATTTATACACCGCTACTGATTATGTAAATTACTTTAGGCATTGTGGAAATTTGTTTGACGATTTCCCAAGTAACTTAGAACAAAACTAACTTTGACCCAGCAATCCCACTGCTCAGCATATACTCAAAGAAATGGAAATTATTCTATGATAGAAATACATATACACATATGTTCATTACTGCACTATTTGTACTAGCAAAGACATGAAATTAACCCAGGTGTCCATTAACAGTAAGCTGAATTTAAAAAGTACATACATAAAAATAAATATATGCACAATGGAATACCAGACAGCATAAAAAAAGAATAAAATTATGTCCTTTGCAGCAACATGGATGCAGCTGGAAGGCATTATCCTAAGCAAATTAACACAGGAAGAGAGAACCAAATAGCATGTTCTCACTTACATGTATAAGCTTAAAACTGAGTACACATGGAAATAAGACAATAATGGACACAGGATCTACTTCAGGGTGGAGGGCCAGAAGAGGCTGAGCAAAGAAAACTGCTTACAGCATACTGTGCTCATTATTTGGGTAACAAGATAATCTGTGCACCAAATCTACACAACTTGCAGTTTATCCATGTAACAAACCTGCATCTGCATCCCTTGAACCTAAATGTTTGAAATCTGAAAAGTAAAAAACAGAAATGAGCAACAAGTCATCTGAAGTTATAAAACTCAATGTTACTAGTAAATACACAAGTAGAAAATACTGTAATGTTACAATCGTGTTGTCCAAACCACTCATATCTTTAGTAGAAAGACTAAAGAAGCAATATGTTAAAACTGATAATTACATCATTTAAGAGACAGATAATATACAAAGACAAGACAACCAAAAGACATAAAACAGAGGAGAATATAAAGTGTAGAGATTTTTACTTTTCTATGTTTTAAAATTTTGATTATAGTTGTTTTTATTTAAAATAATTGGTTATAACATGTTATATGTAAGCAAACTAGTAAGCACATATACAAAACCTATAATTGATACACAATATATAAAAATAAAGAAATTAAACCCTAGAAGCAGAAAAAAAAGTCACTTGTATAAAACGACATGAAGAAAAAAATGACTAATAAAAAAATACAAATAAACGTCAGTAGTAAGTCCCTGCTCATCTATAATAATGAATGTAAATAAACTAAATTTTTTAACCAAAAGATGTAGAGTAGGTGAATAAATGAAAAGGGAAGACAACTACATGCTGTCTACAAGAGAATTTACCTCACCTTATAAGGACACAAATATGTGCCAACGGAAACCAAAATAGAGGAGCAGTAGCTATACTTATATCAGGTAAAATAGATTTCGAGACAAAAGTGAGGCCATTAAATGATGATAAGGGGATCAATTCAGCAAAAAGATATAACAATTTTAAATTTACATGCACCCAATGCTGGAGAATCAAGATTTACAAAGAAAAGATTATTAAGCTAACGAGAGAGATAGACCCCAACACAATAATAATTGTCGACTTCAAAACCCCACTTTGGGCATTTAATGGATCATCTAATGGATCATCTAAATAAATACTTAAACAATAACAACAACATGAGTAACAAGTGGCCAAGTGAACCTCCCCTAACACAGGGAAGTGGTGAGCGAATGTACACCCTGGGAAATAATACTCAATGTTTCTCCTAAGGATCTTTTAACACTCCAGTTAGGAGATCCCCTCATGATCCCACTTCACTAAGGCCTTGGGTTTCATGCACAGAGCTGTGTGAAGTCTTGGCAGAATAGCTGCTCAGGTACACACAGAGTATCAGGAGAGGCTGGCACACTTTGGGTCCAGGATCACCAGCAAAGGTAGCTGCAACTCAGGCAAAGTGAGAGATAAGATTTTTGTACATAACCTTAGGAAGAGAGCTGAATCCAGGAAGCTGAGCAGCATCCTTCTGTGGGCCCCACTTTCATGGCACCTCATAGGATAAGACTCACCAGCTTGGAATTCCAGCCAGCCCCTGGCAACAGTGTTGGGCCAAGCTTGAATGGGGCAGAGTTCTTAGGAGAAAGGGAAGGTTGTCATCCTTGCTGTTTGGATGGCTCAGCTGTTCCAGCCTGCAGGTTTAGGAGAGCGCAAACAAAACTGACCAGGGGATGAAAGGGACTCCCTGGCACACCACAGCTGCTCTACCAAAATGTGGCTAGACTGCTTCTTTAAGTGGGACATCAATCTGCTTCTTATCTCTGGGGAGGGGCCTCCCAACTGGGGCCTCTAGCCACCCCCACCTATATTCTCCAGCAGTTTTAATTTCTCCCTGGATGGAGTGCCTAGGGGAGGGGTGGGCCATGGTCTTTGCTGTTTGGAAAACTCAGCCATTCCAGCCTGTTGTCTTAGCAAAGTCCAAACCATGCAGGGGCAGACAGTACCCTAGTACAGCACATTATCTCTATGAAAGCATGGGCAGAATTATTCTTTAAGCAAGTTCCTATGTGTTCCTCCTTACTTGGCGGGACTTCCCATCCAGGGCCTCCAATCACTCCCACTGATGTTCTCTGGCCAAGAGAGGTTTGAAAACTTCCTGGGACAGACTTCCTAGAGAGAGGAGAAGTTGACTTTTTTTTTGCTTTTTTGTCACCTTAGCAATTCTGGCCTGCAGGCTTCACAGAGTCCAACCTGATAAGTTCTGCAGAACTCTGCATCAAAACACAACAGAATATACATTCTTCTCATTGTCACATAGCACTTCATCTAAAATTGATAAAATAATTAGAAATAAAACACTCGTTAGCAAATTCAAAACAACTGGAAATAAACAGTCTGTTAGACCACAGCACAATCAAATTAGAACTCAAGACTAAAAAATTCACTCAAAGCCATACAATTTGCATAGACATTGGATGGCCTGCTTCTGCATGACTTTTGGGTAAATAATGAAATTAAGGCAGAAATCAAAAAATTATTTGAAACTCATGACAACAAACCTACAATGTGCCAGAATCTTTCGGATGCAGCAAAGGCAGTATTAACAGGGAAATTTATAGCATAAATGCCCACTTTAAAAAAAAAAAAAAGAAGGTTGTCAGGTTAACACCCTAACTTCATAACTAAAGGAACTAGATAACCGACAGTGAATGAACCCAAAAGTTAGCAGAAGACAAGAAATAACCAAAAATTCTTTTGAGGTCAGGCCAAATGTTCCTATTCAGTCAGCCAAGAAGGCCGAATAGGAACAGCTCCGGTCTACAGCTCCCAGCGTGAGTGACGCAGAAGACGAGTGATTTCTGCATTTCCATCTGAGGTACCGGGTTCATCTCACTAGGGAGTGCCAGACAGTGGGCTCAGGACAGTGGATGTAGCACACCGTGCATGAGCCAAAGCAGGGTGAGGCATTGCCTTACTCAGGAAGCGCAAGGGGTCAAGGAGTTCCCTTTCCTAGTCAAAGAAAGGGGTGACAGATGGCATCTGGAAAATCGGGTCACTCCCACCCTAATACTGTGCTTTTCCAATGGGCTTAAAAAACGGTGCACCAGGAGACTATATCCCGCACCTGGCTTGGAGAGTCCTACGCCAGTGAGGTCTCGCTGATTGCTAGCACAGCAGTCTGAGATCAAACTGCAAGGCGGCAGCGAGGCTTGGGGAGGGGAGCCCGCCATTGCCCAGGCTTGCTTAGGTAAACAAAGCAGCCGGGAAGCTCCAACTGGGTGGAGCCCACCACAGCTCAAGGAGGCCTGCCTGCCTCTGTAGGCTCCACCTCTGGGGGCAGGGCACAGACAAACAAAAAGACAGCCGTAACCTCTGCAGACTTAAATGTCCCTGTCTGACAGCTTTGAAGAAAGCAGTGGTTCTCCCAGCATGCAGCTGGAGATCTGAGAACGGGCAGACTGCCTCCTCAAGTGGGTCCCTGACCCCTGACCCCAGAGCAGCCTAACTGGGAGGCAGCCCCCAGTAGGGGCAGACTGACACCTCACACGGCTGGGTACTCTTCTGAGACAAAACTTTCAGGGGAACGATCAGACAGCAGCATTCACAGTTCACGATAATCTGCTGTTCTGCAGCCACCGCTGCTGGTACCCAGGCAAACTGGCTCTGGAGTGGACCTCTAGTAAACTCCAACAGACCTGCAGCCGAGGGTCCTCTCTGTTAGAAGGAAAACTAACAAACAGAAAGGACATCCATACCAAAAACCCATCTGTACATCACCGTCATCAAAGACCAAAAGTAGATAAAACCACAAAGATGGGGAAAAAACAGAGCAGAAAAACTGGAAACTCTAAAAAGCAGAGCGCCTCTCCTCCTACAAAGGAATGCAGTTCCTCACCAGCAACGGAACAAAGCTGGATGCAGAATGACTTTGACAAGTTGAGAGAAGAAGGCTTCAGACGATCAAACTACTCTGAGCTACAGGAGCAAATTCAAACCAAAGGCAAAGAAGTTAAAAACTTTGAAAAAAATTTAGACGAATGTATAACTAGAATAATCAATACAGAGAAGTGCTTAAGAGCTGATGGAGCTGAAAGCCAAGGCTCGAGAACTACGTGAAGAATGCAGAAGCCTCAGGAGCCGATGCGAACAACTGGAAGAAAGGGTATCAGTGATGGAAGATGAAATGAATGAAATGAAGTGAGAAGGGAAGTTTAGAGAAAAAAGAATAAAAAGAAATGAACAAAGCCTCCAAGAAATATGGGACTATGTGAAAAGACCAAATCTACGTCTGATTGGTGTACCTGAAAGTGACAGGGAGAATGGAACCAAGTTGGAAAACACTCTGCAGGATATTATCCAGGAGAACTTCCCCTATCTAGCAAGGCACGCCAACATTCAGATTCAGGAAATACAGAGAACACCACAAAGATACACCTCAAGAAGGGCAACTCCAAGACACATAATTGTCAGACTACCCAAAGTTCAAATGAAGGGCAGCCAGAGAGAAAGGTCGGGTTAACCACAAAGGGAAGCCCATCAGAGTAACAGCGGATCTCTCGGCAGAAACTCTACAAGCCAGAAGAGAGTGGGGGCCAATATTCAACATTCTTAAAGAAAAAAATTTTCAACCCAGAATTTCATATCCAGCCAAACTAAGCTTTATAAGTGAAGGAGAAATAAAATACTTTACAGACAAGCAAATGCTGAGAGATTTTGTCACCACCAGGCCTGCCCTAAAAGAGCTCCTGAAGGAAGCGCTAAACATGGAAAGGAACAGGTGGTACCAGCCACTGCAAAATCATGACAAATTGTAAAGACCATCGAGGCTAGGAAGAAACTGCATCAACTAACGAGCAAAATAACCAGCTAACATCATAATGACACGATCAAATTTACACATAACGTAAATGGACTAAATGCTCCAGTTAAAAGACACAGACTGGCAAATTGGATAAAGAGTCAAGACCCATCAGTGTACTGTATTCAGGAAACCCATCTCACGTGCAGAGACATACGTAGGCTCAAAATAAAAGGATGGAGGAAGATCTACCAAGCAAATGGAAAACAAAAAAAGGCAGGGGTTGCAATCCTAGTCTCTCATAATACAGACTTTAAACCAACAATGATCAAAAGAGACAAAGAAGGCCATTACAGAATGGTAAAGGGATCAATTCAACGAGAAGAGCTAACTATCCTAAATATATATGCACCCAATACAGGAGCACTCAGATTCATAAAGGAAGTCCTGAGTGATCTACAAAGAGACTTAGACTCCCACACAATAATAATGGGAGAATTTAACACCCCACTGTCAACATTAGACAGATCAACGAGACAGAAAGTTAACAAGGATACCCAGGAATTGAACTCAGCTCTGCACCAAGTGGACCTAATAGACATCTACAGAACTCTCCACCCCAAATCAACAGAATATACATTTTTTTCAGCATCATACCACACCTATTCCAAAACTGACCACATAGTTGGAAGTAAAGCTCTCCTCAGAAAATGTAAAAAAACAGAAATTATAACAACTGTCTCTCAGACCACAGTGCATCAAACTAGAACTCAGGATTAAGAAACTCACTCAAAACCGCTCAACTACATGGAAACTGAACAACCTGCTCCTGAATGACTACTGGGTACATAACGAAATGAAGGCAGAAATAAAGATGTTCTTTGAAACCAATGAGAACAAAGACACAACATACCAGAATCTCTGGGACACATTCAAAGCACTGTGTAGAGGGAAATTTATAGCACTAAATGCCCACAAGAGAAAGCAGGAAAGATCCAAAATTCACACCCTAACATCACAATTAAAAGAACTAGAAAAGCAAGAGCAAACACATTCAAAAGCTAGCAGAAGGCAAGAAATAATTAAAATCAGAGCAGAACTGAAGGAAATAGAGACACAGAAAACCCTTCAAAAAATTAATGAATCCAGGAGCTGGTTTTTTGAAAGGATCAACAAAATTGATAGATCGCTAGCAAGACTAATAAAGAAGAAAAGAGAGAAGAATCAAATAGAGAGATTCTCTATTTGAGAATAGAGAGAAAAAAATAGAGAGAAGAAAAATAGAGAGAAAAAAATCTCAGGACCAGGTGGATTAATAGCTGAATTCTATCAGAGGTACCAAGAAGAGCTGGTGCCATTTCTACTGAAGCTATTTTTAAAAACTGGAAAAAAGGATCCCTTCCCTAACTCATTCTACAAAGTTAGCATCACCCTGATACCAAAATCAGGCAGAGACACAACCACCACCACCACCACCACCTCAGGCCTGTATCTTTGATGAACACCGATACAAAAATCCCAAACAAGATACTGAGAAACCAAATCCAGCAGCATGGCAAAAAACATATCCACCACAATCAAGTAGGGTTCAGGCCCAGAATGCAAGGTTGGTTAAACATATGGCAATCAATAAATGTGTTTCATTGCATAAACAGAACTAAAGATTAAAACTACATGATTATCTCAATAGATGCAGAAAAGACTTTTGATAAAATTCAATATCACTTCATGTTAAAAACTCTCAATAAACCAGTTACGGAAGGAATGTTGTAGGATTTATTAAAAAATTACTATAAGCAGATGGGAGGGAAAGGGGTCCTTCAGAAGTTTTTTTCTTTGAAAGCAGCTCCAGAAATGTTTCTTGTCTACCTGAATAGCCCCTGCTCAGAGAGCCGGGCAGCAAGCTATGATATGAAAATGCTGCCCATCAGAAACTGGGTCCACCCAAACATAACAATTCCTGCCCTTTTCTTCCTTGCCCCTACATGTGCCTGGCAAAATGACCACCCCCACATACCCTATGTGTGTAGAACATCATGGTGCCCTACATTTGCATATTAAAAGGCTAGGGTGGAAGGGCCAGACTTTTTCTGGGCTATGTAAATGGCAAGCCTGGTCAAACCAATCTCCTGAACCCTAAGCAAATCAGACACCACCTCCACCAGCTTTCCCATATAAGCAGCAACTTTTCTCTGCACACAGGATTTTCTCTTTGTTAGAATCCCTCTTCCCCAACTCCATATCTGTAAGGGTACCTGTTTGCTTCTTCCTTGCTTCTTTCTTATTAAAGTTTCCACTCCTTAAAACCACTCACGTGTGTCCGTGTCATTTTATTCAATTCAGTGCAAGAATAAGGATCCTAGTGCTACTCCACTTATCGGGGCCATATCTGGAACATACCTCAAAATAATGTAATGAAAGTCATGTATGAAAAACCCACTGCAAACATCATACTGAAAAGGCAAAAGCTGGAATCATTTTCCTTGAAAACTGGCACAAGACAAAGATGTCCTCTGACACTACTTGTATCCAATATAGTATTGAAAGTTCTGGGCAATCAGGCCAGAGAAAGGAATAAAAGATATTGAAATAGGAAGAGAGGAAATCAAATTATCCCTGTTTGCAACCAATATGATTCTATATGCACACAAATCCATCATCTCAGCCCCAAAGCTTTTTAAGCTGATAAACAACTTGAGCAAAATCTCACAATACAAAATCAATGTGCAAAAATCATTAGCGTTCTTATACACCATCAATAGTAAAGCCAAGAGCCAAGTCATGAACAAACTCTCATTCACCATAGCCACAAAAAGAATAAAACACCTAAAGTACAGCTAACCAGGGAAGTGAAAGACCTGTACAGGAAGAACTATTAATACAAATCACTACTCAAATAACTAAGAGATGACATAAACAAATGGAAAGTATTCCATGCTCACAGATAGGCGGAATCAATATCACTAAATGGCCACTCTGCCCAAAGCAATTTATAGATCCAATGCTATACCCATTAAATTACCATTAACATTCTTCACAGAACTAGAAAAATCTATTTTAAAATTCATGTGAAACCAAAAAAGAGACTGTACAGCCAAGGCAATTTTAAGCAACATAATCAAAACTAAATTCATCATGCTTCCCAACTTCAAACTACACTACAGAAGTACCGTAACCCAAACAGCATGGTACTGATAAAAGAACAGACACATAGACCAAAGGAATAGAATGGAAAACCCAGAAATATGACTACATGCTTACAAGTATCTGATTTTCAAGAAAATTTACAAAAGCAATGGTGAAAAGACTCTCTATTTAATAAATGGTGCTGTGAGAAACTGGCTAGCCATATAGAGAAAATTGAAACTGGACCTTTTTATTACTCCATATACAAAAATTAACTCAAGATGGATTAAAGACTTAAATGTAAAACCCAAAACTATAAAAACCCTAGAAGCAAATCTAGGCAAAACCATTCAGAACATAGGCAGGAGTAAAGACTTCTTGAAGAAGATGTCAAAAGCAATTGTGACAAAAGAAAAAATTAACAAATGACATCTAATTAAACTAAAGAGCTTCTGCACTAGCAAATAAACCATCAACAAATTAAATAGACAAAGTACAGAATGGGAAAAAATTGTAAACTATGCATCTGACAAAGGTCTAATATCTAGCATACACAAAGAACTTATACAAATTTACAAGGAAAAAACAAAGAACCTCATTAAAAAGTGGGCAAAGGACATGAACAGACAATTCTCAAGACATACACATGTAGACAACAAACATCTTAAAAAGCTCAACATCACTGATCCTTATAGAAATGCGCATCAAAACCACAATGAGATAGTATCCCAAACCTGTCAGAATACCTATTATTATAAAGTCAAAAAATAACAGATTCAGGTGAGGTTCTGGAGAAATAGAAATGCTTTTACACTGCTGGTGGGAATGTAAATTAGTTCAGCATTATGGAAGACAGTGTGGCAATTCCTCAAAGACCTAAAGATAGAATTATCATTCAACCCCACCAATCCCATTACTGGGTATATCCCAAAGGATTATAAATCATTCTGTTATAAAGATACATGCACATGTATGTTCACTGCAGGTATTCACAACAGCATATGTACATTCACTGCAGCTATTCACGAAAGCAAAGACAATGGAATCAGCCCAAATGCTCGTCAGTGATAGACTGGATAAAGAAAATGTGGTAAATATACACCATAGATTTCTATGCAGCCATAAAAAAAGACAAGATCATGTCTTTGCAGTAACACAGCTGGAGACCATTATCCTTAGCAAACAAACGCCAGAACCGAAAACCAAATACTGCATGTTCTCATTTATAAGTGGGTGAGTGGAGCACAGGAGGAGGGAGAGAAGCAAGAAATATAACTAATGGATATTAGGCTTAATACCTGGGTGATGAAATAATCTGTACAACGAACCCTATCACACAGGCTTACTTATAAAACAAACCATCATATAGTGCACATGAACCTCTGAACTTAAAAGTTAAAAAATATATGTATTACAATAAATGAAGTTAGCAAGGTGCCAGAACACAAGATCAACATACAAAAATTAATCATATTTCTGTGTATCACTAACAAACCCTTAATAGGGGAAATCTTTTAAAAATTTGATTCATAGTAGCAGAAATAGAATAAGATAATCTGAAGTAAATTAATTTCAAATATATATAATACATACTAAATACTAATATACAAAAAATACCAAAAACTATAAAACTTTGTTGCAGGAAACCAAAGAAGACCTAAATAAATTGAAATACATGCTTTGTCCATGTATAGGAAACTTAGATGGAAATATTTCCTAAATTTGTCTGTAGATTCAACATTTCTGTCTCAGTCCCAGCTTGCTTGTCTGTTGAAACCCCAGCTTGTTTCTCTGTAGAAACAGGCAAGGTAATAAAAATACAAGAAACAAATAATAGCCAAACAGTCTCGAAAAAAACAAGAAGAAAGTTGGGATTACTCACTTTTCCCAATTCAAACCTTCCACAAACTACAGCAATAAAAACAATATGGCATTAGAATATATACATACATATAAATATGGAACGAAATTGAGAGTCCAAGAATAAACCCATACATTTATGGCCAACGGAATGTTATCAAGAGTGCCAAGAACAATTAATGAAGCAATAATAATGTTTCCAACAAATTCTGGGACAACTAGATGGCAACACGCAAAAATATTGAGTTGGATCATTACTTCACAGTGTTTACACAAGTTAACTCAAAATGTATCAAAGACTTTAATGTAGAAGCTAATACTATAAAGGTCCTAGAATAGAGGAGAAGAGTACATCCTTGTGATTTTGGGTTAGACAAAATCCCCTCAGAGGCAACACTGAAAGTACAAGTGACAATAGAAAAAAGCAAACTGGATAAAGATCAAATTAAAAATCTTTCTGTTCAAAGTTTACTATTAGGAAAGAGAAAAGCCAGCTTACAGAATTATTTTTTATAAAAATCAAATATTTGATAAAAGAATCAGATAAGATTACAACTAAACAAAAAAAGACAAACCAATGTGAAAAGAGCCAAAAATTTTGAATAGACATTTCTCCAGAGAAGGTATATAAAGCATATGAACAAGCCAACAACCTTACGAAAAGATGCTCAACACTACTGTATCATTAGTAATTCAAGAAGTCCAACTCAAAACTCTATGAGATCTCATACACATTGTAATGGTCAAATCAGTAAGTCATGTAATTATAGTATTGGTGAGGACATGAAGAAACTAGAACGGTATTCCACTTTAGATGGAAATTAAATGATGAAGATGCTTTGGAAAAGAAAAGTTTAAACCTAAAGTTCCCATATAACCCACTAATTCTACTTGTAGGTGTATACACACGAGAAATGACACTAAGCATGCACACAAAAACCGGTACACAAATGCTAATAGCAACATTATAATAGCTAAAAGTAGAAATTGAAATATCTATTTACTAATGAATTCATAAAATATAAAGCTGTATTATAATGAATTATCTTGAACAGAGAAAAAAGATCTCATCATTTGAAATAATACAGGCTCTATAACTAATTTTATGAAATAGAACTCTATAACTCTAACTTTATGAAACAGAAAAAGTATGTAGATAAAACTAGGAAAAAGAAAGCAGAAAATTAAGTAACAACTTTTGAAACAGGAATATATATGTAATGTAGTATAATAAACTCATGAAGCCGATAATCTAGATGAAATGGATAAATTGTTAAAAAAAAAAACGGAAATGCCAAGAATCGTACAATACGAAACAATTGTCAAACTATCAAACTTTAAGGCACTTCTGGCAGTGCCCTTCCAAATAAAATCTACCATTTGATTTTTAAAACTTACCTTTTGCGTATTTTTCAAAAATATATGGAGAACAAAAAGATACTACAGTAGTGAACTGATTAAAAAAAAACAGAATAGCAATGTAGGGGGATTTTTGCTTAACGGGTGTAAAATATTGTAAATAAAATTATAGGAAATAAAGTGTAACATCTTGTTTTGAAATAAAACATCGCAATAAAGTATAATTTCCCTTAAAAACAGCATGATATTTCCACATCAAAAAACGGATCATTAGCAGTGTGTTTCTTTTGATTTATGGTACGTGTGTTTAGCGATGTTGAAGGTTTACTGTAATCTGTCCAGGTCTTTGTGATCATTTTAAAATTTAGGGTGCTCCTAGGTAATTTTTAAGGGATGTTTATCATGTGCAGTAAAGGTTTTATTCAAAAACATTTAGCACTTCTTTTCCCCGTCCTAAAGTCCAAGCTCGAGTTGGTAAAAAATCCAACGACAAATGTGCCCACTTGAAGTGCACTGTTAATGCAACAGTTTACAAGAACATAAATACATTGTACCGGCATCCTGCCTCCTAAACGTCTTGTGACAGGAACGTTCTCGAGCTGAGAACCCAGTGAGTCTTCAGAGAATGTTAGTAAACACTTTCACATGAACGGATATCGCCGGCGGTTTGTCCTGGCAGGAAAAAAAAAAGGTGCGTTTCTACGGACATTTCCGCAAAGGAGGAATTTTCTCCGAGAAATCCTTCGTTGATCAGCACCACAGCCTTTTACGGTCCTTCCCTGCAATACGCAGGCGTAACTTGCGCAGTGGTCCCATTTTAAAAAAGATCCGGCCATACTATTTTTATCTTGCTTTTTCGTTCTGTCGCAGTACTGTTTAATATGAGTCCAGCGACGGCTCTGTGACTGTTTTCCTCTGGTAAAATCGCTCTTGCGTCCTCAGCGTTTATCTCAGGTGCGGAAGGTCTCACAGGTTTGGAAATAGCGCCGGAAAAATCGATCCGCGGAGTGAGACGGCTCGTACCACACTGCAGGGCCCGGAGGTCAAGATGGTGGCTGTAAAACTAGGATCCCTGACGATTGGTAAGCAGCTACGGGATTAAAGTAACCTTGAAATTCTCAAGAAAATGAAATTTTCATAGGCCTTTTAGTAGGAGGAACCAGCGCGTCATTAAAGACAATGTGATTCTTATTTTACAGCTTAGCATTAAGGCCCGACATGGAACCGGGGTGTGACGAGTTCCTGCCGCCACCGGAGTGCCCGGTTTTTGAGCCTAGCTGGGCTGAATTCCAAGACCCGCTTGGCTACATTGCGAAAATAAGGCCCATAGCAGAGAAGTCTGGCATCTGCAAAATCCGCCCACCCGCGGTAAGTCTTTGAAACAAAATTTGGGAATGGGTAGCCTTTGGTTTGAACGTTGGGGCAGTTTACCACTTGGCGAGGCGTTATTTACACTCATGACCAGAAACCCTTAGCACCAAATTTCTCATTTAACTTTTCTGACCCGAACAAGCTGGCATCAGAATATTAGTATCAGATCGCCACATTCCACGGGGTTCTAAACATCTGACTGCTGTAGGGACAAAAATATAAGATTCAAATATTTCTACGTTCTGCTGTTATTAAATATAGTTTAGGCATACACAAGCTTTTATTACATTTAACCGCAAAAAAATAGCTTACTCAGAAGTACTTGATCTATGACAGAAGCAAGTTATATAAGCTTGTGTGTTAACCACTTGGACTGGTGTTTTCTTTCTTTGATATGACCTTAGATGTATGTAGCAAATATAGCAAATAATGGGAGTGATGTGGCATCCTTTGCCATCAATTAAATTTATTATTAAACGTAGACCATTTTGGGTTGCTATACTGAAAACTACTAAATGAACCTCGTAGAAGTTTGACTGAATTAAGAATGTAAACTGAAATAAGCCTGGGCTGTCGTCGTGAACAACTAACACAATATTCAGAGAAGTCAAAAAGTTTTCGCAGAGCATACAGCTTTTTTCTCATATATTGAACCAGGCTGCAACGTTATTTTTATGTGGATGTTCGCACTTCTCAGCATTTGCAATTAAACTTTTTCGTACTGCTGGGAGTGGGAAGAGATAATGGCTTAGGTTTTAAAAAGTGAAACAATTTTTTATCTGCATTACATTTATCTTCATTTTAGTAAGGACTCATAACCCAAATAGCATAGTGTTTGTTCAGATGTGCGTCATTCCTTGGAAGTCGAGTCGCTTTCTAGCCTTGGGATTATAGAGGTTTTTTTTTTTTTTTTCGTCTGTTACGAAGGACACATATCAAGGAGAGTTTTGGATTTGCAGGGTTTTTCCTTTTTTTTTTTTTTTTGCAGTTAATCTTGATTATGAAGAAGGAATCATTTGAGGCCCTTGTGTACAAAAATGGTTACCAGAAGACTTTAAAAGAGTGGGAACAAATGATTGTGGTTTTCACTATCTTCATCCTTTACTGTGCCATAGTTACCAGGTCCTTACACTTTCTTCTAGGATTGGCAGCCTCCTTTTGCAGTAGAAGTTGACAATTTCAGATTTACTCCTCGCGTCCAAAGGCTAAATGAACTGGAGGTAAGATTGGGAGGCACACTTTTTTTAAAGGAATCTGATCTTTAATCTTGCCGTTGTAGTTTCATAATAATGTAGAACTTAAGTTTTGAAATCTAATGTATTGAATTTGAACCCGAACTCCACCATTTTCCAGAATACTGATTTTGGAGAAAGTCTTCTATAAAATACATAATTTATGTCCACAAAAATGGTAGAACACAAAGGCTTTAAATATCTGAGGAAGAATGATGCATTGTTTCGCTGTTCAATAGTTTCAGGTTAGAACTATCAAAATGACAGTACCTTTCCCATTTTGTCTTCTCGTACTCACATATTTAATGAATGAATTTTTTTTTTTGAAACAGAGTCTCACCCTGTCTACCAGGCTGGAGTGCAGTGGCGGGATCTCGCCTCACTGCAACCTCCACCTTCCAGGTTCAAGGGATTCTCTTGCCTCAGCCTCTCAAGTAGCTGGGATTACAGGTGCACACCAGCAGGCTCAGCTAATTTTTGTATTTTTAGTAGAGATGGAGTTTCACCGATTTGGTCATGCTGGTCTCCAACTCCAAACGTTAGGTGATCAGCCTGCCTTGGCCTCCTAAAGTGCTGGGGTTACCGGCGTAAGCCCCTGCACCCAGTGTGACTAAATTTTTTTTAGTTCTTTAACAGAAGCAGAGTTCAGACAAGAAATAGGATCTTTTAAATATCCAGCAACAGAGTGATGGTATTACATATGTTCTGCTTTAATAAAATGTCAGAGGCAAACTTGCTCTTTAAAGCAGTCAACTCAGTCTTCACAGTTTAGTATTCAATATAGAAAGTATATGAATGATTTGTCATTTTCTTTTACTCTTAGGATTTTGACTATGATCAGTAGCTAGAAGCTGTGTATGAGTTAGAGTAAGAAAGCAGTGATTCAGAAACTGGTTTTGTGTCCAGCTCTTTTACATGAACTAGAAAAATATTTTAATTCTTTGAATTATATATCAGTACATTCTAAATGAGTGTCTTGATGATATTGAGTCTAAATACTGTTGGAGCCTACATATTTTTGGTCAAGCCACCTTTAAGTCCAAGAATAATTCCTTAAATTTAGACATGATGTTGATCCTAAGACGGCACATTCTTAGCTCTTTATAGATTAAAGACTCAGCTTATTTGAGCTTTTTGTGGACCCCGCTGGTGAGATAAGACAGTGAAGCTGGGGCTCCGGCACGTTGGTGGAGAAGTGTAGATAGCATAGAATAATACTTGTTCATTTACTGCATACTCGATGAAGTCAGGTTAAGGAGTATGCCAATCTTATAAGGCCCTCTCTTTCCCAGGCCCAAACTAGAGTGAAATTGAACTATTTGGATCAGATTGCAAAATTCTGGGAAATTCAAGGCTCCTCTTTAAAGATTCCCAATGTGGAGCGGAAGATCTTGGACCTCTACAGCCTTAGTAAGGTAAGAGTAGTCTACTTTCTAAAGGAAAAACAAAAAGCCTTGCCTCAAGGATCTTCTGTGGTAGAAACAATAGGCAGGAAAGGAAAGAACACAGAGCCTGGCAGCGTTTCTTGACGTAATCTTTGAGTCTTGCAATGATTGGTGTTGGGGGAAGGGCACAGCCCCCCATATTCAAGTCTCATTGTTGTGTTGGTAGCCCTTTCCAGTCTGTTCACAGTTCATCCATATTGTTTCTTATACTTTCAGATTGTGATTGAGGAAGGTGGCTATGAAGCCATCTGCAAGGATCGTCGGTGGGCTCGAGTTGCCCAGCGTCTCCACTACCCACCAGGCAAAAACATTGGCTCCCTGCTACGATCACATTACGAACGCATTATTTACCCCTATGAAATGTTTCAGTCTGGAGCCAACCATGTGGTGAGGGCCCTTAAACTGGTTTGTGGCCTGATGTGATTTTGTTTTCTTTTGTATTTTTTCTTTGGATTGGACTTTTCTCTTGAGTAGTCAGGGTCTATAGATTCTAAATCTCTAGAGTGAAGATGTTCCAGGAATTGGCCCTAGAAAATACTTTGCAGCCTCTTTATGTGGCATAGTTTTATTCCTGCTATACATAAGTAAGAACTAGAGTAACCTTTCTATCTTATGAGGTTGATGTTTACTAAGATCTTTTTATGGAGAAGATCTTAAACTAGAAGTTAGAGGAAACCATTTCCTATTTTAAGTATCTTACATGAAAAAGATAATCTTTTTTTTTGAAATGGAGTGTTGCTGTGTTGCCCAGGCTGGAGTGCAGTGGCAGGATCTTGGCTCACTACAAGCTCCTCCCGGGTTCACGCCATTCTTCTGCTTCAGCCTCCCAAGTAGCTGGGACTACAGGGGCCTGCCACCACGCCTGGCTAATTTTTTTGTGTTTTTAGTAGAGACATGGTTTCACCATGTTAGCTAGGATGGTCTTGATCTCCTAACCTTGTGATCTGCCTGCCTCGGCCTCCCAAAGTGCTGGGATTACAGACGGGAGCCACCATGCCTGGCTGAAAAAGATAATGGTGTTCCTAAGCTTTCATGAGGCTGGTTCACTTGAAGATAGTTTAGGTTAAAAGCTTGGTGTGACTTGGGTTTAACTCAGGGTGTGGAAACTGATTTAGCAGGGTAATTTTACATAATAAGTTAATTGTTTTTGTTTGTTTGTTTGTTTGTTTTGTTTTTGAGGCAGCTTATCACTCTGGCCAGGCGGCCTCCACCTCCTGGATTGAAGTGATTCTCCTGCCTCAGCCTCCTGAGTAGCTGGGGCTACAGGCGCGTGACTATGCCCACTCATTTTTGTATTTTTCGTAGAGATGGGGTTTCACCATGTTGGCCAGGATAGTCTCGATCCTTTGACCTCGTGATCTACCTGACTCAGCCTTCCAAAGTGTTGGGATTACAGGCATGAGCCACCACGACTGGCCAGTTTTTAGGTTTTATTATCCGTAAAACTTTAAAATATTTTATAAAAACTGTGTATTTATGTTTATAAACATGTTTCACTTAGCGTACATAATTCTAAAGATTCAGTATTTTTGTTTTGTTTTGTTTTTTGAGACAGTCTCACTCTGTCACCCAGGCTCTACTAACTTTTGTATTTTACCGAGACAGGGTTTCACCATTTGGCCAGAATGGTCTTGATCTCTTGACCCCATGATCCACCTGCCTCGACCTCCCAAAGTTCTGGAATTATAGGCTTAAGCCACCACACCCAGATTGAGTATTTTTATTACTTGTTTTTCATCCAGGAAATTGAAGCACAAAGAGAGAAGTTCAGTATGTTTGCTGAAAGCACACAGAGAATAAGAGTAAAAACCCAGATTGATATCAATACAGTCCAAAGACCATGTTCTTTCATATTCTGTGATGCTCATTCATAAGCAGAGGCACGAAAATTGTCAGGATATGTGCTCTATCCAAAGAACAAGAGGAGTGGACCTGTGTAATTTAGAAAGAACTACAGCTTTATTTGCTAGAGTTGTAAATGAAGGAATCACTTATTACAAATATGACTCAATTTCTGATTCTATATATTTTTTTCTCTCTAGCAATGTAACACACACCCGTTTGACAATGAGGTAAAAGATAAGGAATACAAGCCCCACAGCATCCCCCTTAGACAGTCTGTGCAGCCTTCAAAGTTCAGCAGCTACAGTCGACGGGCAAAAAGGCTACAGCCTGATGTGAGTGACTGTTACTCCTGTTATTCTTCCTATAGCTGAGAAGGTTCATCTAGACCTTGATATTGGGGAAAATTCATTGCTGAATGCATTGTTTTACATATGTCTGGTTCAGGATAAAATTAATTGAAATGAATTATTAATTATTTTGTTCATAGGTCTGGTTTATAATATTTTGTCTTTGTAGTTTTGCTTTTATAAATTTTAAAACATATTGCTATTGTTTTAAGTGATGGGGTCTTGCTGTGTTGCTAGGCTATTCTCGAACTCCTAGGCTTAAGTGATTCTCCCTCTACAGCCTTTGGAGTAGCTGGGGTTACAGAGGTTAGCCATCATGCCCGGTTATAAGGTATTGTTAATTTCTGTGAATCTTGGAACGATTTTTGCAAAGCACACTGTACAAATCAGTTATTGTTAACTGTTTGTTCTATTCTATGGTCTTCCATGTGATGGTCAGTAGGTGTGACCACAGAGACTCAGGAAAGCAAAGTTTATTATTATCACAGGCCTTAGAGAGGTAGTCACTATATGCTACACAGTGCTAGAGAGGAAAACCTATCTTGGATATGCAGAAGAAGCAGGAATAAGAAAAGCACCTAGGCCATAGCCTATATTGGGTTTACCAAGGGAAAGGCAAGACAGAGCAGGATAAGAAGTATGGGATTGGCTAGTTTGAATAATTTTGGCAGGCTCTAGGCTACAGCAGTATTCCCTAGTTGCCTGACCCTAGAATTAAAGCAGAGGAACTTTGCCTCATGAATTGTATGGGCTGAATAGATAAGGATTAGCTTTGGATTTGTCAGTGAACATATTAAAGACACATTAAAGTCATACTCCTGGGTGAGCCATTTGGTATTTGTAGGAGTAGCTAACCCTGGGAGGACAATCTGTCATAACCAGAAAGATTTAAGATGTTAAAACATCATAATATTCAGAAAATGAAAATACAAACAATATATTTTTAATAACTTTTATATAAGTGTGTTTTCACTGCTCCATATGCAACATTTTCATAAGATTTGGATGTTTTTATTTCTGAAATACCTTAAATAAGGCAATGCTGTGTTATCTTTAGGTGTTTTCTGGATAATTCTAACAATATTTAAATTTTGAGATATTGTAATATTAGAAATTAGACCAAAGTGAGAAATTTTATCTAGTTAAGATTATTGAAATGCAGATGGATTCTGTATTAGTACTTTAGTTCTTTATAGTAAGAATTATGTCTGGAAGAAACTGAATAAGAAAAATGAACATGTAATAACTAGGAAACCAGTAAAATTTGTTTCAAGTTGTAAATACCAGTAAAAGGTCTAAACATTTTTCCAGATAAAATGGATCCTTAGACACTTTTTTGGCAGGGAGAGTTCATTGTCCATTTTGCAGGAAAGGTTTTAAAAATTGTTGGGCCAGGCACAGTGGCTCATGCCTGTAATCCCAGAATTTTAGGAGGCTGGGTTGGGTGGATTACCTGAGGTCTGCAGTTCGAGAACAGCCTGACCCATGTGGTGAAACCCCATCTCTACTAACAATATGAAAATTAGTTGGGTGTGGTCGCAGGCAATTGTAATCCTAGCTTCTCAGGAGGCTGAGACATGAGAATCACTTGAGCCTGGAAGACAGAGATTGCAGTGAGCCAAGATCATGCCACTGCACTCCAGCCTGGGTGACTGAGCAAGACTCTGTCAAAAACAAAACAAAATTTAAAACTGTACAGTGTACAAAAATCGACAGTACTTCCAAAATATAAAGAAAAAAAAAGTTACAAATTCTGCATAAAGCAAGAAAGGAGAAATAAGGACTAACACATCTTTTCTATTTTATGTGTGTTTGTAATTCAAGAATGGGTAGTAGACTGTCCGAAATGTAGAGTAGTATGGTATTACTTTATTCTAAAACAAGCAAATACCAGCTCTTTTAAAAAGTATTTAATGGTTAGAAACAACCTATGTAACATTAATGTAAAATCTATAATGTACATAATACAATATTTTGTGTATAAAATTATATATTGTGCTTAAAAGTTGTAGAAGCACGAAACTGATTGAATCTTTTCTTTTTTATCATAGCTTATTTTCAGGTTTCCTTTTCCAGCAACCCTGATGAATAATAAATCAAAAGTGTTTAACCTCACTTATACATTGAAAATATGAAGTAACCACATATCCCTTTCACATAACTGGTTAGGAAATGGCCAAAATGTGTCAAGGATATGAGGAACTAGGCATTGTGTGCACTCTTTGTAGTAGTGAAGGGTTGTATTAAAATTAAAATTTGAAGTTACTAAAATTTTAAATGTTTACATCCTCCTGCTTAACTTCTGTTAATTGTCTTTTGAGAAGAATAATGCAGCAAGTACATAGGTACTAATGATTTGTGCCCGAGTCTTAATTTATAGACATGATTCAGTAATGGTGAGATGGAGAGGTCAATGCTAAAAGTTTAGTGTTGCTGACTGTTTATTTCCAAATGAGATGTACAACATACCCCACAGAGCCACAGTAATCAGTCAGGAGGTAAAAGGTAAGGTGAAAGGCACAGGTCACAGCCTTTATTGGTATTTCTGTGAGACAGGCAAGGCAGGGCAATCAAATGTCAGAATTGGCTAGTTTGTTAGAATAATTCCAGGGATCTGTGAGGCATAGTGGATGCCGGTAGGTTTTTGGTACATGGCTCTGAGTTGGTTTACAGAAGGGGAAATACTGGTTCTATATGATAGTTAAATAAAGGAAATAGTTAGAGGTTTGGACTCGGGATTGTTTGGTTTATATGGTAAAGGTATAGTTTAGTTTAGCCAGCTCTGAAAGAGCTGGTCTCCCTAGCCCACAAGGTACCCCAGAAATGTCAAAACCATATAAGGTATATAAAATAAAAATTAGATTAATACAGTTAGTTACTTAGCTCTTCAGAATGTCAAAAAGTGGGAAACAGCCTCAATGTTGTATAATTAAAAAGTTAGTTAAATGATTGCTGGAATAGTATTATAATAAGCAATGTATTCTCATAGACGTAATGCAATATACGTTTCTGCTTCCAGAAATTGCCGTGGGAATAAAAAAAAAGCATAAAATATGTTACTGTGTCTCTCTGTGTATACATGTATGTTTATATATGTAAATAGAAGAAAACTTACCTCTGTATAGAAAATTTGTAAGAATAAAGCTTTAAAATAAACGGAAAATGTAATAGAGCTTAATTTCAAAATATAACAAATTATTTTAAACAATGATAAAATATATTTTACAGTGTCCTCTAAGAAGAGACAAGTGCTGAAAATGGTATATAATATATGTGGCATA
Organism: Homo sapiens; assembly: GCF_000001405.40. Taxonomy (NCBI): domain Eukaryota; kingdom Metazoa; phylum Chordata; class Mammalia; order Primates; family Hominidae; genus Homo; species Homo sapiens. The sequence goes on along the minus strand of NC_000024.10, from coordinate 19,736,231 downwards.
TGATTTGTATTTTGATACTTAATGAGTTTCCATTTTCCCAGGTTTGTGATTATATTGTGGTCTGAAAGCAGTTATGATTCTAATGATATGAGTTTAAATGGAATAGAATTTTTCCTGTCTTAACTGTTTCCATCTTGAACTCAGTTGGAGAGGGGGGCTTATTTTTAATTACAAAATTCTCTGTTGTAAGGTATAAATTTCTGACATTTAAGCTTCACTAGCCTTGGAAGCCTTGGATTATTTTGTCATTTTTTTCATAACATGAAAAAAGTTGAGGAAATTCATTACTTTCCAAATTTATCCATTTGCTCCTACCTGGCCATACCACACTCACAGTAAAAATGTGGTTAATAAACATTCAAAAATGGATAAAGGATGTTAGTTGATTTTAGCCCATCTGACTTGTCCAGACCTTGCCTATAAAGTATTTATACCTGCATAAGTAAAGCTAACTTCGTTGTTTGAATCTTTTTTAAAACAGCCAGAGCCTACAGAGGAGGACATTGAGAAGCATCCAGAGCTAAAGAAGTTACAGATATATGGGCCAGGTCCCAAAATGATGGGCTTGGGCCTTATGGCTAAGGATAAGGATAAGACTGTGCATAAGAAAGGTGAGGAACTTTAACAGATTGGGGAAGTGTGAGGGGTAAAATAGTAAAGTTTCATGGGAGAAATAGTTTGGTAATCTTGATGCAGGAGAGGATTGGTTTCATAGTTGTTTTTTACTTCCCTAGTCACATGCCCCCCAACTGTTACGGTGAAGGATGAGCAAAGTGGAGGTGGGAACGTGTCATCAACATTGCTCAAGCAGCACTTGAGCCTAGAGCCCTGCACTAAGACAACCATGCAACTTCGAAAGAATCACAGCAGTGCCCAGTTTGTAAGGACTCATGATTTTGTAATATTCTACTTTGAACCGTCAAGATTATATTGAACCTAAAATGAATTCATCATACTTTTCTTTTTTTCTTCCTTCTTTCTTCTTATTTATGAGCCCTTTTATCTGAAGAGACGGGTGGCTAGAAATGGGAGGAAATGTTTTCAAGATAGCTAAAGTCAAAAGCAAAATTTTTATGTCTTTTTAGATAGAACTTTTCACCAAACTATACTCTGTTTTTCAACTCTATTAGCATTTTCTGAACTTTTACAGCTTAATATAGGAGATAATGTGATCCAATATAAATTATGTTAAAGAGCTGTTTATTTGTTTTTGGCAAATTCCTCCAGACTCTCAAATCATCACATTTCATATAGTAGTGACAGTTTTCTATTATCTTCTTTTACTTTTGTCCCTTGTATGTTTACATCTTCTTTTATTCTTTCTACATCTCACTTGGAAGATTTTTATAATGTCTTACATATTTAAGTCTGCACTACAAGAAAAAAAAAAAGACAAAAATTCCTACCTTCCTCCTTACTCTTTAGCTAATCTCACCCTGTTTTGATAATTTTTGTTTGCCTTTCCTTTATGTAAATGATGTTTCCAGAAATTTTGTTCTCAAACAGACTTCTGTTTTGAGCTGCAAATTCCTGTGTTTCTCTTAGTCATTTCCACCTGATGATTGGGAGATCATGTTTACTACCACTGTCCTGTTCCCACTTGTCTCACTGTTTTGCATTTTATAGACACAAGGTAGAGCTGTCATCAGTCTGGAAGTGTAGGAGTCATTGATCACTACTTTCTAACCCTTACAGCTAGTAGTTAACTTCATTCCATTGCTTTTGTTTTTATTTCTGTGTATCACCCATACACAAAAATATCTGGATTACTTTTACTTGTTCGTGTACTTTCAATTAATCACCTCTTTTGTATTGGCTTCTTCTTTTAGTGGTTCAAAAAATGCATTTATATGGTTCTATTAATGCTCACGCTTGTGTTCTATTAAGTGTAGTTTTGTTAGGCATAGCTTTTTTTCTATCTGTTTTACCATTCAACTTTTGGTAGTTACCAATTTTTGGCTATTTCAAGTAATTCTGTGGATATTAAAGTATATGTTTCTAGGTAACGTATGTAGACATTTCTGTTACCTAGATAGACAGGATAGAATTGCTGTGACTGAGACTATGTATATTTTCACTAGTGGATTATTGTCAGACTGTTTTTACAAATGATTGACGAGTTTATCAGCTAGTATTGGATGCCAGTTCTGGTTACCACATGTCCTCACTAACACTTAGAATTGACAGTTTTGTTTTCATTTTAGCCATTCTGGGAGGTGTGTAGTATTTCATTGTAATTTTTATTTGCATTTCCCTGGTTTACAGTTTTTTATATTGAGCATCTTTCATAAGTTTAAAAGATTTTTATTTTATGAAACCTTTTCCTGATAATTCTGTTGAATTTTTTTCTTTTTTTCTGAGATGGAATCTCGCTCTCGCCCAGGCTGGACTGCACTGGTGCGCTCTCAGCTCACTGCAACCTCCGCTTCCAGGGTTCAAGCAATTCTTCTGCCTCAGCCTCCCAAGTAGCTGGGTCTATAGGTGCAAGCCGCCACACCCTGCTAGTTTTTTTTTTTTATTTTAGTAGAGATGAGGTTTGACCTTGTTGTCCAGGCTGGTCGTGAACTCCTGAGCTCAAGCAATCTGCCCACCTTGGCCTCTCAAAGTGCTGGGATTACAAGCTTGAGCCACCGCACCTGGCCTCTTATGTTTATAAATATTCTGATTTGTCATATGCATGTGTGTATATGCGTGCATATGTATGTGTATATATGCATGTATATATGTATATATACACATATAATTTGTGTGTGTATGTTTGTGTGTATATATATTTAAAAATATATTTATATTTTCACACAGTTTCTTCTGCTCTTGAGTTATCTTTAAAATTTTCTCTTTATTGATCAGTTTACTTCTAGATTCTTGTAGAAAAGCCCATCCTACTTATTGAAGGTAATTTTTTCAAAATGTAAGTGTACCCTGCTAAAAATCTTACCACTGCGTTTTCTTTTTAAACTGGTAATTATTACTAGATTTTTTTCAATAGTATGTAAGAATCAAGTTATTTAGCCTTTGCTTCATGTTTCTCTTCTGTGACATACTACTTGAGTGACTATTTATAATTCATCATCTAATCTAAGATAACCCTTTATAATGAAAGTATATGTCTATCAAACTTTTCAACAGAGGAACAACTATAACTGGATATTCGGTCACTTGACCTTTTTATGTTCAACTTGCCCTCTGTGCCAGATAAATTTTTAACTATGTAATTCTCTGATCTATGCTGCTTTATACCTTTATGATTTTTGTTTACGCCGTTGAACCTCTATAAAAAGTCTACTTTGCCCCCATGGTTTCTTTATTAACTTACTGTATTATAGTGTAATTATTTCCTGTCATAGTTTGCACTAGGTAGTAAGCTCATAAATACAACACTGTATAGTTATTGACTAATGATAGATGTTCATGAATGGTCTAGAAACCTGCGATAAGGTGTCAGGGAACAAGCAGCTAAATTTTTTACTTTTTTTTTTTTTTTGGTAGATTGACTCATATATTTGCCAAGTATGCTCCCGTGGGGATGAAGATGATAAGCTTCTTTTCTGTGATGGCTGTGATGACAATTACCACATCTTCTGCTTGTTACCACCCCTTCCTGAAATCCCCAGAGGCATCTGGAGGTGCCCAAAATGTATCTTGGCGGTAAGATCTGTCTGTCACAGATGCTTTATTTTTGGTTGGTGATTTTCTGTAATCTCCCCTTCTGGGTTTTGGGAAGGTAGTTTCTGCCCTTTTATAAGTTAATATTTGTGTTAGGTTTTGATTAAGCTATCAGTGAGCTACTATACAAGAACGATTGAACACACTAACTCTAGAATGATAGAGACTTGACTGAACCAGAGGCAAGGGACTATAATTCAAATGGCATGAAGCATGTAAGGAAAGATTATAAAATAATGTTTAATACCTACTGAAGAAACAAACCTACCTGGAAACATATGAAAATGCAGAATTATTGCATGAGATATTGAATGTAACATGAAAAATTTATCTCCCCTTAGCTCTCCTGTTTTTTTGGATCTTTATTCCCTTTGTCTTGCTGAAATATATTTTATTTCAGGAGTGTAAACAGCCTCCTGAAGCTTTTGGATTTGAACAGGCTACCCAGGAGTACAGTTTGCAGAGTTTTGGTGAAATGGCTGATTCCTTCAAGTCCGACTACTTCAACATGCCTGTACATGTATGTGATCTGAGGGCTGGACTATAGGGATTCTGTTGTGGTAGTCTTAGTTCTCATGGAGACATGAGTCCAAAGTATAGTGGGCTATGATAACCTTTTACATGTGTTTTCACAGATGGTGCCTACAGAACTTGTAGAGAAGGAATTCTGGAGGCTGGTGAGCAGCATTGAGGAAGACGTGACAGTTGAATATGGAGCTGATATTCATTCCAAAGAATTTGGCAGTGGCTTTCCTGTCAGCAATAGCAAACAAAACTTATCTCCTGAGGAGAAGGTAATACGGTTGGTAGTTCATGTTAACATTAACTAGGGAAACTCATTTTAGCATGTAAAATTACTTTCCTAGGTTCTCCCACACAGTGTTGTCTTCACATATTTCGGATAATAATGAGGTTTGATGATACTGGTTCATGATCTGTCAGTGAACCGGAATATGGACAGTCATCGTATTTTTTTTCTCTTGAAACTCTGATGGAGATAGATAAAAGGAACAGTATAAATCTTGATATTATCAATGAAGAGCTATAGTGTTCCTTCACCTTTCCTTAAATCTAAATATTGGAAGCTTACCATCTTTTTATGAAAAGCAAGTACTATGACCAGCTTATTTTGAAATATTTGGAAGGGCGGAAAGAAGTATCTTTGTTAAGTGTATCAATTTGTGTTCATGTCGAACATACGGAGTAATGCAGAAACCACTGATTTCATTCATTACAAAGTGATTTCTTGTATTAGTCAAAGAAACCCATACAGCCATCCTAAATTCTGACTCATCACATTTACATTTCTCCTGTAGTGGAGAACCAAAAAAAATAATGCCTGAAGTAACATAATTTGGGGAGAGAAAGCTAAAATGTAGCCGTCCTTATGCATTATTTGAACATTTGAGAAATTAATTCTATTTCCTGTTTTACCATGTTGGCCAGAACCAAAAGAATTAGTATTTGGCATTGTATATAGATTAGTCTTACAAGAGGGTTGATCCAGACAGAAAAAATAGTGGTTTGAGGATAAACTTAGCTAATAGCTGTGACTAACATTTTTAGGAAGTCTTACTCTGATTTTTCTGTATATATACTGTTTGTTCATGGAGATGTCTGTATCTGGATAAGCGCTATTTTATAGTCGGTCATATGCTGCATAACATTTTGAGTTTAATAAAGGAGCAATACTGTACTTTCACTATATCTTTTCTGTGTTTAGAGGCACAGATACTTAAACCATTGTGTTACATGGCCTATAATATTCAGTACAATAGTGTCGCACTAATTTGTAGCCTAGGAGCAATAGTTATATACCATATAGCGTAGGTATGTAGTAGATTGTTTCTTCTTGGTTTGTGTGAGTATACTCTATGACGTTCAAAAAAGGACAAAATTTACCTCTTTTGTTAAGAGATGTGTAGCTGAGTATGATAGTGCTTAAAAGTCTTACAGATAGTTTGGTTATAGTTCTTAAAATAGAAGTAAGTTAAAATTACTGAGGGATTGAAACTATAAATTAAGTAATTGGAAGGCAATCACCTATAGCCTCCATTGGTAACTTTGGTCTGTTTCTAATTCCCTTTTTGAAACAACCAAAAAACAAATTGTATTTTGAAGCCATAGACAAGTCCTTTTGTCGGTATAAAGCATGGTATTAAGTAATATCCCTGAGCTAACTTTTGAACATAAGAATTGAAGTTTTGTGAGATAATATCTCTCCACAGGCTTTTCTGCAAGTCATACCTCCCTCTTTCTCTCCACTAACACCTAAATGTTCCACCGTCATGGGTTTGTCATAATAAAAAAAAGTGTAGTGTTTGATTACATATGTATGTATTTTTAAAAAGAATATTAATTTTCAAGCTTTGCTAATGTTACGTTGTGTGTTCTCTGACTTGTTCTGTCAGTATTGTGTTAGGAAAATTCATTTATATTGTTGCTCATAGCTTTAAATTATCTGTTTTTTCACTATTATATAATATTGCATGCTGGGATTACATCTCATTTATCTTTCTTTCTGTGGATTGCTTCTGGTGTTTAGCTGTTACTAACAGTGTATGAGCATTGTTTTACAGGTCTCCTGAAACAACAGTTTCTAGGTTCTATGTTTAGAAGTGGAATTGAACGATACTCTGAATTGTTTTACAAAAGGATTCTGACAGGTTACACTGAAACTAATGAGAGAACTGGTCATCCATATGTTTAACAGAGCACTTCATACTGTTACCTACTTTTGTGGGTATGATATGTTCCCACGTAGCACTATTTCATTGATTACTAAGGTCAAACACTTTCCATTAGCTTATTCCAATGGCAAGCCTTTAAGAGCATCAGATTATCCCATCTGCTAAATTATTGGACACACCATTTATGCTTAACTAATACATATATATGTGTATAGATATTTGAGTATATGCAGAATATTTGTATTAACCCCTTTCATAATGAATTTGTACTGGTATTAATTTTTTAACTTTTATAAAACAAATAAATACTTTGGTCTCTATACTGCCCCTCAGTCCCGTTCCTGCTAGTTTCCTTTGGATCTTAGATCTAGTTTATCTTTCTGTATACATAGGCTTTAAATGTTTAACTTGTAACTAATGCAGAATTGATTTTTTTAATCCAGTGAGTTTTTATTTTTTAATTAGTTAATTTTCATTTATTGTGACTGATGATTGCATCCATTTTTTGCTATCTTATTTTGAACTTAGTTTCTGCTGCCTTTTCTGTTATCTTTTTTTTGCCTTTCTTATTCCATTTTAGCCACTTGTAAGTTTAGCAACTTTTGTATGCTAGTTTTAATACTATTTTATTTTATTTCATTTTATTTATTTATTTTTTTTTGAGACGCAGTCTCGCTGTGTTGCCCAGGCTGGAGTGCAGTGGCATGATCTTCCCTCACTGCAACCTCCACCTCCCAGGTTCAAGCAATTCTCCTGCCTCTCAGCCTCCCAAGTAGCTGGGATTACAGGCGTCCACCACCACGCCCAGCTAATTTTGTGTATTTTTAGTGGAGATGGGGTTTCGCCATGTTAGCCAGGCTGGTCTCGAACTCCTGACCCCAGGTGATCCACCCACCTGGGCCTCCCAAAGTGCTGGGATTACAGGCGTGAGCCACGGTACCCGGCCTAATACTTTATTTTACATATAACCTAACATTTAATTTTTTTTTTACTTCTCCCAAGTAATATTAGACTATATAACTTACTCTTCAGTTCTCTTCTGACCTATAAAATTTTTGTGCATGTTTTTAAAGCTTTTTGCTCAACAAAATGGATGCTGTTTTTGTTTTTATACTGCATATAGATTTATCCACACATGATTTTTTCTTTTGATTATTTGAAATTCTTGCAACCATTTTCTTTGTTGCTGAAGTAAATTCTTTAGAAATTTCTTAAAAAGCCCAGGCGCAGTGGCTCACGCCTGTAATCTCAGCACTTTGGGAGGCCGAGGCAGGTGGATCACGAGGTCAGGAAATCAAGACCATCCTGGCTAACACAGTGAAACCATGTCTCTATTAAAAATACAAAAAATTAGCCAGGCGTGGTGGCGGGCACCTGTAGTCACAGCTGTTAGGGAGGCTGAGGTGGAAGAGTGGCATGAACTTGGGAGGCAGAGCTTGCAGTGAGCCGAGATCGCACCATTGCAGTCCAGCCTGGGTGACAGCGTGAATCTCTGCCCAGAAAAGAAAAAAGAAAAAAAGACATTTATTGAACAGAGGCATTTGTGAATTTTTATTCTTATAAAGGTATTTCTCTGTATATATACGGATGTGGTTTGATAATTGTCTTTTCACAGTACATTAGAAATCTGTTTTGGCTTTTGACAAGTCAATTCTGAATCTTACATTAATTTGTAGTAGTCTATTTTGCTTTTTCTATTTGACTGCTATAATATCTCTTTTAGTGTCTTGCAAGTTTTCTTGATGTGTGGAATGTGACTTTTTACTTAATATTTCTGGGAATAGATAGGAATTCTCAAACTTGAGAATTCAGCTTTTACCACTTCTGAAAAATTCTTGGTCATCAACTTTTACAGTCTGTAATTTATTTCTCCTGTTAGCTAGAACCTTACTGTTCTAAGGTTCTCTTGTATGTGTTTCTTCACCTTTCATTTTTTTTTAATTCTTTTGCTGCTGTTGTCTTTTAAGTAACTTACTTAAAGCAACTTAAAAATGTACCAGTTTTTAAAATACCTAATCTATTAAACAACTTAGTTTATAATTTTTAATGTTATGTTTTTATCTTTAGAATTTCTGATTATTTTTCAGACTTTCCTAGTTAATATTGAAAACCTTTTTCTGCTCATACTTCTTTTATCCTCTTATTTAAATTAAACTGATTTTATCTTCAACACCTAGTTATTATAGCATATTCTGAGAACTAATTATAGCTTGATGTTTTCTCAACAAATTTTTACTCATTTTACAACCCCCGCTCCATATTTTATGGCTTTGATTTAATTAGTGTTTTTCGTTGCTGTTGTTTTTGTTTTCTGATGAACTTGTATTTCTTTGAACAACATGTATGGGAATTTTTTCAGAAACCTAGATTTTAATGTCCAGCTACAGAATAGACTGTTTCTGTTTAATGTTAAGGATTCCCTTAAGACGATAAAAAATTTTTAGCTTCACATTTCCAAGTAAATGTGAATAGTTGTGTTTTCAAGTAAATATGAATTCTTGTGTGGATGGCTGATAGATAAGAACTCTTAGGAGTATCTTTCCTTTTCTTCTTGTGGAAACAGTACCAAGATAAGGAAAGTATTTAATATCTGTTTCTTCAGGATGTTTTTCACCTCCTTCAGTTTTATAGCTAAAAGGATAATAGTACTGTCACGTTGTAAGTTAAAGACCCTAATATGACCTTCTTTGGAAGCTCCAAATTTTCTCTTTTATGGTTGACCCGAATTGTCATCAGTTTCAGAACTTTAATTTGTACATGTTATTTCTTAGTGTTATTCTCTGAGGATTTTCCTTATTTTCTAAGCAGCTGAGCCAAAACATTTAAAAAATACATTTTCTTATCTAGCATGTTGAGGTCCTTTGTGATTCCTCTGAACGTCTAACCACAATGTAGTTGAAAATTGAAGTTGTATGTATTAAACTTGTAATTCAGAAGTTTTTGGAACTATTGTTTTACAATACTGCAGATAAGTATAATCATATAATTTTCTTAGTTTGTATATTTAGCTTTTTTTGGAATTTTTTTCAAATATATTCCTGTCATGTTAATTATTTCAAATAATAAAACATACTGAACACATGATACTTTTATCAAAAGAAATATAATATGGCCTTTTATTTGACCAAAAATTCTCCTATTATTCTGTAGTTTATTTATTTATTTTTTAATTATACATTAAGTTCTGGGTGCATGTGCAGAATGTGCAGGTTTGTTACATAGGTATGCATGTGCCATGGTGGTTTGCTGCACTCATCAATCTGTGATCTACCTACCTTAGGTATTTTCCCTAATGCTGTCCCTCCCCTAGTCCCCCAGCCCTGACAGGCCCCCCAGCCCTGACAGACAGATGTTCCCTGCCCTGTGTCTATGTGTTCTCATTGTTTAACTCCCACTTAGGAGTGAGCACATACGGTGTTTGTTCTTCTGTTCTTGTGTTAGTTTGCTGAGAATGCTATTACCAGCTTCATCCATGTCCCTGCAAAGGTCATGAACTCATCCTTTTTTATGATTGCAAAGTATTCCATGGTGTATATGTGCAACATTTTTTTAATCCAGTCTATCATTGATGGACATTTGGGTTGGTTCCAAGTCTTTGCTATTGTGAACAGTGCTGCATTAAACATACATTTGCATGTGTCTTTATAGTAGAATGATTTATAATCCTCTGGGTGTATACCCAGTAATGGGATTGCTGGGTCAAATGGTATTTCTAGTTCTAGATCCTTGAGGAATCGCCACATTGTCTTCCACAATGGTTGAACTAATTTATACTCCCACCAATATTGTAAAAGTGTTGTTTGTCCACATCCTCTCCAGCATCTGTTGTTTCCTGACTTTTTAATGATTGCCATTCTAACTGCCGTAAGATGGTATTTCATTGTGGTTTTGATTTGCATTTCCCTAATGACCAGTGATGATGAGCTCTTTTGAAATATATTTGTTGGCTGCATAAATGTCTTCTTTTGAGAAGTGTCTGTTCATATCTTTCGGTCACTTTTTCATGTTTTTTTTTTTATTCTTGTAAAGTTGTTTAAGTTCTTTGTAGATTCTTGATATTAGCCCTTTATCGGATGGATAGATAACAAAAATTTTCTCCCATTCTGTAGGTTCCTGGCCTGTCACCCTGATGATAGTTTCTTTTGCTGTGCACAAACTCTTTAGTTTAATTAGATCCCATTTGTTAATTTTGGCTTTTGTTGACATTGCTTTTGGTGTTTTAGACATGAAGTCTTTGTCCATGCCTATGTCCTGAATGGTATTGCCTAGGTTTTCTTCTAGGGTTTTTATGGTTTTAGGTCTCATGTTTAATTCTTTAAACCATCTTGAGTTAATTTTTGTATAAGGTGTAAGGAAGGGATCAAGTTTTAGCTTTCTGCATATGGCTAGCCAGTTTTCCCAACACCATTTATTAAGCCCATTGCTTGTTTGTGTCAGGTGTATTAAATATCAGATGGTTGTTGATGGGTGGTGTTATTTCTGAGGCCTCTCTTCTGTTCAGTTGGTCTGTATATCTGTTTTGGTACCAGTACCATGCTGTTTTTCTTGCTGTTGCCTTGTACTATAGTTTGAAGTCAGGTAGCTTGATGTCTCCAGCTTTGTTCTTTTGGCTTTGGATTGTCTCTTGGCTATGCAGGCTCTTTTTTCATTCTGTATGAAATTGAAAGTAGTTTGTTCCAGTTTTGTGAAGAAAGTCAGTGGTAGCTTGATGGGTATAGCATTGAATCTGTAAGTTACTTTGGGCAGTATGGCCATTTTCACGATATTGATTCTTCCTATTCATGAGCATGGAATGTTTCTCCATTTGTTTGTGTCCTCTCTGATTTCCTTGAGCAGTGCTTTGTAGTCCTCCTTGAGTAGGTCTTTCATATCCCTTGTAAGTTGTATTCTTAGGTATTTTATTATCTTTGTAGCAATAGTGAATGGGAGTTCACTCATGATTTGACTCTCTCTTTGTCTGTTATTGGTGTATAGGGATGCTTGTGATTTTGGCACATTGATTTTGTATCCTGATAAAGTTGCTTATCAGCTTAAGGAGATTTTGGGCTGAGACGATGGGGTTTTCTAAATATATAACCATGTCATCTGCAAACAGAGACAATTTGACTTCCTCTTTTCCTAATTGAATATTGTTTATTTCTTTCTCTTGCTTGATTGCCCTGGCCAGAACTTCCAATACTGTGTTGAATAAGAGTAGTGAGAGAGGGCATCCTTGTCTTATGCCAGTTTTCAGAAGGAATGCTTCCAGTTTTTGCCCATTCAGTATGACATTGGCTGTGGGTTTGTCATAAATAGCTGTTATTATTTTGAGATAATGTTCCATCAATACCTAATTTATTGAGAGTTTTTAGCAGGAAGGACTATTGAATTTTGTTGAAGGCCTTTTCTGAATCTATTGAGATAATCATGTGGTTTTTGTCATTGGTTCTGCTTACGTGATGGATTGTGTTTATTGATTTGTGTATGTTGAACCAGTCTTGTATCCCAGGGATGAAGCTGACTTGATCATTGTGGATAAGCTTTTATTTTAAGTTCAGGGGTACAAGTGTAGTTTTATTACATAGGTAAACTTGTGTCATGGGGATTTGTTGTACAGGTTATTTTATCACCCAGGTATTAAGCCTAGTACCCATTAGTTATTTTTCCTGATCGTGTCTCTCCCCCCACCCTCCAAACTCCAAAAGTCCCTTATGTGTCTGTGTATTCTCTCATCATTTAGCCCCTACTCATAAGAGAGAACATGCAGTGTTTGGTTTTCTGTTCCTGTGTTATTTTGCTAAGAATAATGGCCTCCAGCTCCATCCATGTCTTAGCAAAGGACATGATCTTTTTATATGCTTGTTGGCCACTTGTATATATTTTTAAGAGGAGTGTCTACTGATGTCCTTTGCCCATTTTTAATGGAGTGATTGTTTTTTGTTTGTTGATTTGTATAAGTTTGCTGTAGATTGTGAATGTCAGGATTTTATCAGATGTATAGCAAATATCTTCTCCATTCTATAGGTTGTTTATTCTGTTGACAGTTTCTTTTGCTGTGGGAAGCTCTTTCACTTAATTAGGTCCCACTTACCTATTTTTGTTGCATTTCCTCTTGGGGGCTTAGCCAAAAATTATTTGCCAAGGCCACTGTCGAGAAGACTGTTTCCCTAGGATTACTGTAGTTTGAGGTTTTATGTTTAAATAAATCTTTGGTTCATTCCAAGTTAATTTCTTTTGAGACACGATTTCTCTGTCACACATTCTGGCGTGCAGTAGCACAGTCATGACTCACCTTATTGCAGCCTAGAACTTCTGAGCTCAAACACCCCTCACACTTCAGCCTCCCTAGTAGCTGGGAGCTATCACAATAAAAGTTTTATAAAATAAGAAATTTTTACAAAGTTGTTATTTTTTACATTAGTAGCTATTATACTTTTTTAATATTTTTAAATTTTTTTTTTAGAGACAAAGTCTCACTGTGTTGACCAGGCTGATCTCAAGCTTCTGGGCTCAAGCAGTCCTCCCACCTTGGCCTCCCAAAGTGTTGGGATTACAGGTATAAGCCATCATACCTGGCCTTGAGTTACTTTTTGCACATGGTGAAGTATAGGTGTCCACCCTCAGTCTTCAGCATGTCGGTAGCCAGTTACTCCAGCACCATTTATTGAATAGGAAGCCCTTTCCCATTACTTACTTTTGTTGGCCTTGTCAAATAACAGATGGTAGTACGTGTCTGGCTTTATTTCTGAGTTTTCTGTTCTGTTCCATTGGTCTTTTTGTTGGTCTTTGTTACAGTACCATGCTGTTTTGGTTACTGTCGCTTCATATTATAGTTCAAAATTTGGGTAGTGTGATGTCTACATCTTTGTCTTTTGGCTTAGGTTGGCTTTGGCTAGTTGGGGCTCTTTTTTTAAGTTCCAAATACATTTTAGAATTTTTTTCAACTTCTGTGAAGAATGATGTTGATGGTTTGATAGAAATAGCGTTGAATCTGTAAATTGCTTTGGGTGGTATGGCCATTTTAATTATATTGAATCTTTCAATATATGGGCATGGAATGGTTTTCCATTTACCTGTGTTATCTCTGATCTTTTATAGCAGTGTTTTCTGGATTTTCTGGTAGAGATTTTTCACCTACTTGGTTAGCTGTATTTCATAGTATTTCATTTTCTTTATCTTTTGCTCATTTTTAATTAGTTTTTTTTTTTCCTATTGTATTTGTTCAGTTTCTTACGTTTTGGATATTAACCTTTTATCAGATGCATAGTTTGCAAATACATTTTTCCATTCTGTAGGTCGTTGCCTTATTCTGTTGATGTTTCCTTCATTATGCAGAAGCTTTTTAGCTTAATGTAATACCATTTGTCTGTTTTTGCTTTTGTTGCTTATACTTTTGAGGTCTTAATCCACAAAATTCTTGCCAAGATCAATGTCATGGAGCTTTCCTCTTATGTCTTCTTTTAGTAGTTTGATAATTTTGGATTTTACATATTTTACATTTAAGTTTTTACTTCCTTTGGGGTTGGTTTTTGTACATGGTGAAAGATGGGTCAAGTTTCATCCTTTTGCATGTGGATATCCAGGTTTTCCAACAATGGATACTGAAGAGACTTTCCTTTCCTCTCTGTGTGTTCTTGGTGTCTTTGTGGAACTTCTGTTGGCTGAAAATGCAGAGATTTATTTCTGGGCTATTATTTTCCATGGAGCTGTGTGTTTGTTTTTAATGGCAGTACTAAGCCCTTTTAGTTACTATAGCTTTGTGATATAATAGTAAATTAGTGTGAATACTCTCAGCTTTTTTGTTTGTTGGTTTGTTTTGTTTCACATATTGCTTTGGGTATTTTGAGTCTTTGGGGTTCCATATCAATTTAAGGGTTGCTTTTTTGAAAATTTCTGTGAAGGATGCTGTTATTTTTGACAGGGATTAAATTGAATTTCTAGATCAGTTTGGATAGTATGGACATTTTAGCAATATTAATTCTTGTGGTCTGTGAGGACAAGGTGTCTTAAAATTTCTTTGTGTGTTCTTCAGTTTACTTCATCATTATTTGTATAGTTTGCAGTGTAGTTATTTTTTTACCTCTTTAAATTTATTGCTAGAGATTTTTTTCAGCTGTTACAAATGAAGTTTTTATTTTGTTTTTTTCAGATAATTTTCTACTAATGTATACAAACACCACTGATTTTTATATTGATTTTGTATCCTGCAAATTTACTGAATTTGTTAGTTCTAACACCATTTTTACGGAGGCCTTAGCATCCTCTTAAAAAAGAAGTGTTTTCTTTAAGACTTTTTTATAAATCTTCAAACAGGGATAACATAACTTTCTCTTTTCCAATTTGAATGTTTTTTTAATTTCTTTTCCTGCCTCATTGCTCTGGCTGGGACCTCCGGCACTGTGTTAGTTGACAGTGGCAAAACAGGGCATTATTTTTGAGTTTACAATATGGACCTCTTGTGACCAGGAATACCAGAGGCAGCATGTTCTAAGACACAGTTGTCTTCTTATGTATGTTTTGCTCAGTTTGCCTCTCCTCATCGTATCCTACTCCCTACTCACTCTGGCAAATCTCTGACCCAACAGGAGTATGCGACCAGTGGTTGGAACCTGAATGTGATGCCAGTGCTAGATCAGTCTGTTCTCTGTCACATCAATGCAGACATCTCAGGCATGAAGGTGCCCTGGCTGTACGTGGGCATGGTTTTCTCAGCATTTTGTTGGCATATTGAGGATCACTGGAGTTACTCTATTAACTATCTGCATTGGTGAGCATGACCCCAATGGCTCAGTTGGATATCAAGACTGCCCTCATATGCAACGATGTATATAGACTTGACGTGTCTTCTGTCTACGTGAGCAGGGGTGAGCCGAAGACCTGGTATGGTGTACCCTCCCTGGCAGCAGAGCATTTGGAGGAGGTGATGAAGATGCTGACACCTGAGCTGTTTGATAGCCAGCCTGATCTCCTACACCAGCTTGTCACTCTCATGAATCCCAACACTTTGATGTCCCATGGTGTGCCAGTAAGTACCAAGGATCAAAACAATTTTAATTTTCTTCCCTGGGGTGAGAAGGGAATGAGAAAGAACTTAGTTTTGGAAGAAATAAAACCATATCCATTTTGCTATGGAGATTAGGCTTAGCATCACACCTCTTTGCCTTCCCTTGCTGACTTCAAGTTGCAGATCAGTACCGTTAGCTGGGACACTTAAGAGAACAAGTAAAAGAGAGATTAGATAATTACTTAACAGAATAGAAATTAAAACTTGGATCCTGGCCTTTTTATCTGCCTTCTAGTCTAGGATTGGTTTTCTCTTAATATTTCTGAATATAATTCTTACTTTGCAAAACCCAGGAGGGACTGGTTTCAGACTTTTGAGTATTTCTAGGAGTGGATTGTATCAGCTCATTTTGCTAAAGAATAAGCTAGCAATGTGTATGTGGTACATGGACTGGGTCACTGTCTTGTTACATGCTATGCCTTTTCTCCTTTGAAATTCTGTAAGCTTTGAGTTAACCGCTTTATAAGCTTTTATAACTTTCCTGGCCATCTTCCTCAGTTTTTTCATCTCAACAAAATGTGCTTCATGTCTCCAAAGGCCCTCTTCGTTTCCTGACATTTTATACATTTTATGAATTCTAACTTGTACCTTTTTTTTCCTAGTATTCCTCGTCTCACAAGAAAAATATATTGATGATAATGAGCTCATCAAGCAATCTAATTAACACCATTTGTCTTGCTTTCTGATTCTAGTTCTGAACTAACTATATTTTTTTTGTCTCTCGTGCTGTATATGTAATACTAACTTTTATATTTTTTTTATAGTTGCCTTTCTCAGGGGTATTACTTTCTTTATGTAGCTCTGAACTACTCAGTAATATCCTTTCATGTCAGCCTGAAGGAGTCCTTCTGTTTTCCCTGTAGGCACATCTTCTGGAGACATACTTCCACAATTTTTAATTCTCTGTCAATTTATTTAATTTTTTTTCCCATTGCATGACTTTTAACGTGTCATCCAACTGGCTTCTGGCCTCCGTTATTTCTAATGAGAAATCTATTGATAATTCTATTAAGCATCCATTATATGCGAAGAATCATGTCTGTCATACTGCTTTCAAACTCCATCTTGGTGTCTTACCTTTTGTTGGTTCGACTATGTTGTGTCTCCTGGAGTTTATCTAGTTGGAGTGCACTGAGCTTCTTGGTTGTAGACTTTCAGGGCTTTCCACAAATTTGGAAATTGTTTAACCATTTTTGCTTCAACTGTTCTGCCTTTTTCCTTCTCTTTTCTTACGAAATTCCCATTCTGCATATATGGGTGCACTTGATGGTGTTACACAGGTCTCTTAGGATCTGATTAATATTCTTCTCTTTTTACCCCCTGCTGATTTATTTCAATTGACATGTCTTAGAGTTTTCTGATTCTTTCTTCTGCCTGCTCAAAGCTCCTGTTGAAACCATCTTGTGAGTTTTTCACTTCTGCTATGGGACTGAGAGCTTCAGAATTTTGACTTGTTTCATTTTTGTAATTTTAGTGCCTTTCTTGAAACTCTTATTTGGAGGGACATTATTCTCCTGATACCCATTAGTCCTTTGTGTGTTGCTTCTTAAGGCATTTAAGCCTGTTTGAGAGTTGATAGACTTTAGTAAGTAAGTAAGCCTGGGCTATCTGAGAGCTTTTTTCTTTTAACCGAAGGGCTATACTTCTTTCTTTTTTTTTTTTTGAGACGGAGTCTCGCTCTGTCGCCCAGGCTGGAGTGCAGTGGTGGGATCTTGGCTCACTGCAAGCTCCGCCTCCCGGGTTCACGCCATTCTCCTGCCTCAGCCTCCCAAGTAGCTGGGACTACAGGCGCCCGCCACTACGCCCGGCTAATTTTTTGTATTTTTAGTAGAGACGGGGTTTCACCGTTTTAGCCGGGATGGTCTCGATCTCCTGACCTCGTGATCCGCCCGCCTCGGCCTCCCAAAGTGCTGGGATTACAGGCGTGAGCCACCGCGCCCGGCCAGGGCTATACTTCTTTTCTTTGTATGCCTACTAATGTTTTAAACTGAACACTTTTCAGAGTATTGCTTCAACTCTGAAAATCGTATTATCCCCCTTGTCTTCTCTCAAAAAATTTGTTGTTGCTTTTATGTACAATAGTTGTTGTTTGGTTAGTAAATTTTCTGAACTGGTTTTTTTGGGGGATATGTTTTAAAGGTGAAATTCACATAACACAAAACGAACCATCTTAAACCGAACAGTTTGGTCTCATTTAGTACATTCACAGTGTTGTGCAACCACCGTGTCTACTTAATTCTAAAACATTTTAATTTCTCCAGAAAAGTCTCAATACAATTTATTTCTCATTCATCCCTGCTTCTAACCTTGGACCACAGGTTTACTTTCTGTTTCTATGAATTTATTCTGCGTATTTCTTATAAATGGAATCATACAATATGTGATCTTTTGTATCTGACTTCTCAAAGTTCATCTGTGCTATGGCATGAGTCAGAGTTTTATTCCTTTTCCATGGCTGAATAATATTGCATTGTATGGACAGATCACATTCTACTTATCCATGGGTCTGTTAAAGCACATTTGTGTTGTTTCCACCACTAAGCTATTGTGAATATTTCTACTGTGAACATCTGTGTGCAAATATTTGTTCAAGTTCTTCCTTTCAGAGTTTTGGGTATATACCCAGAAGTGGTATTGGACAGTCATATGGTAGTTCTCTGTTTCAACTTTTTGAGGAACTTACTGCTTTCCATAGCAGTGTCATAGCCATTTTGCATTCTTACCAGCCATGCTCAAGGGTTCTAATATGTCTGCATTCTTGCCAACACTGTTATTTTCTACCTCTTTTTGTATGGCAAGAAATAGTATCTTGTGTGGCAAGAAATAGTATCTTGTGGTTTTGATTTGCATTTTCCTAACAACTAAAGATAGTGAGCAATTCTTTGTATACGTGAGTAATCTTTTAGTTTTATGTTCTTTTTCTGCTTTCTGTTAGCCTGTTGGTCATCTACCAACCTAACAAACTCTTTCTTAAGCCAAAACAATAATGATAATAACTAATAATAGTATTAACTACCCAGTCTTTGCAGATTGTGTCTGATTGGTGAAACTTTTTCGGGGCTACTTTAAAAACTATTTTAGACTCCACCTTCTGCTTCGGAAGAGCATGAAAGTCAGATAGAGGTGACGTTAGGGTCTTAGATCTTTTCTGAGCATGTATCTTGCCCTGGATGTTTAATGTGGCTTTCTCAGTTCTCAAATACTACGTGGAAGCTTTTTTAGAATCCCTTTTTCCCAAAATATCTCTTTCTCTAGGATTTGCCTCCCAGGCACTTAAAATTATCTGTTGTTTTTCTAGTCTCTCTCTTTCTCTCTCTCTCTCTCCTCCCCACCCCCACCACCCCATTTTAAAGCTGGAGGTGGCTGTGACTAATACGTTTGCTTTTTTATACTTTCCAAAAACACAGCCTGGGAAGTCTCCTGTCTTCTAAGCGAACTGTCAGGCAGGTGAAAGAAAATCAGGCCCTTGAGGTAGTCCTCCAGGAAGCCACCAGACAAGTCAAAACACACCACCTTAGTTCTTCGGGAAAAAGGTTCACATCATGGTTCCTGGCACCAATCAGCTGCACCAGCATCTCAGGTTGCTTTCCCACAGTAGCTGCTTACATAGGAATTGGGGCAAGTGTGTGTATGCAGGGAACTTAGTGCATTATAGCACTCTTGTACCACAATGTAAAAGCTTTTAAAAATCCATTAAGTGTTCTCCTGATTTGGGTTTTTTATTTTATTTTATTTTATTGCACTGCTCTGAACATTTCAGCACTAGATCATTGTTTGAGTAGAGGGACAAAGTTGTGGAGTTTCCAACTTCATCATTTTTGGTGACTTAATTCTATGACTTTAAAAATTTGCATTTCTTTGATTATAGAAGCAAAGAGTCTTTTCACTTGTTCGTGGACCCCTCTATATTTGTTTTTTGAATTACACATATTTTGAGTACTTTTCTATGAATACCACTTTTAAATTCACAATCTCATTTTTCTTTTAGGACACGTACTTGAAGATAGAGCCTTTCCACTCTTCCTACATCTGTTACAGCATCTAGAGACATCTTTGAGTTCACATCTGGCCCATTAGTTCTGACCCACACCTCTTTCTGCTTTTTTCTCCTTTTTAGGTTGTCCGCACAAACCAGTGTGCAGGGGAGTTTGTCATCACTTTTCCTCGTGCTTACCACAGTGGTTTTAACCAAGGCTACAATTTTGCTGAAGCTGTCAACTTTTGTACTGCTGACTGGGTGAGTGAGCATGCAGTGGGCCTGCAGGTAGAAAGTATAAAGAATATGGGTAAGGATTATTGTGGAGAAGCTATGCATTGTGGTCTCCAGATAGCCACACACAATCTTGAACGCACTTGCAGCTACCTGCTGGACGCCAGTGCATTGAACACTACCGCCGGCTCCGGCGCTATTGTGTCTTCTCCCACGAGGAGCTCATCTGCAAGATGGCTGCCTTCCCAGAGACGTTGGATCTCAATCTAGCAGTAGCTGTGCACAAGGAGATGTTCATTATGGTTCAGGAGGAGCGACGTCTACGAAAGGCCCTTTTGGAGAAGGTGGGTGGTCAAGAGCAGAGCTTAGGGATTTAGTCACATATATTACGTTACAGAGACACAGACCAACATTGAGTAACCACTGTGTGCCTGATCTTTAAGTCATGCATTTTGAAATGTAAAGACAGAGTCTGTATGTGTTTATATTTTTTCTTCCAATTTCTCTACAGCTTTCCTTACAAGGTTGAGTCCACATCAGGGCTCAGTGTTGGCTGAGGTGGGGTGTCCACAACCCTACTCCTAGTCTTTACAGTATATGTGGGTTGAACACCCCCAGGGCGTCACGGAGGCTGAGCGAGAGGCTTTTGAGCTGCTCCCAGATGATGAACGCCAGTGCATCAAGTGCAAGACCACGTGCTTCTTGTCAGCCCTGGCCTGCTACGACTGCCCAGATGGCCTTGTATGCCTTTCCCACATCAATGACCTCTGCAAGTGCTCTAGTAGCCGACAGTACCTCCGGTGAGCATGGGAACACTGTGGGGACGTGAAGGAGGTTTTAGAGCTGGGCCAGATGTGTACCCTTCCCGGCTTTCTTCCTCTAGGTATCGGTACACCTTGGATGAGCTCCCCACCATGCTGCATAAACTGAAGATTCGGGCTGAGTCTTTTGACACCTGGGCCAACAAAGTGCGAGTGGCCTTGGAGGTGGAGGATGGCCGTAAACGCAGTGAGTGACAGGAAATGGAAGGAACCCTTGTGTAAGCCTTATTTCTTTCTTTTGGGTATTCTCAACCTTCCTTTTCTGCTAACACTGCCTACCTGTTGCAACTTACACTCTCCAGGCTTTGAAGAGCTAAGGGCACTGGAGTCTGAGGCTCGTGAGAGGAGGTTTCCTAATAGTGAGCTGCTTCAGCGACTGAAGAACTGCCTGAGTGAGGTGGAGGCTTGTATTGCTCAAGTCCTGGGGCTGGTCAGTGGTCAGGTGGCCAGGTACGTGAGAGGAGAAGGCAAAGAAGGGTGTCAGTGTGTGAAAATGAATAACAAAAATGGATAGACTATAAACACACAATCCTGTTTGAGGCTGAGGCAGGAGAATTGTTTGAACCCAGGAGACAGAGGTTGCAGTGAGCCGAGATGGCATCATTGCACTCCAGCCTGGGCAGCAAGAGCAAAACTCCATCTCAAAACAACAGCAAAAAAAAAGAAGCACAGACTCAGATTTTACTGAGAAAGAGTAGATAACACATGGACAAAAAGCAGTATAATAGAAACTAGAAATTACTGAACTAAAGTTTCTAACAAAATAATGTGGCAATAAGATATAAATATATACTAGCAAAATTGCAGTTTTTTCCTACTTCTTAGGAAATCTCATAGCGTTATGCAGACATCGGAATTTCCACAAACTTTACTTTTGGCTGTGTAGTTAGGTAAAACTTCAGAGGTTAAAATAATCCTAGAAATTTATTTAACTGTTAGTTTCCAAATGTGTAAGACAATAGATACATATAGTTTTTAGATTGAAAAGTAAGTGATTATGTACAGTCAGGCATCACTTAATGATGGAGATGTGTTAGGAGAAAAGCGTCATTAGGCGGTTTTGTCATTGCTGCATACGCACCGTCTACTTACATAAACCTGGATGCTGTGACCTCCTACACACCTAGGCTGTGTGATAGAGCCTGTTGTTCCTAGCCTGCAAACCTGCACAGCGTGATACTGTACTGAATATTGTTGTCAGTTGTAACACTGGTGAGTATTTGTGTATCAAAATACGCAAATGTAGAATTACTACAATAAAAGAATTGTGGAAGACATAAAATATGGGGCACTTACCATGAATGAAACTTGCAAGACAGGAAGTTTCTCTGGGTGAGGAACCGACTGGTAAGAGAATGTGAAGACCTTGGACATGACTGTACACTACTGTAGACCTAATAAACGCTTTACACTTTGGCTTTGTTAAATTTATATAACGGTATCTTAAAAAGAGATAGTAAATTAGCCTCAGCTACTGTAAATTTTTAAAACTTTTTTTCAGGGTACATGTGCAGGTTTGTTATATAGGTACATTTGTGTCATGGGGGTTTGTTAACCCCATGTACATAGGGGTTTTATCACCCAGGTATTACATTCAGTACCCCTTAGTTATTTCTCCTGATCCTCTCTCTCCTCCCACCTTCTACTCGGTGATAGTCCCCAGTATGTGCTGTTCCCTCTATGCGTGCGTCCATGTGTTCTCATCATTTATCTTACACATATTAGTGAGAACATGTGGTATTTGATTTTCTCTTCCTGTGTTAGTTTGCTAAGGATAATGGCCTCCAGCTCCATCCATGTTTCTTCAAAGGGCATGATCCTGTTCTTGTAATATCTGCATTGTAATTCCATGGTGTATATGTACCAGTTTTTCTTTATCCAGTCTATCATTAATGGTCATTTAGGTTGATTTCATGTCTTTGCTTTTGTGAATGGTGCTACAGTGAACATAACACGTGCATATGTCTTCATGATAGAACAATTTATATACCTTTGGGTATATACCCAGTAATGGGTTAGCTGGGTCAAACGGTATTTCTGCCTCTAGATCTTTGAGGAATTGCCACACTGTCTTCCACAATGGTTGAACTAATTTTACACTCCCGCCAACCCTGTATAGCAGTTACTTTTTCTCCGCCACCTCACCAACACCTGCTATTTCCTGACTTTCATAATTGCCATTCTGACAGGTGTTATCAGGTGGTACCTCACTGTGGTTTTGTTTTGCATTTCTCTAATGATCACTGATGCTGAGCTTTTTTTCATATATCTGTTGGCTGCATGTATGTCTCCGTTTGAAAAGTGTCTGTTTATGTCCTTTGCCCACTTTGTAATGGGGTTGTTTTCTTCTTGTAAATTTGATTAGGTTCCTTTATAGATGCTGGATATTAGACCCTTGTCAGATGTATAATTTGCAGAAGCTTTCTCCCATTCTGTAGGTTGTCTGTTTACCCTGTGTGTAGACAGTTTCTTTGTACAGGAGCTCTTTAATTAGGACTCGTGTCAATTTTTGCTTTTGCCGCAGTTGCTTTTGGCGTCTCCATTGTGAAATCTTTGCCCATGCCTGTGTCCAGTTGTCTTCCAGGGCATTTATGGTTTCAGGTTTTAAATTTATGTCTTTAATCCATCTTGAACTGATGTTTGTATAAGGTACATGGCAGGGGTCCTGTTTCAGTTTTCTGCATATGGCTCAGCCAGATTTCTCAACAGGATATACTAATTAGGGAGTCCTTTCCCCATTGCTTGTTTTTGTCAGCTTTGTCAAAGATCAGATGGTTGTAGGTACGCATCCTCATTTCTGGGCTTTCTATCATGTTTCATTGGTCTATGAGTCTGTTTTTGTAAACTGTTTTTGTAAACATTTAATTTCTATTTGAATGTTTTACTCTTTTCTAATAATGGTTAGCTTAAAACACAAATGCATCATAGAGTTGTACAAAAATATTTTCTTTCCTCATATTGTCATTCTGTAAACTTTTCTGTGTAAACAATTTTTAAGTTTGTTTTCCATTTTAAACATTTTTGTTAAAATCTAAGATGTAAAGACACACATTGGCCTAGGCCTACACAGAGTCAGATTCTGAATGTTACCATCTTCCCCCATCTATATCTTATTTTAGTGGAAGGTCTTCAGGGCACTGACACACGTAGAAAGGGATCTGTTAAGATAACCATGCCACTTCCTGGAATACTTCCTGAAATACTTTTGAGGCTGCCTGACAGTTAACTTTTGTTTATAGTAGGAGTATATTCTAAAATAATAGTTTAGAAAAATGTGGTGTCAAGCATTAACCAGTATATGGCTGTTTGTTATCAGGTATTATGTGATGCATGTGCTAGACAGATTCTTACATGATGGACAGTGCATTGGGTTGTTTATATCAGCATCACCACAGACACATGAGGAATGTGTTGCTACTTTACAACTGCTACGATGTCAGCAGGTGATAGGAATGTTTCAGTACTGTTATAATCTTACAGGCCCACTATCATACATGTGATTTGTCATTGAAATGTCATGTGGTGCATGACAATGTTAAATCATGTATTTGTAGAAACTCTATATAAAAAATAATAAAGCTGTGTTAGTAGGAAGGAATTTTAGATAAACTACTCTATTTAAAAAAAATAAAGCTGTGTTAGTAGGAAGGAATTTTAGATAAAGAAGGGATTTTTTTGTCATTAGGTTTAAGGGTCAGAATAAAGGTATCAAGACTCTAAAGCAAGGGTATACATTTGAACCAGTTTCTACTTGAGAATATAAGTAATTTTTTCAAAAAACTTTAAGAAAACATAGAAAGATTTTGAAGTGGAGAAGTACATAGCAGAATGGATATTTGAAATTTATTATTTTGGGCCTATTTGGAGGATGGGTCCCACAGGATGTGGCATGGTCTGATTTAAATTAAATAAACTGATAAGGAAGCTTTTTAAATAGTCCATCACATAATTATTAGCCTGAGCTATAATTGAGATGCTAGATTGCCTTTTTGGCTTTTCTGTGCCACCTAGATATTCAATGACCCATGCTTACTTAGCTTAGTTTCTTATGTTTTGTCTTCATTCTCATGTCTGTCATATTTTAGAGACACATTATTTCAAATATTCTTTTTTTTTTTTTTGAGACGGGGTCTCACTCTGTCACCCTGGCTGGAGTGCAGTGGCACGATCTCAGCTCATTGCAAGCTCCACCTCCCGGGTTCAGGCCATTATCCTGCCTCAGCCTCCCAAGTAGCTGGGTCTACAGGTGTGTGCCACCACACCTGGCTAATTTTTTTGTATTTTTAGTAGAGATGGGGTTTCACCATGTTAGCCAGGATGGTTTCAATCTCCTCACCTTGTGATCTGCCTGCCTTGGCCTCCCAAAGTGCTGGGATTACAAGCATGAGCCACCGTGCCTGGCCCATTATTTCAGTATTTCCTACTTGTTCTTAACCTTTTTTCTCATTGCTGCCTCTCTTTAAAACATGGAAACTTAAAATTTTAGAATAAATTTCACTTTTCTGGATAACTCCTTTCCCTACTGTGGTTCAGGAGAAATAAGGCTTTTCCAGATTGAACCCATGATACCCAAATAACATGCCCTGCATTTCCATTTTAATCTGCCTCAAGTTTTCCTCATGCATTTAACTTCCTGGCCTCTTCAGTTTTCTTTGTCTTGTAGGCAGTTGGAACCAAAGAGTAAATCTCAGAAGTTGTCATCCTGTAGTACTATTTTGCTTCTGACATAATGAACTCTCATTTCTTGTCTAGAATAAATTTATTATTCTGACCATACTTATCATCACTTAGCCCTCCTTTCTTCGTAATCCTCCCATTGCATTTGTACTTCAGTTTCTGGCTTAATAGATGTTTTGTCTCACTGTGAAAGCTACTACTTCTGAATCCTAATGGCTGTTTTTACATCTCTTCCTCATTCTTTAACTCTTAACTGGATGACTGATGAAAATATAACTTAAACCATCCAGGGGCCTTTTCACATGTTTCTTTTCTCTTGCCCCACCTATTTGTATTTATTTCTGTTCTTCTGTGGAATGGTACTAGCCAGGTAGTACCGTGGTGGCATGGTATTAGTAGCCATAGTGGTAGCAGATTAATACTGTTAACGTTTTCTCAGGAAGCTGGACTCTCTGACTTTGATATCTGTAGTCTCTATTAACTGCTGTCAAACGCCTACGGGTGTTTTTTCAAATCTTAACTTGTCAGTATCGCTGAACTTAGAAAAAAACCTTTGTGGGTATTACTGAAATATGAAAGGGAAGGAAGTATATTAAAAGTCTCAAATTGTTTGAAATGTGACATTACGAGGTGTTCCTTCTGGCTCCTATAGGATGGACACTCCACAGCTGACCTTGACTGAACTCCGGGTCCTTCTTGAGCAGATGGGCAGCCTGCCCTGTGCCATGCATCAGATTGGGGATGTCAAGGTAAGGAGGGGCCTGGAAAGGTGGAATTCTTGTTAACAGCAAATACTCAGGAAGTCTGACATGTCAGGAAAACTTGAGAACCTAATTATTCTAAACAACCTTCTCATAATAACAGGTTCTTTCCTGGAAGTGGCGGAGATATGTGTTCCCATACCATCTCTGTGTGTACAGCATGCAAGGAAATATCCTTCCAGACTGAAATAATTAAAAACTCTAAACTGGGCCTACATAAGACACTGGCTCTTGGGAATGGGGTGGAGAGGACTGATTGGTTGGTTGGTTGATTTCCCTCCAGACACCAGAGTCTTAGAAAGCTTACTAGATGGATAAGATTGTATTAAAGTGGGTTTGGAAAAAGAAATTTAGGTAATTAAAGGAGAAAAATGTCATTCTAGGTAAACAGAGGGCCTTTGTTATTATCAGATAGATCATGTTTTAGGATGTGGTTGAGAATAAGTATTAAGCAATAGGAAATGCCTATAAGAGAAGATGAGAAGTGGAGCAAATCTAGGTGGTTGAGTATTTATGTGGCTAAAGAATCTGCATTTTATCCTATGTCCTTGCAGGATGTCCTGGAACAGGTGGAGGCCTATCAAGCTGAGGCTCGTGAGGCTCTGGCCACACTGCCCTCTAGTCCAGGGCTATTGCGGTCCCTGTTGGAGAGGGGGCAGCAGCTGGGTGTAGAGGTGCCTGAAGCCCATCAGCTTCAGCAGCAGGTGGAGCAGGCGCAATGGCTAGATGAAGTGAAGCAGGCCCTGGCCCCTTCTGCTCACAGGGGCTCTCTGGTCATCATGCAGGGGCTTTTGGTTATGGGTGCCAAGATAGCCTCCAGCCCTTCTGTGGACAAGGCCCGGGCTGAGCTGCAAGAACTACTGACCATTGCAGAGCGCTGGGAAGAAAAGGCTCATTTCTGCCTGGAGGCCAGGTGGGGCGTAGTCTCTCCCTGTCTGTATCTTGACTATAATCCTCAAAGTTTTGGGGTGACCCTAAGTATTTCTATGGTGACCCTTGGGCAACAGACTCCCAGTTGGGCATCTACTAAACTCTAAAGGATTGGCATGACATATCATGTACTCCCATCTATATGACATGTCATGTTGATGTTTCACTGTTGTAAAGGCAACAATTGGGGAAATGTTCTTGGATGACTTAGTTCTCAGGTGAATGGATGCAGCATGTGACTTACAAGAGATCTATATAGCCCCCTGCAATGTTAGAGAGTTCCTCAGTGTGGCTTCCTTACTTTGTCATGCAACACTTTTTATTGCTTATGTTTTTAGCAAGGAAACCTAGGACTTAGAAAAGGGGCATGTATACCTGTAACATGTAATGATAGATTTCTCTTTTTCAAAAAAAATTTAGGCAGAAGCATCCACCAGCCACATTGGAAGCCATAATTCGTGAGACAGAAAACATCCCTGTTCACCTGCCTAACATCCAGGCTCTCAAAGAAGCTCTGACTAAGGCACAAGCTTGGATTGCTGATGTGGATGAGATCCAAGTGAGGATCAGTATTTCTGCTTTACTGCGTCAGGCCAGCAGTTAGAAGAGAGATAGATATACTTTATAGTTTTTACTCGGTTGGGTTGTGCTAGAAAGTGAAGGTGGGAAGTTGGAGGATTCCTTGAGGTACCTGAGCGTGTCAGAATAGGAACCAAGGGAAGAGAAGCATGAATATGGGTGTATACCTAAGCAGAGACTATTGATATATAGAAGTGTACAGAGGAAGCAGGTTACAACAGAGTAACTTGCATATGTGGAATTTTTGGTCTGAGCCAATTAAAGTAGGAGTTCTGAGAGAAAAGAGTTTCTATCACATTTTTCTGTTGCAGAAAACATCTCCAGATTTTCAGCCCTGGGATTATGCAGTATAATACCCAGTATTACTTAGGACAAATTTAGACACAATATTGTTGACATAATTTAAATAAAGTTTCTTTCCCCTATTCCAGAATGGTGACCACTACCCCTGTCTAGATGACTTGGAGGGCCTGGTGGCTGTGGGCCGGGACCTGCCTGTGGGGCTGGAAGAGCTGAGACAGCTAGAGCTGCAGGTATTGACAGCACATTCCTGGAGAGAGAAGGCCTCCAAGACCTTTCTCAAGAAGAATTCTTGCTACACACTGCTTGAGGTGAGGTCTGAGACCCTGACCCACAGCCTCTTCTTCATCTGGCCTGGCTGCTGTGAGATGGCGCATATAATGAGAACATAGATTTTTTTAGTGGGCACCTGGGTAGGAAGGAGAGGGTGTAGTTGGTGAGGGAAGCCTGGTCATTTCCTGTATGTCTGCCTGCCTGCCTCAGGTGCTTTGCCCGTGTGCAGACGCTGGCTCAGACAGCACCAAGCGTAGCCGGTGGATGGAGAAGGCGCTGGGGTTGTACCAGTGTGACACAGAGCTGCTGGGGCTGTCTGCACAGGACCTCAGAGACCCAGGCTCTGTGGTAAGGAGCATGGCCCAGATGGGGAAAAGATGGGTTCTGGGTTTCTCTCTGAAAAGAGGAGAGCTGCTGATGATAGGGTGTCTGAGCCCTGTTACAGGTCTCCTGGTTTGGGAGCTGGGCATTAGGATGCCAGACAAGGGCGAGGGTGGACTGCTGACCTACTTTCCCCCTCTTCTGGATATGGCAGATTGTGGCCTTCAAGGAAGGGGAACAGAAGGAGAAGGAGGGTATCCTGCAGCTGCGTCGCACCAACTCAGCCAAGCCCAGTCCACTGGCACCATCCCTCATGGCCTCTTCTCCGACTTCTATCTGTGTGTGTGGGCAGGTGCCAGCTGGGGTGGGAGTTCTGCAGTGTGACCTGTGTCAGGACTGGTTCCATGGGCAGTGTGTGTCAGTGCCCCATCTCCTCACCTCTCCAAAGCCCAGTCTCACTTCATCTCCACTGCTAGCCTGGTGGGAATGGGACACAAAATTCCTGTGTCCACTGTGTATGCGCTCACGACGGCCACGCCTAGAGACAATCCTAGCCTTGCTGGTTGCCCTGCAGAGGCTGCCCGTGCGGCTGCCTGAGGGTGAGGCCCTTCAGTGTCTCACAGAGAGGGCCATTGGCTGGCAAGACCGTGCCAGAAAGGCTCTGGCCTCTGAAGATGTGACTGCTCTGTTGCGACAGCTGGCTGAGCTTCGCCAACAGCTACAGGCCAAACCCAGACCAGAGGAGGCCTCAGTCTACACTTCAGCCACTGCCTGTGACCCTATCAGAGAAGGCAGTGGCAACAATATTTCTAAGGTGAGCTTTCCAGGCCAGCCATTGTCCTCATATTTCTGTCTTCTAGCCCCTGTCCTTCTTGTAGCTCCAGTCTTGTCCCTGTTCCCCAGTTTTCAATCTCCTTTGGCCTAGTCCCTTTGCTCCATTCTATACCTATCCAGATCCCTAAACTCTGATCCCTGTTGGAAGCCTGTGTCTACTCTGCTTCAGGAGATAGAGGCTCCCAAGTTTTGGAGTTGTGGGAGGAAAGATAGGACCTGGTTCATCAGCTCAATTATTGTTACCCATTCTTTTTTTCCGATAGGTCCAAGGGCTGCTGGAGAATGGAGACAGTGTGACCAGTCCTGAGAACATGGCTCCAGGAAAGGGCTCTGGTAAGACAGGTGTGGTTTGGGTAGGCTGTTGGCTAAACATAACTGAGTGACCCATGTATTTGTCACCTCTGTTGTGGCCATGGAGGATAAGACCAAGAGTGGCCTCTAACCCAGTCTGTCCCTGCACCTTTCACCGCACCACCTTCCGCCCAGACCTGGAGCTACTGTCCTCACTGTTGCCGCAGTTGACTGGCCCTGTGTTGGAGCTGCCTGAGGCAATCCGGGCTCCCCTGGAGGAGCTCATGATGGAAGGGGACCTGCTTGAGGTGACCCTGGATGAGAACCACAGCATCTGGCAGCTGCTGCAGGCTGGACAGCCTCCAGACCTGGACAGAATTCGCACACTTCTGGAGGTAGGAAGCGGGGTCACAGGCAGGGCAGGAGATCAGGTCCAGCAGGCAGGGATCCCAGTACTGACGTTTTTCGCCTTGTGTGGGTATGATTGCAGCTGGAAAAATTTGAACATCAAGGGAGTCGGACAAGGAGCCGGGCTCTGGAGAGGCGACGGCGGCGGCAGAAGGTGGATCAGGGTAGAAACGTTGAGAATCTTGTTCAACAGGAGCTTCAGTCAAAAAGGGCTCGGAGCTCAGGGATTATGTCTCAGGTGGGCCGAGAAGAAGAACATTATCAGGAGAAAGCAGACCGTGAAAATATGTTCCTGACACCTTCCACAGACCACAGCCCTTTCTTGAAAGGAAACCAAAATAGCTTACAACACAAGGATTCAGGCTCTTCAGCTGCTTGTCCTTCTTTAATGCCTTTGCTACAACTCTCCTACTCTGATGAGCAACAGTTGTGACAGTGGCACCAAAGGTCATTTGTGGTTGTTTTTGTTTGTTTGTTTCTTAAATCCTACTATCTCCTGGCCTGGACCTCAGAAGGAGCTTTTTGCTTATCTATAATTTTTCACTGCCAATTTTTGATATCCTCTCTCCTAGAGTTACTGTTAAAAGGTTGGTTCGTAAAGTCCACACCCCGATGCTCAGAAGTGTCTTGCCAGCAACATTCCTGCTAGCATACAGGAGTGATTTCCTAAACCAGTTTCATTCTAGTCTGAATAGGGACAAACAAATCTTGAGGAAGCCCAAGTGCGTACCTTTATTTTTGCCCCCACCACCCTCTTTCTGTACTTCAATTTTTGTTTGTTTTTTGTTTTTTTGTCCCTGTCATAAAATATTTTGGTGCTTCAAAACTTGTACCTTCATTGTACATCCTTTTCTTTTCTCCCCTTGGGTCTTATTATAAAAGAAGACAATGTACGTTGTAATTACCAAAAAGAATAGGGAAAAACAAGAATTTCATGACTCTACCTGTGGTCTATCTTTAATTTCATTTCTTTTGTTAAAAATAAAACAATGAGTATGTTTGGATACTATGAATATGATTTGAACTTCTTAAATTGTACGAGTGAAGGACTGAGGTTAGGAAACAACAGTAGCATGGGTCAACGTAATTTTTAATAGTCTTTTTCGGGGCAGTGGGGAAGGGTAAATTTTACTTAGAAAACATACATGAGACTTAGGCCAAGGTTAATGTTTTCTCAAAGGATGTCCAGTTGACCCAGCACCAGCAATAGAAAACTTACCTGTCCTACACTTAATTGCTTTGTGCTTTTTATTGAAAATCTGTTGGCTGGACTTGCATGTGCCAATATCTGAGTTAACTTGTTGCATTGCATCATTTAACTATGTGTCTGTCCCCTGTGGCCAGATCACAATGTCTTGGTTACAGTCGCTTTATAATAAGTCTTACATCAGGGTAGACAGATTCATCTCACTTTTTTGTTTTTCAGATTGTTTTAGCAAGTTAAGTCACCAGCTCTCTTTTTCATTATGTAGTAGCTTTTGTGTCCTAAATCTGATTAAGTTGCACTGACACAAGTTATCTCCCTCAATATTTTCTGTTCTTTCAACTGGTGAATACAATAGCTAATCTAAATCATTTGTTGTAAGAATTCAGTAGGATTGATGTGTAAATATTTCAGGTAAAACCACTCTATTAGTATACCACTAATTCAATTCACGGTTCTTGTTTTGTGTGTCTCTGGGTGATCTAATAATACAGACTGTATTATACTTCTTTTAATCCCTTTAAAGGTGAACGCATTCTGTCATCCTGGATTGAATCTCTCGCTTTTCCACCTACTCCTTGCTGACTTGAGTCAGTGTAGAACACGTTATTACCCATAGCATTTCTCATGCCTATAATCATACCTACCTTCCTTATTGTCTACTCTTTTCACCTCTTTCTTTCTTTGATACTGTCATAGGGAACTATAATTAGCTTTCCCAGTAACAAAGCTATGCTTGGTGATGACCTAGTAGAGTAGAAATTGCTTCACCTGTCCAAGTACAGTGTACTTTACCTTACCACACCATAGGGACCAGGTAAAATATATAGAAAATCCTGAGATAATTTATCTAAATCTGAGAATTGTCTTCGAAATTTCTTTTTTCTCCTCTTCCATAAATAGGAGGAAAGTCATGATTCTCAAGCCATTACAGATTCTCTGACACTTGTTAACGGAAAATTCTGATGAGGCATGATGAGAACTTCTGCCTATAAAAATCTCACTAAAGTTCTGAGTCACAAATTGTTCACATACTTCACAGTAAGCAGGCAATCCAATGTCAGGACAGTTGTACACCTTTCTTAGGTTGCCTCCCCTAATTGGGGCTGTATTTGACATGAGGGGCCAGTTTTGACACTTTTTAAAACCATACACAAGGATGCAGCACTAAGTTTTTGCACATAGGCAAGAATTTATCTTGTGATTAGAAGTTAGTTATATGTTCATTAAGAAACATGACGAAATCTGCAGCAAAAATTGAATTTCATAGGCCATTCAGTGTTCTCTGCGATAATTCTAATTCAGAAAAAAATTGAATCTTGGTTTAAAAAAATTGTAATAAAACTTTACCACTGGTAAGCCAGCTGTCTTGGTCTCTTCTGCTGTGAGAAAAAAATATATCAGACTGGGCAATTTATAAACTTAAATATATTGCTCACAGTTCACGTTGTAAACATACACAGCATAAACTTCTGGAGGGACCTGCGCCATACCTGGGCCCATTTCAGCCACAGCTAATAGAGCCAAGGAGTGCTGCACCAGAATTTCGGAAATCAAGGTTTAGGGTGGTACTGTGCAGTGAGCCCCACGTCCAAGGGCACTTTGGGCCTCCCCTTTAAAACTGTCAACTTTCAAGACCCTAACTAACACTCTGGGCCTGTGATGGGTATGACATCAAAGAACTCCAAAATATTTTATGGTAATTCTTGTTAGGATGAATACCATCTGACTCCCTTATGTCTGCTAATCTTAACAAAATGTTCCCATGGACACACGCCTATTTTCTCCTGAACACGCTTTTTCATTCTTAACATGGCCCAGCTGAGAACTTTCCAAATCTTTAAGTTCTGCTTCTTTTTCAGTTACAAATTTGATCTTTAATTTATTTCTCCTCACATTTTACTGTAAGCAATCATGAGAACCATGCCACACCCTTAACCCTTTGCTTAGTTACTTCTTCCACATGTGTTAGTTTCATCACTGTTCATTTCTGCCCTTCAGAAACACTAGGACACAAAACTCTGCCAAGTTCATTGCCACTTTCTAACCAGGATGGCCTTTCTCCAGTTTCCAATAAGATAATCTTTATTCATCTAACATGCCATCAGATTTTTTTCTTCACCCAGTTTTTTATTTTGAAAAGTTTCAAGATTTCATAATTTGAACAGGACAATGAACATCTCTGTCCTTCACATAGATGTACCAGTTAATATTCTGTGCCCATGGACTCACTTCTCTCTCTCTCTCACTCTCTTTCTCTCTCCCTCTTACATGCATGAACACACACACATAACACACACACACATTTTTTGATGAACCATTTGTAAGGAAGTTCCAAAAACCATGTAATTCACTCCTAACTTCTTAATTATCTCCTAAGAACAAGAACATTCTCCTACCTGTTTTCATTCATCCTCAAGATAATGATGTTCAGCTCGCAGATGCTATGATTCTCATAAGCCAGTAAGAAAAATGGTGTCTGTTTTCCCTGTAACACAGGATTCACTCAATGGAATTAATTCTACTCTGCCTACTTCACAGGGTGCATTGCCAGAGGTCTGCTCTCTGTAAGCCTCTCGAAGAATAGGAAAGTATTTCTGCCCTCCAAAAGCTTACAGTGCTGTGGAAAATGTTGGCAAATCAGATGAAATAATACATATGCAAGTACTTAAGTTTTATCAACTTTTAATGCCATTATATACATGAAAGACACTATTTTTCTCTCTATTTTCTCTCAAAGAAAATGGGATTTAGGAAAATGGGAAAGCATCAAAAAACATCAGAGGGACTGTAGTAGCATTTGGAAAACAATGACAGTTTTTTTAAGATATTCAAAGGCATAGTATGTCTTAAAACTATTATTTTTTTCTTATCAGAGGAATATAATGTGATTGTACTGCCTTGTAATTTCAAGTATTGTGCACCCTATTAACTGGTGTTCTTTTTTTAAAATATTTATTTCTCTGCATATAACCTTGCTTTTTTCCTTCAACTTTTAAGTTCTGGGGTACATGTACAGGATGTGCACGTTTGTTACATAGGTAAACATGTGCCATGGCGGTTTGCAGCACACATCGTTCCATCACCTGGGTATTAAGGCCTGCATGCATTAATTCCTCCTGATGCTCTCCCTCCCTGATGCCGGAACCCCTTGCACTGACAGGTCCCCATGTGTGTTATTCCCCTGTCCCCACCCATGTGTTCTTACCATTCACCCGCCACTTGTGAGAATATGCAGTGTTTGGTTTCCTGTTCCTGCATTAGTTTGCTGAGGAAAACGGCTTCCAAGTCCATCCGTGTCCCTATAAAGGATGTGATCTTGTACTTTTTATGGCTGTATAGCATTCCACGGTGTATATGTACCGCATTTTATTTAGTCTATCATTTATGGGCATTTGGGTTGATACTATGTCTTTGCTGTTGTGAACAGTGCTGCAGTGAACATACATGTGCATGTATCTGTATAAAAGAATAATTTATATTCCTTGGGGTGTATGCCCAGTAAGAATCATAATACTGACTCTTCAATCCATGAGCATGGAATGTTTTTGCATTTGTTTCTGTCCCCTCTGATTTCCTTGAGCAGTGGCTTGTGTTCTCCCTGAAGAGGTCCTTCACTTCCCTTGTTAGCCATTTTCCTGGATATTTTATTCTCTTTGTAGCATTTGCTAATAGGAGTTCATTAATAATTTGACTCTAGGCTTGCTTGTTGTTGATGTATAGGAATGCTTGTGTTTTTCACATTGATTTTGTATCCTGAGACTTTGCTGAAGTTGCTTATCAGTTTAAGTAGCTTTTGGGCTGAGACTATGAGACAATTTGACTTCCTCTCTTACTATTTGAACACCCTTCATTTGTTGCTCTTGCTTGATTGCCCTGGCCAGAACTTCCCACACTGTGTTAAATAGGAGTGGTGAGAGAGGGCATCCTCTCCTTGTGCAGGTTTTCAAACGGTATAATACTGGCTGTGGGATTGTCTTAAATGGTTCTTACTGTTTTGAGGTCTGTTTCTTCAATACCTAGTTTATTGAGTTTTTAATATGAAAGGATGTTGAATTTTATTGAAGACCTTTTCTGTGTCGAGGTAATCCTGTGTTTTTTGCCTTTGGTTCTGTTCAAGTGATGAACTACATCTATTGATTTGCGTATGTTGAATCAACCTGGATCCTGGGAATGAAGCTGACTTGGTAGTGGTGGATGAGCGTTTTGGTATGCTGCTGGATTTGGTTTACCAGTATTTTATTGAGGATTTGTGTGTCGATATTCATCAAGGATGTTGGCCTGAAGTTTTTTTGTTGTACCTCTGACAGGATTTGGTACCAGGATGATGCTGGCACTGGCTGTATTTCTAGCAGACTTCTGGTCATAACCATTTAGATAATGTCTAAGAAGACTGAGGCTGTGTCTACAGCTCTCTTTTTTTTTTTGTGTCCTTATGAGAATCATCCTCATGGTCTGTTCATGGCAAAATAGGCTTTCTGCAACATGTTCCTTTATATTTTTCCTGCCTCTTCCCCATAACTCCTTTTGAAGATATTTCCATATTTTCATATAGCAACACTCCACTCTGCTTACCAATATCTGCCTGAGTCTCTTCCTGCTGCTATAACAAATTGCCTTACATAGAGTCATCTATAAACAGCATAAATTTAATAGTGACAGCTGAGACTGGAAAGTCCAAGCACAGCAGCTTGTTGGTCTGGTGAACGGTGCTCTCTCCTTTCACAACAGTGCGCTGAATGCTGTGTCCTCACCTGGCACGTGGACAGGCAAGAGTGTGGGGAAAAGAAAGAGAGATCAGATTGTTACTGTGTCTGTGTAGAAAGAAGTAGACATAAGAGACTCCATTTTGTTCTGTACTAAGACAAATTCTTCTGCCTTGAGATTCTGTTAATCTATAACCTTACCCCCAACCCCGTGCTCTCTGAAACATGTGCTGTGTCAACTCAGGGTTAAATGGATTAAGGGCGGTGCAAGATGTGCTTTGTTAAACAGATGCTTGAGGGCAGCATGCTCGTTAAGAGTCATCACCGTTCCCTAATCTCAAGTACCCAGGGACACAGACACTGCAGAAGGCTGCAGGGACCTCTGCCTAGGAAAGCCAGGTATTGTCCAAGGTTTCTCCCCCATGTGATAGTCTGAAATATGGCCTCGTGGGAAGGGAAAGACCTGACCATCCCCCAGCCCGACACCCATAAAGGGTCTGTGCTGAGGAGGATTAGTATAAGAGGAAGGCATGCCTCTTTGCAGTTGAGACAAGAGGAAGGCATCTGTCTCCTGCCCGTCCCTGGGCAATGGAATATCTCCATATAAAACCCGATTGTATGTTCCATCTACTGAGATAGGGGAAAACTGCCTTAGGGCTGGCGGTGGGACATGCGGGCAACAATACTGCTCTGTAAGGCATTGAGATGTTTATGTGTATGCATATCTAAAGCACAGCACTTAATTCTTTACCTTGTCTATGATGCAGAGACCTTTGTTCACGTGTTTATCTGCTGACCTTCTCTCCACTATTATCCTATGACCCTGCCACATCCTCCTCTCTGAGAAACACCCAAAAATGATCAATAAATACTAATGGAACTCAGAGGCTGGCGGGATCCTCCATATGCTGAACGCTGGTTCCCTGGGTCCTTATTTCTTTCTCTATACTTTGTCTCTGTGTCTTTTTCTTTTCCAAGTCTCTCGTTCCACCTAACGAGAAACACCCACAGGTGTGGAGGGGCAACCCACCCCTTCACAAGAGGACATACAAGAGGACTAGCTAGGTTGTTCCTTCACCCCTTGTATAAGGGTGCTTATACAAGCCTTTTATGAAGGCTCCACCTTGATAACCTGGTCATCTACCATTTAATATTGTCATACTGAGTTTCCAGTCTCAAAATGAATTTTGGAAGGGACAAAAATATTCAAATCAAATCCTGTCAAACTGTATGGTAGATAAGTAGGCTATTTCAACCGGTATTTTGATGAAAATTTATGGAATGGATGATGTTTAAGTTGATAAAAGTGAGTACACAATTAATGCTGTTGTTACAGAAACAGATGTTAAGCTTAAATATTTTCTGCATAGTGCCTGCAGATAACTGAAATACAGTGAACAACTATTGGCTTTAAACACCACATATTTTCACATGGCTTGTAAACTATTTTGTTTTGATTGTTTTTTGTGTTTTGTTTTTGTTTTTGTTTTTGTTTTTTGCTACAATTTCTAGCTCATCTTAGCATATACGACTTCAGATTCTAACGGTGGACACTTATGGGAGCCTCCATATTTTAGCTACTGTGAATAGTGCAGTACTGAATTTGTGTTCTCTCAGCTTCTTTAAAAATATTATCAGCTGCTATAAATTAAATATGTACCCCCAAAATTCATATGTTGAAGGCTAATGCTTAATTTGATGGCATCTGGTGGTGGGACTATTGGGAGGTGGTGAGGTCATAAGGGCAGAGCCCTTGTGAATGGAATTTGCACCCTTATAAAGACACCCCAGAGAGTTCCCTGTCCCTTCCACTGTGTGAGAACACAGTGACATCCACTGTGAACCAGGAGGTTCACACTCCACAGATACCAAGTTTATCACCTCTTTGCAGTTGTCAACAGTTGGAGCTATGAGAAATAAATGCAGCATCCAGAACTGTGAGAAATAAATATCTTTTGCTTATAGGCCACCTAGTCTAAGGTTAAGTTTTTATAACAGCCCAAATGGTGTAGCATGTTGCCTATTACTGTTTCATACAAAGCATACAAGGCTAATTCCATAGTTACTTCCAGCTTTAAAATGGCTTCCCAAATGCAAAAATGAGCAATATTAGTAATGTCTGTCAACTTAAAAGTGAAGGAAATTAATTTGCCATTATTTATTTTATTTTCATTGCATTTCTCAATGTTTTCAACTCTTCAATCAGCTGTTTTTTCCAAAACATTAATTGTCATTATTTTCTTGGGACACAGTTCTGAAGCTGCTTTAATCAAACACACTGTAATAGATTCAATATTGGTAAATTGCCATGCCTCCTTGGCCACCAAATCGGCTATTTGTAAACATACTTTAGTTCCATGCTGATACTCATTTTTTATTTTTGTGCATAAATTCTGCTTTGATGAGATACAAATTTTCTGCTTTTTCTAACGACAGCTTTCCTATGAATTGAAAATATGAGTGCTTAATTGGTGGTCTCCTTTTTTATTTTCAGTGCTTCTCTTTTATTTCTTTCCGTTTTTCTTTTGTTTGCCCTACCTACTATACTTGCATTCCTTTATTTACAATGTCTTATTTATTACAATTCCCATTTTGCACAATAGGTTACTAAAACTAACTGCACCTGTTTAAAACTTTATCCCACATTGATCAACGTATTTCTTTTTTCATACTCCCCCTCCACCCACGCTTTGCCTTCTGGTAACCATCAGCTCTTTACTTATATGAGTTGAACTTTAGATTTCATGTATAAGTGAGATACTGTGATATTTGTTTTTCTGTGTCTGGCTTATTTCACTTAACATAATATCCTCCAGGTTTATTCTTGTCCCAAATGAGAGAATCTGAATCTGCCCCCTGTTTTAAGGATAACTAATAATTTCATTGCAAATACTAGTATATAATATTATTCCATTATTGTTAGGAATACATAAATGTCCACCATCACATGAATCATTTTCTAACGGTGGACACTTATGGGAGCCTCCATATCTTAGCTACTGTGAATAGTGCAGCAATGAATATGGGAGTACAGATATATCTCCAACATAACCAATTTCATTGTTTTCACATGTACCCAGAAATGGCATTGCTGAAATATTTGGTAATTCTATTTTTAATTTTTAGGAAATTTAATGCTGTTTTTCGTAGTGACTGTATTAACTTCCATTCCCACAAATAGCACACAAGAGTTCCCTTTGCTCCACACTTTCACCAACACTTCTTATCCTTTGTCTTTTTTATAATAACCATTCTATCCGGTATGAACAGTAATAACTCACTGTAGTTCTGACTTGCATTTTTGTAACAATTAGTTACAATGAGCATTTTGTCATATACCAGTTGCCTTTCCTATGGCTTTTTGGAGAAGTGTCCCTTTTTGTCCTTTGCCCATATGTTGATTGGCTTATTTTCTTGGCATTAAAGATGTTTCAGTTTTTTATACATTTTGGATACTAGCCTCATATCAGATGTATGGCTTGGAAACATTTT
Organism: Homo sapiens; assembly: GCF_000001405.40. NCBI lineage: Eukaryota > Metazoa > Chordata > Mammalia > Primates > Hominidae > Homo > Homo sapiens. The sequence continues at coordinate 19,697,025 of NC_000024.10, read as the reverse complement.
CTTTCAGTTGTTGGGTGGTCTCTTTAGCCTGTTGTTTTCTTTACTGTGCAGAAGCCATTTTGTTTATTTTTGCTTTTGTTCTCTGTGCTTTGAGGTCATGTCCAAGAAATGCTTTCCCAGACCAATTGTTGTGGAGCATTTCTTCTCTGTTTTCCTTCAGTGCTTTCACGGTTTCATGTCTTAACTTTAAAAGTCTTTAATCCATGTTCCATTGATTTTCCTATATGGTATGAGTTAAGAGTCCAGTGCTAGTCGTCTGCCCGTGGGTATCAAGTTCTTCCAACACAGTTTCTTAAAGAGACTGTGCTTTTCTCATTTTATGGTCTTGACATCTGTCAAAAATCACTCCATCACAAATGCATGGGTTTATTTCTGGGCTCTACATGTGTCTGTGTCATACTAATACCATGAGGTTTAGTTAACCGTTCCTTTGTAATCATTTTTGAAATCAGGTGGTGTGATTCCTCCAGCTTTGTTGTTTTTGCTCATGATCGTTTTTACTATTTGAGGTCTTTTATTACATACAAATTTGGGGTTCATTTTATTCTATTTCTGTGAATAAAGACATTTGGAATTTTGATAGGGGTAGCATTGTGTCTGAAGACCTCTCGGGATAGTATAGAAATTTTTCTTTTTTCTTTTTTTTTTTTTTATCATGGAGTTCGCTCTTGTTGCCCAGTCTAGAGTGCTGTGATGCAATCACGGCTCACTGCAACCTCTGCCTTTGCCATTCTCCTGCCTTAGCGTCCCAAGTAGGGATTAAAGGTGCCTGCCACCATACGTAATTTTTGTATTTTTAGTAGAGATGGAGTTTCATCATGTTGGCCAAGCTGGTCTTGAACTCCTGACCTTGTGATCTGCCCACCTCAGCTTCCCAAAGTGCTGGGATTACAAGTGTGAGCCACTGCGCCTAGCTGATAGTATGGACATTTTAACATACTTTTTCCTGACCACAAAAGGGGTATGTTGTATATTTGTATCATCTACCACGTCTCTTCAATGTTTTATAGTTTTCAGTATGCAGATTTTTCACCTTCTTGGTTAAATGTACTGCTAGGTATTTTTTAAGATGATGCTATTATTCAAGTTGTTTCTTTTTAAAAAAATAATTATTACTGTGCAAAAATGCTGCTGATTTTTATGTATAGATTTTGAACGCTGCAACTTTACTGCATTCACTTATCAGTTCCAACAGTTGTTTAGTGGAGGCCTTAGGGATTTCTGTACACCAGATTATGTCATTGACAGAGACTATTTTAATTTTTCCTTTTCTACCTGAATGTCTTCTATTCCTTACTTTTGTTGGTGGTGGTTATAGTAAGTGTCCAATTGCTGTGATTAGATCTTCCAGTAAGGTGTTCAACACAGTACCACCACTTCTATTCAATACATTAGAATACAAGTGATGAGAGTGGGTATCTTTGTTTTGTTGTTGATCTTCCAGAAAAAAAACCTTGTTTCACTGTTGAGTATTATGATGAGTAAGCTGTGGGTTTTGTATTCTTTTGTTCCTCATTTATTGAGAATTTATATTTTGAAAGTATGAGGTATTTGTTGAAATGCTTTCTTTACCTATAATGAAATGACTGTATGGTTTTTTTGTTCTTCATTATGTTAAAATGGCGTATCAGATTTTTTCTTTGCATATGTTGAACCACTGTTTGCATCCCAGAGATGAATCCTACTTGATCATGGTGAATGACCCTATCGGTGTGCTGTTGAATTCAGTTTTCTAGTGTGTTCTTGAGGATGTTTACATCAAACTTTATCAGAGATACTGGCCTACAATTTTCTTTTCTTGTAGTGTCCTTCTTTGCCCTTTATATCAGACTGGTATCTAGCCTTATAAAATCAGTGAGGAAGTCTTCCTTCAGTTTTTTTGGAAAACCTTGAAAAAGATTGGTCTTAGTGAGAGACCAGACTAGCTGGATTTCCTAGGCTGACTAAGAATTCCTAAGCCTAGCTGGGGAAGTTGACTGCACCTACCTTTAAACATGGGGCTTGTAACTCAGCTCACACCCAACCAGTCAGGTAGTAAAGAGGGCTCACTAAAATACAAATTAGGCTAAAAGCAGGAGACAAAGAAATAGTCAAATCATATATCACCTGAGAGCACAGGGGGAGGGACAGTGATTGGGATATAAACCCAGGCATTGGTTTATATCCAATGGGCGACCCCTTTTGGGTCCCCTCCCATTGTGTGAGAGCTCTGTTTTCACTCTTATTAAATCTTGTAACTGCACACTCTTCTGGTCGGTGTTTGTTCAGGCTCAAGCTTAGCTTTCACTTACCATCCAGTCCAGCACTGCTGGATGCTGTGACCCACCGTTGACTCCCACCCCTCCAGATCCAGCAGGGTTTCTGCTGTGAGGCACCCATTGCTGCTCCTGATTAGGCTAAAGGCTCACCATTGTTCCTGCATGGCTAAGTGCCCGGGTTCGTCCTACTCAAACTGAACACTAGTCGCAGGGTCCCACGATTCTCTTCCGTGACCCACAGCTTCTAATAGAGCTATAACACCCACCGCATGGCCCAAGTTCCATTCCTTGGAATCTGTGAGGCCAAGAACCCCAGATGAGAGAACAAAAACCTTGCCTCCATCTTGGGCGTGGCCCACCTCCATCTTGGGAGCTCTAAGAACAAAGACCTACTGATAACGTTAGGTCCTCATTAAATGTTTGGTAAAATTTACTCATGAAGTCACCAGGCTTTGCTTTAGTGGAAGACTTGTATTGCTAATTCTGTCTCCTTATGTATATATGATCTGTTCAGATTTTCTATTTTTTTCTGATTTAGTTGGTAGATTTTGCTTGTCTATGCAATTACCCATTTCTTGAGGATTTTCCAATGTAGGAGCATATAATTGTTCATAGTAGTCTCTTACGATTCTTTGTGTTTTTGTGGTATCAATTGTAATGTCTTCTCTTTTGAATTGTGTTCGAGACATCTTTTTTCTTCTTTTTAAGTTAGTCTGGCTAACGTACGCTGTTTTGTCATCTCAGTGAACCAATGCTTAGTTGCTTAGTTGCATTGATCTTTTCTGTTGTCTTTCTGCTCCCTATTTGTGTATTTCTGTGCTTTCTTACTTTCTTCCTTCTACTGATTTTCGGTTGTTTTGGTTTTTCTTTTTTATATTCTTGAGATGTAACAGTAACTTATCTATTTGATATCTTTTTGGATGTAGGTATTTATTGCTATAAACTTCCCTCTTGGAACTGCTTTTTCTTCATTCTTTAAATTCTGATGTGGTTTTATAGTATTCATCTCATAAGACTTACCTTTTACAGTTAAAATGTTCTAATTTAAGCTGATAGTACCTTAATTTTATTACCTCATGAAGACTCTTCATTTGTTTCATATTTTATATGTTCTGCTGTTGAAGGGAAAATTCTATTATCTGGTAGGTATATCTAGTCTAAAGTGTTGTTCTAATTCACTAATTCAATAGAACTGTTGGTTCTATTGAAATGTCCCATTGTTACTAAATGGAAGTTCGTAGAATCTTTCCAATCTATTACATCGTTATATATATAGGTATGCTGATGAAGGGAGTGTGCATTTTTACAATTGGTACAGAATTTTAATTAACTGACCCTATTATCATAATAATATTCCCCCACGCTCTTTACAGGTTTTGACTGGAAGCCTTTTTTTCTGATATGAGCATAGCAACATCTCCTCTTTTGCTTGGAATAGCTTTTTTAATCAGCTTTTTTAAAAAATAGCTTTTTTAAACATTTAATTTTAATGTTGATTCCAAGCAAATCAACATTTGCTTGGAATAGCTTTTTTAATCTCTTTACTCTCAGTCTCTGTGTGTTGTTAAGTCTAATGTGAGTGTCTCGTTAGTGGCGCCATATTGTTTAATATTTTTTGTTCTTTTTTTTTTAATCTAACTTGACTTTCTGTGTCTTTTGATTGAAGAATCCATGTAGTTAACAACTTACTACTTGCATTTTGTTAATTTTTGACTGACTGTTTTGTTCTCTTCTACACTTTCAGTCTTTGTTTTTGATTAGTTGTGTTTTATCAGTGGTATATTTTTGTCTCTTGTGTAACTACTAGAGATTTTTTTTCTATTACCTAGCATGGTTCTTATGTAAAACATCTTGTATTCTAATTTAAGCTGATAGTACGTTAATTACTATATGAAGACTCTACCTTTTCATTTCCCACCTTTTATGTTATTAATATTATACTATGCAACTATTTGTATTGGGTATCCACTAAGGAGTTCTGTATAGTATAGTTGTTATTAATACATCTCTTATTTATATTTGTATACTAATTTTAATAGTAATTTAAACATTACTTTTAGAGTAGGAGAGAATACTGTATTGACTGTTCATTTAACTTTACTGGAGAGCCATATGTTTTGTTATTATTATTTATCATGCTCTTGTTTCACATGGAAAAACTCTTTAGACATTTCTTGTTAAGTCTTGTCTGATGGTGACAAATTCTCAAATTTTGTTTGTGTTAAAATGTACTTACCTGTTTTTTTATTGCTGAAATACAGCTTTGCAGTTTAGAGTATTTTTAATAAGCTTTTTTAAATTTTATTTTAGCACTTTCAACATGTCATCCCACTTTCTACTCACTTGCAAGTATTTTGTTAAGAAGTTTCCTGATAGCCTTACCTAGAAGACCCCTTTGAGTTTATCCTCTTGCTGCTTTCAAGATTCTTTTCATCTTTGATATTTACAATTTGATTAATGTGTCTTGGAGTATTCTCTTTTAAATTGATCCTAATTGTGGCATTTTGAATTTCTTGAGTTCATATCCCGCCTAGAATTCGGGAAGTGTTTGTACAGTACATATTTAAATAAGCTTCCTGGTCTTCTTTCTCTCCTCTTTTGGGTACACTCATAATTGTTATATTTATGCATGGATGTGGTGCCACAGATCACTTTTAACCTTTTCCTCTTTTTTTTTTTCCCAATCATTTGTTGTTGTTGTTCCTCTAATTGGCTAATTTTCATCTGACTGCTATTTGAGCTTGTCAGTTCTTTCTTCTGCATGATCAGCTATGCTGTTGTAACTATTGAAATTTTAAATCTAATATTAAATTGTAAATATTTAAAATTATTTCTTTGCATTTATGTAGCTGTAGGGGTCCTGGTTTTTTTTTTTAAAAAAAATCTGTTTCTTAATTTTTAAATTGTACTCACGCATTCTTTCCTTAATACACTTTTTTTTTTTTTTTTTTTTTTTTTTTTTTTTTTTTTTTTTTTGAGACGTGTCTCTGTCGTCCATGCTGTAATGCAGTGGTGCAACCTCGGCTGACTGCATCGCTGCAACCTCCACCTCCTAGGTTCAAGTGATTCTCCTGCCTCAGCCTCCCGAGTAGCTGGGACTACAGATGTTTGCCACCATTCCTGGCTAATTTTTTGGGCTTTTTTGTTTGTTTCTTCTGAGTAGAGATGGGATTTCACCATGTTGGCCAGGCTGGTCTCGAATTCCTGACCTCTGGTGATCTGCCTGCCTTAACATCCCAAAGTACTGGCATTAGAGGTGTAAGCCATCACTCCCGGCCCCTAATAACCTTTTATTGTCTATTTGTATTTTTTCTCATGCGTGGAGCTTTTTAAGACTCGTTTTGAATTCTTTCTCAGGAATTTCATAGATCTCCATTATTTTATGTCAGTTATTGATTATGTCAGTTACTGATTTGCTTTGTTGGTACCATTTGTACCTGTATAGCTTGTGTTGTTGTTTGTGCATTTGGAGGAGCAAAACAACACTGAATCTCACACAGTGATTTTGGTTAAAGTCTTCTTTTGTTAGGTCTATGAGCTGATAATTTTGCCTCTGAGATCACAGTTGAGTTGGTTTGACATAGTTCTTCTAGCTGATACTGGGTCCAAAGAAACTGACTTTGCCAGGCCTATCTTGGACACTACCAGCATTTTACAGCCTCGTACTGGAATCCCATGATTCCCACAGAGAGACAAGAGACTGTAAATGAGAGCAGAATTCATTTTGTTGTGATGGGATATGAGTGGGTGACCTTTTATCTGACTACTGTCACCCTCTATCACCATGACTCACACTTGTAATCCCAGGACTTTGGGAGGCCAAGGTGGTTGGATCAGATGGTCAGGAGTTTGAGACCAACCTGGCCAACAGGGTGAAACCCCGTCTCTACTAAAAATATAAAATTAGACTGAGGCTGACAAGATGGCCGAATAGGAACAGCTTTGGTCTGCAGCTCCCCACAAGATCAACCTAGAAGGTGAGTGATTTCTGCATTTCCAACTGAAGTATCCAGCTCATCTCACTGGCACTGGTTAGGCAGTGGGTGTAGCCCATGGAGGGCAAGCCAAAGCAGGGTGGGGCATCACTTCACCCAGGAAGCAAAATGGGTCAGGGATCTCCCTCCGCTAACCAAGGGAAAACATGAGGGATTGTGCCTTGAACACTGTGCCCCTGGGATTCCAGCACAAAACTGGGCGGCAATTTGGGTAGGCACTGAGCTAGCTGCAGGAGTTTTTTGTCATACCCCAGTGGCTCCTGGAATGCCAGCAAGTCAGAACCTTTCACTCTCCTAGAAAGGCAGCTGAAGACAGGGAGCCAAGTGGTCTAGCTCAGTGGATCGCATCCCCACTGAGCCTAAAAAGCTATGCTTTACTGGCTTCAAATTCTTCTTGCTAGCACAGCAGTATGAAGTGGACCTGGGATGCTTAAGCTTGGAGCGGGAGGGGTATCCGCCATTACTAAGGCTTGAGTAGGTGGTTTTCCCCTCACAGTGTAAACAAAGCCATGGGTAAGTTTCAACTAAGCAGAGCCCTCTACAACTCAGCAAAGCCACTATAGCCAGACTGCCTCTATACATTCCTCTCTGGGCAGGGCATCTCTGAAAAAAAAAAAGGCAGCAGTGCCAGTCAGGGTCTTAGAGATAAAACTCCCATCTCATGAGACAAGCACCCGGGGGAAGGGGCAACTGTGGGCACAGCTTCAGCAGAAGATCTGAAGAAAGCAACAGATCTCTCAGCACAGCATTTGAGCTCTGCCAAGGGTAAGACTGCCTTCTCAAGTGGGTCCATGAATCCCATGTTTCCTGACTGGGAGACACCTCCCAGCAGAGGTCGACAGACCCCTCATGCAGGAGAGCTCTGGCTGGCATCTGGTGGGTGCCCCTCTGGGAGGAAGCTTCCAGAGGAAGGAACAGGCAGCAATCTATGCTGTTCTGCAGCCTCTGCTAGTGATAGCCATGCAAACAGGGTATGCAGTAGACCTCTAACAAACTCCAGCAGACCTGCAGCAGAGTGGCCTGATTGTTGGAATGAAAACTAAGAAACAGGAATAGCATCAACATCAACAAAAAGGACATTCACTCAGAAGCCCCATTCAAAGGCCACCAACATCAAAGGCCAAAGGTAGATAAATCCATGAAGATGAGGAGAAACCAGGAAAAAAAGTCTGAAAATTCCAAAAACTGGAACACCTCTTGTCCTCCAAAGGATCACAACTCCTCACCAGCAAGGGGACAAAACTGGATAGAGTACAAGTCTGATGAATTGACAGAAGAAGGCTTCAGAAGGTGGGTGAGAACAAACTCCTCCAAGCTAAAGGAGCATGTTCTAACCCAGTGCAAGGAAGCTAAGAACCTTGAAAAAAGAGGAATTGCTAACTAGAATATCCAGTTTAGAGAAGAACATAAATGACCTGATGAAGCTGAAAAACACAGTAGGAGAAGTTCACGAAGCATACAGAAGTATAAATAGCCGAATAGATCAAGTGGAAGAAAGGATATCAGAGATTTAAGATCAACTTAATGAAATAGTGTGAAGAAAATACTAGAGAAAAAAGAAAAAAGGAATGAACAAAGCCTCCAAGAAATATGGGACTATCTGAAAAGACCCAAACTACGTTTGATTGGTGTACCTGTAAGTGACAGGAAAAATGGAACAAAGTTGGAAAACACTCTTCAATATATTATCTAGGAGAACTTCCCCAGACTAGCAAGACAGGCCAACATTCAAATTCAGAAAATATAGAGAACACCACAAAGATACTCCGCAAAGGGAAACACTTCAAACTAACAGTGGATCTCTCTGCAGAAACCCTACAAGCCAGAAAAGAGTGGGGGCCAATATTCAACGTTCGTAAAGAAAATAATTTTCAACCCAGAGTGTCATATCCCACCAAACTAATCTTCGTAAGCAAAGGAGACATAAAATCCCTTACAGACAAGTAAATGCGAGATTTTGTCACTACCAGGCCTGCCCTACAAGATCTCCAGAAGGAAACACTAAACATGGAAAGGAACAACTGGTACCAGCCAGTGCAAAAACAGACCAAATTGTAAAGCCCATCAACACTATGAAGAAACTGTGTCAACTAATGGTCAAAATAGCCATCTAGCATCATAATGACAGAATCAAATTCACACATAACAGTATAAACCTTAAATGTAAACCGCTGAATGTCCCAATTAATAGACACCAACTGGCAAATTGGATAAGGAGTCAAGATGCATCGTTGTGCTTTATTCAGGAGAATAAAGCACGCAGAGACACACATAGGCTCAAAATAAAGAGATGGAAGAATATTTATCAAGAAATGGAAAGCCAAAAAAATCCTAGTCTGACAAAACAGACATTAAACCAACAAAGATTAAAAGAGACAAAGACATTCCATAATGGTAAAGGGATCAATGCAACAAGAATAACTATCTTAAATATATATGCACCCAATACAGGAGCACCCAGATTCATAAAGCAAGTTCTTAGAGACCTACAAAAATGATTCCCACACAATAATAGTGCAAGATTTTAACACCCCACTGTCAATATTAGACACATCAGCAAGACAGAAAATTAACAAGATTATTCAGGTCTTGAACTCAGCTCTGGACCAAGTGGACCTAATAGACGTCTACAGAACTCCCCACCCCGTATCAACAATGTACATTCTTCTCAGCACCACATCGTACTTACTCTAAAATTGGCCACGTAATTGGAAGTAAAGCACTCCTCAGCAAATGCAAAAGAACTGAATTCATAACAAACAGTCTCTCAGACCACAGTGCAATCAAATTAGAACTCAGGATTAAGAAACTCATTCAAAACTGCACAACTACCTGGAAACTGAACAACCTGCTCCTAAATGATTACTGTGTAAGTAACAAAATGAAGGCAGAAATAAACATGTTCTTTGAAACTAATGACAACAAGGACACAATATACCAGTATCTCTGGGAATCCAAGAGCTTGTTTTTTGAAAAGATCAACAAAATAGATAGACCTGTGGCCAGACTAATAAAGAAGAAAAGAGAAAAGAATCAAATAGATGCAATAAAAAATGATATAGGGGATATCATCACTGATCCCACAGAAATACAAACTACCATGAGAGAATACTATAAATACCTCTATGCCAATAAACTAAAAAATCTAGAAGAAATTGACAAATTCTGGGACACATACACCCTGAGTCTGAACCAGGAAGAAGTTGAATCCCTGAATAGTCCAGTAATGAGTTCTGAAATTGAGGCAGTAATTAATAGCCTCCCAACCAAAAAAAGTCCAGGACAAGATAAATTAACAGTTGAATTCTACCAGAGGTACAAGAGGAGCTGGTACCAGTCCTTCTGAAATTATTCCAAACAATAGAAAAAGAGGGACTCCCCTCTAACTCATTTTATGAGGCCAGCATCATCATGATACAAAAACTTGGCAGAGACACAAAAAGAAAAGTTTAAGCCAGTATCCCTGATGAACATCGATGCAAAAATTCTCAATAAAATACTGGCAAACTGAATCCAACAGGACATCAAAAAGCTACCCAACATGATCGAGTCAGCTTCATATCTGGATGCAAAGCTAGTTCAAACATACAGAAATCAATAAATGTAATCCATCACATAAACAGAATCAATGACAAAAGCCACATGTTTATCTCCATAGATGCAGAACTGTCCAATAAAATTCAATGCCCCTTCATGCTAAAAACTCTCAATAAACTAAGTATTGATGGAAAGTATCTCAAAATAATAAGGGCTATTTTATGACAAACTTACAGCCAATATTATACAGAATGGACAATAACTGGAAGCATTCCCTTTGAAAACTGGCATAAGACAAAGCATAAGACAACATAGTATTGGAAGTTCTGGCCAGTGCAGTCAGGCAAGAGAAAGAAAGAAAGGATATTAAAATTGTAAGAGAGGAAGTCAAATTGTCTCTGCTTGCAGATGACATGATTGTATATTTAGAAAACCCCATCATCTCAGCCCAAAATCTCCTTAAGCTGATAAGCAACTTTATCAAAGTGTCAGGATACAAAATCAATGTGCAAAAATCACAAGCATTCGTATACACCAATAATAGCCAAATCATGAGTGAACTCCCATTTACAGTTGCTACAAAGAGAATAAAATACCTAGGAATACAACTTTCAAGTGATGTGAATGACCTATTCAAGGAGGACTACACACCACTGCTCAATGAAATAAGGGAGGACACAAATAAATGGAAAAACATCCCCTGCTCATGGATTGGAAGAATCAATATCATGAAAATGGCCATACTTTCCAAAGTAATTTATAGATTCAATGCTATTCCATCAAGCTACCATTAACTTTTTTTTCACATAATTAGAAAAAGCTACTTTAAAATTCATATGGAACCAAAAAAAGAGCCCATATGGCCAAAACAATCCTAAGCAAAAAAAACAAAGCTGGAGTCATGACACTACCTGACCTCAAACTACACTACAAGGTTACAGTATCAAAAACAGCATGGTACTGGTACCAAAACATACATAGAACAATGTAACAGAACAGAGGCCTCAGAAATAATGCCACACATCTACAGCCATCTGATATTTGAAAAACTTGACAAAAACAAGCAATGGGGAACGAATTTCCTATTTAATAAATGTCGTTGGGAAAACTGGTTAGCTATATGCAGAAAAGTGAAACTGGACCCCTTTCTTACACCTTATAAAAAATTAATTCAAGATGGATTAAAGACTTACATAAGACCTGAAACCATAAAAATCCTAGAAGAAAACCTAAGCAGTACCATTCAGGACATTGGCATGGGCAAAGACTTCATGATTAGAACACCAAAAGCAATGGCAACAAAAGCCAAAATTGACAGATGGGATCTAATTAAACTGAAGATCTTCTGCATAGCAAAATAAACTATCATCAGAGTGAAAAGGCACACTACACAATGGGAGAAAATTTTTGCAATCTATCCATCTGACAAAGGTCTAATATCCAGAATCTACAAAGAACTTACCCACATTTACAAAACAGAAAAACTCTATCGAGTTGGTGAAGGATATAAACAGACACTTATCAAAAGAAAACATTTATGCAGCCAACAAACATGAAAAAAAGCTCATCACTGGTCAGTAGAGAAATTCAAATCAATACCACAATGAGATACCATCTCATGTCAGTTAGAATCACAGTCATTGAAAAGCCAGGAAACAACAGGAGCTGGAGAGGATATGGAGAAATAAGGACACTTTTACACTGTTGGTGGGAGTGTAAATTAGTTCAACCATTGTGGAAGACTATGGTGATTCCCTAAGGATCCAGAACCAGAAATAACATTTGACCCAGCAATCCCATTACTGGGTATATATCCAAAGTATTATAAATCATTCTACTATAAAAAGAAACATGCACATGTTTGTTTATTGTGGCACTGTTCACAATAGCAAAGATGGGGAATCAACCCAAATGCCCATCAATGATAGTTGATTTACACCATGGAATACTATGCATCCATAAAAAAGGATGAGTTCATGTCCTTTGCAGGGACATGGATGAAGCTGGAAACCATCATTCTCAGCAAACTAACACAAGAACAGATAACCAAACACTTAATGTTCTCAGGCATAACTGGGATTTGAACAATGAGAATACATGGACACAGGGAGGGGAACATCACACACCAGGCCTGTCAGGACATGGTGGGCTGGGGGAGGGAGAGCATTAGGAGAAAAACCTAATGTAGATGACAAATTGATGGGTGCAGCAGATGACCATGGCACGTGTATACCTATGTAACAAAACTGCACATTCTGCACATGTACCCCAGAACTTAGTATAAAAATTAAAAATAAAAAAATTTTCCTTGGGTGCTTGTCATCCCAGATGCTTGGGAGGCTGAGGCAGGAGAATTGCTTGAAATCAGGGCAATCCGACAAGACAAAGAAATAAAGCATATTCACATAGAAAAAAAGTCAAATTGTCTTTGTTTGCAGATGACATGATTGTATATTTAGAAGACCCCATCATCTCAGCCCAAAATCTCCCTAAGCTGATAAGCAACTTCCAAAGCCTCAGGATACAAAATCAATGTGCAAAAATCACAAGCATTCTTATACACCAATAAGGGAGGCAGAAGTTGCAATAAGCCCAGATTGCTGCCGCTGCCCTTCAGACTGATGACAGAGTGAGACTCCGTCTAAAAAAAAAAAAAAAAAAAAAAAAAAGAAAGAAAAAAAAGAATATAAATAATATAAATACTATTATGTCATGGAATTACACAATAAACATATAGATTTGCCATCTAATAACAAAATAACTCCCTCTGCAGCACATTTGACATTTTTCATCCAGTGTGTGTGTTTGTGTATGTGTGAGTGTGTGATTGCTGTACAGTATTTAGAAGGAAGAGATTAAATGAAGCCCTATGTGATACATAGGACTTTGAATACATATGACCTTTGAAAGACTTTTGAGTTATAACTGTGGGGACTACTCAACTCTCCATATATAATTGGAGATATATAATCCAATATGATTCCAATATAATTTTATTTATGACCATGTAATTTGAATGTAATGAAAATAAATGATTATGTGTTGGAAATGAATTTTTTTGCTTTTTTTTCCCCCCAACCATTTTAAACTAGAAAATATTCTTTATTTCTTAGGCATTAAAAATAGCTGGTGGGAGAAGTGGCAGCAGGCCAACATTTTGTGACTCCTTGTCTAAGAGATCAGTCAAAGAATATAACTAAATATCGCAAACCGTCTTTGTCATGACAGCAGATTTCTTAAGAAGACCTAACAAAGTTTGTATTTCATTTGGAAATTTGTTTCCTTTTTCCTTTAGAAACTGTGGGCATTGTTTCTCTCGCAGTTTTCTTTGGTGGTGATAATTATCTGCAAGGTAAATGCAAGTTTTCCTTGCCTTTCAGTGGTTCCCCCCACAAATAATTTTACCTCTTGTCTAAAGCTTTCCACATCTGTTAAGCATATGCTTTTGCTACCTCTGAATTAAATACATATGGTAAAATTGCATCTTATCCCCATCCAAGCCATAACTACTGTTTTTTTTTGGTTTTTGTTTGTTTGTTTTTGTTTTTCTGAGTGCCAGCCCTATCTAGTGTTGCCTTTGTTTTTTCCTCCCAGTCCTGAACAGCATCCTGTGGTTCTGCTGTTATTGCTAAAATCTTACTTATAAATAATTGATATGTAAATGAGTTAAAATAGTCTTTGTGTACTGGCCCTAAGTTGTCATTAATTTTTTAATGCAAATTGTGAGCTGGTTGTTCAAACCCCACTAGCACAAGAGTCCAATTTTAATACAAGTTATATATTTAAGATAGCACAAATAAACAAAATCTAGTCATTATATTTTCCTAGTGTGCAACTGAAAAACTTTGCTCAGCATCTGCTGTAGATAAAATATAACTTTTGCTTATAAGACCCCAAACCAGCACTTAACACAGAGCTTTTGGAACTGAATTCCTGGTAGGCCTGTTGAGCAACTCATGTATACATTCTTCCTGTTTGAACCTCCTATCCCCCAGAAATCACCTTCTACTTTTCCGCATCTGAATAGTAATCTCTGCACCTTAATCCTGTGTACAGTTTCCTACTATGAATGTCTCCTTTCATGCTACCCTGCATAATAGAGACTGTTACTGCCTCCCAAAATATCTTTTTCTCTGACCAGCTTCCAGATCCTTAATCCCCCAAAATGATTCTTTTTTACCCGTCACAGATACATTGCCAAATTCAGATATTTACACGTTTTTTTTTAATGTGTAAACAACAGGTCTTAAGCATTATACTTCTGCTTTTGATACCCCACAAGCTTTACCCAGCATCTGCTGGCTGTTGATAATATGTTGCTAAGTGGCATCACCTAGATATAATTCTCTTCTTGGATACTCCTTTCCATGGGAGTTCCCTTGCCCTCCTCCCCTTCAGGATGATGATCCCTCTTCTGAGAGAAGAGGTAGAGAGAAGATACAAAGGAAAGGAGCAACGAGACCAAAGCTGACCATTGTGATATGAGAGCTGCCCTCTTCACCAGTTTCTCCCTCAGTAGCTCTGTCTTCTTCCACCGGGGATGCCCACCGCAAAGTCATATCCCTTGATGTTATCACTGGGAAAATTGAGCAAGAAAAACAGGGAGGGGTTAGCAGAACAAAGACTGTAGGAGGACTCTCCTTTCTGGGTGGGTGGATCAAGTTGGGGTCAGAGAGAAACAACATCCAGGAGCTTAACTGGGCTATGGTGTTGGCCGCTGGTGTTTGGAACCCCCTGCCACAAATACATGAGTGTGGCATCTGCCTTAGGATCTCAGAAACCAATCCTCAGCTGACTTAGTGAGTCTCTGGATTAGACATAGTAGTGATCACAGTCTGCTAGAGCAGTCTTATTCCTGGAATTTGCATGGCACTTCTGGGACTGGCCTTGGCCCAAGAGGGAGGAGAACAAGGAAGAAGGTAGGGGTAGTGATGGGAGAGCATTTGGATCAAGTCAGAAGGAGCAGTGCTTTGGCCATGTCCATAAAGAAGCTACCCCAGTCAACCATGTTTTGCTTCAGGCTTCTGCCCCTCCATCCTTTTCCCTTGCTTAACAGTCCCCACCAGGAAGTCAGTGTCTTCCCTGCTTAAGCACAGGTAGAAGCAGAATTACCATCCTTAACAAGGCCCAGCCCAAGCATAACCATATGTTGAGTTTTTCTTTTCCATCAGAACTTTCCATGAGAAGTGCTGTAGGGCAGTGTTTGATGAGGTAGGAGTTCTGTGGAGTTCTGAAGAAGGGCAACAGAACCGCATAGAGACCCTCTAGGGCACTGGCAGCTGCGAGAAAATCAATATGATACCTAGAAGAGTGATGGGCAAGTGCTGACCTGGGATCTCTCCAGGGTTCCAGAAAGCTTCAAGGACCGTGGGCCCCAAACTCTGAGCATTTTTTAAATTGTGGGATTTTGGAAGTCAAGCAAAAATGCATTTAATCAATGCCTGTATAGGAAACAGCCTGGAGTCTCTGATGTCAAATGCTTTTGGTTTCAGATATAGGACTCTGTCTGGGATACCTTCCAGCCAACTTCTCCATGGATACACAGTGAAAGTGCCATGCAGGTGACATGCCAGCTGTTTGGTGCTGTGTTCTGACCTGTTTTTTTAGGCCAGTCTGGAGTGAAGTCTTCTGGATAAGAATTCCCTAGCTCAGGTCCACTGTTCTGGGGATTGCAGGGTCACATATCATAGGCACTTGCATATGGAATGGGACTGTGGATGTCTATGGCCTTAACACCCTGAATATATTGGTTCTGTTGTATCTTCTGGCCTCAGAAGATAAGCAGAATCCCACCACCTTGACGTCCTAGGTGTTTGGAATTTCGCCATGTGGCTTCCAGCTGTAGAACCCTTCTCTGCATAATGTGGCACTTCCAAAATATCTTCCTGACATGTTTTTCTTTTCTTTTTTCCATCATTGTCTGGAGGAAGATCCTAGTCAGCCGACAAGGTCTCCTTTGTTTGCTGATAAGAACTTCTTCGCATGCAGCTCTCCTGCGTACCACATCTTGGCAATATGCACCCTTGCTAAACGACCAAATGAGACACTGCTGGCCCCAATGTCCCCCAGTGTGACCTTTGTTTCTACCTGATATTGACTGCTTTTTCAGTAAATGACATTCTCTACCCACCATAGGGAATCACCTGGTTAACAATCTTCTCTTTGTTTCTGTACCCAATCCTACAAAGTGTGTAAACACTCAAGACTCCAGGTCACTAAATAGAGCCTGTCCCTGGTGGCAAACTAATCTCTAGGTCTCTCAGAGAAGGTCAAAGCACTTTCAGCAAGTATGTAGTATCCTCACAGAGGCAGAAAACACAAAAGAAAACAAAAAGAAACAAGAACTATCTCAGAAGACACTCATATTTATGATACTTATTGACATAAATAGGTCCAAAGGCCTCCAGAGGTCTTTGCTGAATAATCTGTTTCCACTCCCCAGGTCCACTCAGGTTACTTTCAGCCCCAGGTCAGAACTTTCATGTGCTGGCCAAGCCCCAAGCAGGACAACCCTTCTTTGAGATCTGCCCTCTTCAGCAGAGTCTATCTCCCAAAGAGAGAGAGGCACCGAGGAAGGGTCTTGGTCTCAGTTTGTGGTACTCGGGGTGCTTCTGAGGAAGGGTGAAAGGATGAACCAGTATTCCTTAGCCCCTCTAGTGTCTCCTGGTGAGTGCAGCAGATTGGAGCTGGGCAGAAAGTAAAGCCACAGCCAGGGGAGCGCTGAGCTGCATACGTAATCTGGGATCACTGAAGCCAAGCTTCCAGAGGCTTCAAAAAATTATAATGGGAGACAGCTGTAACCTAAATGCTGGAGTGTTTCCCCTGAGTGGGCAGAAAGGCACTGCTAGGACTGAGTCCTCATGCTATTCCACTTCATTGCTTTAGTCAGGGTGTACACTAGCAAGGTATAAGGAACAGTGCATCTATCTAAGCATGGAGTGGCCAGCCTTGTGGCAGCACACTGCTCTCATTAGAAGTGGCCTAATAGAAGTGCCAGGCAGACTGTACCAGGTGATAGGCAGCTAGTGGAGATGCTCTGTACTGCAGGACTGCCGGGGCAATAGCAGTGGGACATAGCAGGTCAGGGTCTTGAGGCTCTCAGTCAGAATAACTAATATTTCAGTAGGTATTGCCCATGTATACCTAATCAAATCAAGAGCAGAGTCTCATCTATCCAGCCATGACTTAGATGGGAAATCATCTGGTAACACTGCATATTTTGCCTTCAGCTAGCATCACAATAGCTATCTGCTGAAGCAGAGATGCCTCCAAATACTTGCTGACTTGTGCTAGTACCCACCAAGGTTTCCAACAAGTGGTTATCTGAAGCCCACTGTAGCAGTCAGTTGGCAGCACTCGAGCCCTTCAAACTTGCACAACCGCTACTTCCCAGTACCCAGGGCCAACCAAGGGTGGGCATAACTGAGACTCCATAAGTGTGGGCTCCCTAGTTTTAGGTCTCTTTGTCATACATACTGGACACTGGGAGTTGACAGCCAGCCACGAAGGTCAAAAACAGGAACTTCCTGCCCCAACTTAAGGCAGAGTAGTGCTCTATACAAGTTCTCAGCTACTTTTCAGAAAGGAATGACAGTTTTTTTTACACTAAGGGAAGAGCCCTGGAATTTGTACCGGCACCCCATTGTTCCCTTCAGTATGCACTGCTTACTGCAGAAACTCTGCCAAAGTTCCATTTCGCATGATCATTGCCACTACTCTCAACAAAGGATAATGCTTATTCATTAGTTGTGAACTTTATGTAGAAAGAGCAATAGCAAAGTAAAGAAATAATTACATCCCAAGAAATAATTGTACCATGTTTATCAGAACCACCAAGGAAGAGGAAAGAAAATGCCTGCATGCAGAGGCATCACTGCTGTTCTTTGGTTTCGAGGGCGACTGCCAACCCAAGGCAAATGACTTTTTGTCCTGGCCTAGTATAGGCACAGCCATGCTTCTTACTAAGTTGTTTTTATCAGGAGTGCTTTTATTTTTCCAACTACTGGCACTCACAGGTAAGACTTTGATACTGGTAGATGGTGTGGAGTGGTTCTGAAAAAATGTTCCTGGGCCAGTGACCTTTGTTCTGAAAAAAGGTTGCTGGAAAAGCAATGGCAACAAAAGCCAAAATTGACAAATGGGATCTAATTAAACTCAAGAGCTTCTGCACAGCAAAAGAAACTACCATCAGAGTGAACAGGCAACCTACAACATGGGAGAAAATTTTCTCAACCTACTCATCTGACAAAGGGCTAATATCCAGAATCTACAATGAACTCAAACAAATTTACAAGAAAAAAACAAACAACCCCATCAAAAAGTGGGCGAAGGACATGAACAGACACTTCTCAAAAGAAGACATTTATGCAGCCAAAAAACACATGAAGAAATGCTCATCATCACTGGCCATCAGAGAAATGCAAATCAAAACCACTATGAGATATCATCTCACACCAGTTAGAATGGCAATCATTAAAAAGTCAGGAAACAACAGGTGCTGGAGAGGATGTGGAGAAATAGGAACACTTTTACACTGTTGGTGGGACTGTAAACTAGTTCAACCATTGTGGAAGTCAGTGTGGCGATTCCTCAGGGATCTAGAACTAGAAATACCATTTGACTCAGCCATCCCATTACTGGGTATATACCCAAAGGACTATAAATCATGCTGCTATAAAGACACATGCACACGTATGTTTATTGCGGCACTATTCACAATAGCAAAGACTTGGAACCAACCCAAATGTCCAACAATGATAGACTGGATTAAGAAAATGTGGCACATATACACCATGGAATACTATGCAGCCATAAAAAATGATGAGTTCATGTCCTTTGTAGGGACATGGATGAAATTGGAAATCATCATTCTCAGTAAACTATCGCAAGAACAAAAAACCAAACACCGCATATTCTCACTCATAGGTGGGAATTGAACAATGAGATCACATGGACACAGGAAGGGGAATATCACACTCTGGGGACTGTGGTGGGGTCGGGGGAGGGGGGAGGGAGAGCATTGGGAGATATACCTAATGCTAGATGACACGTTAGTGGGTGCAGCGCACCAGCATGGCACATGTATACATATGTAACTAACCTGCACAATGTGCACATGTACCCTAAAACTTAGAGTATAATAAAAAAAAAAAATTTAAAAAAATTAAAAAAAAAAAAAAAAAGAAAAAAGATTGCTGGGCCAGTGACCTGTGTGTAGAGTATCAGTGCATTTTGAAATGTTAGGGTTGGGCAGGAGGTTTGGCCTAGTGTTGAGCTGAGCTCTACCTATGACAGAAGACTGTGAGGGTCCTGAGTTTAGGTGTTAGGTTCTCAGGCCAAAGCCACTAATTTTGCAGAATCTGATAAGCAGTAGGGAGGGCTAGTTGTATGATCCGTGTGAATACATATCTACCTCAGGTTCTCCATGAGAGGGAGTAGTGGAAGCATTTTGGCCCCACTGTGACTAGCAGGTTATTGCTGGTTGGCTTGCCTGCAGCTTTCCCCTAATGCTACATCTGGGCTGTTAGAAGCTAACGAGGGTCTCAAGGAAACTTTTGAATAAGTCTTTGAGCCTTCTGGGTCAGAGGGCTGGTAGTGGTGCAGGAGTGGTAAGTTTTTTCAAGACCCCTTACACAGTGGTTGCCTAACACCTTCTGATCCTATGAAGTTAATACTTTGAAATACAGTCGTGTGTCAAATGGCTAAATATAGGTCAATGGCTGACAGCATATACCATGGTAATTTCATATGACTATAATGGAACTGAAAAAATTTTGTTGCCTAGTGACATCATACTTATTGTGAGGTAGCAATTTATTTTTCACATAACATTAATGTAAAAACACACTGTGCTGCTAAGCATAAACTGGAAGACAGCTTCAGAGAAGTCCTCCAGGTGGTTTCAGAAGGAGGCAGTGTTACATGTGATAACAGTTCTATGAGTGTTACTGCAATGAATACCTTTCCACTGGAAAAGATGTAGAGAGTGTAAATAGTGATATTGATGATTCAATGTAGGCCTAAGCAATATGTGGTTTATATCTTAGTTTCTAACAGACATGGAGCTCATTTAATCCCCATACCTACCAGGTTATTGCACCTTGCCAGGTAGTTCCTAGGAAGATTGAGAGTTTTTTTTTTTTTTTTTTTTCTGAGTGACATCAAGTAATGCTGATGAAAATTGTCCATACTTCCAGCATCTTTGTTTCTTACTAGAGTGTGATTGGTAACAGGTCAGGAAAGTTCTAACCATTTTTCCTCTGAGACAAGGCCTATGTGGCTATTTGGGAAAAAAAAAAATGTCAGGAAGATAAGTAGATAGCCTATGCTATAAATGATGTACAGGTGCTAGAGAAAATGAGCCAGAAAATAGTTTTTTTATGATAAATAACAAGGAGGGGCCACTGGGAGAAAGAAAGTATAACCAAATTTATAGTACAATGTGGGAGAGGGTCAAATGTGGTTTTGATTTAGGATCAAGCCAGCTCATTATTTGAAAGTATGTTCCAGATGAGGGAAAGTGGAGGCTTACTCAAAACTGGGAAATAAAATGGCAACACTTTATGTCTGTAAAAAATAAAACCATGGGTTGCTAATCTCTCATCAGAACTCCTCCACCCCTGCTAGGTCAATACCAAGTCAGTTTCCATTTTTACTTTTCCAAAGCCTTCTTTCCAACTCCATTAGAATCTCATCATCCCTAAACTTCTGTGTTTTGTTGACATTGTACTTTCTCATTCCCCTCCGGCTATGGAAGAAACAGTGCTGTGGAATAGACAATTGTTTAGATGGAGGAAGCCACTCAGCTCCATGCAGTATTTGTGCAGGTTGAAGGAAAAAAGTAATAATACAAAATGTCAGAATTATATTTCCTGACTACCAAGCTAATGTTCTCCCATTGTATAATTATAGATGTGTCTGCAAAGAATAAAGTGATAGTCTATGAGAGGTAGGGTTATATGATTTCATAATTAAAATAAGTTTAGAACAGCCTAGAAATAACTTAGATCCTGTATCTCACTCTAGTAGCTGTGCTGAGTGTGGAAACCAGTTATTTCCCACACAAAATGGTTTTCCTGAATATCTAAGCAATAACACTGCAGTTAGTGTACTCTAGAACCCTGAGATATTCATGTGGTAAAGGCTGATTAAGGCAAGATAATAGTTTATTATATATTGATATATATCTCCATGACCTGCAGGTGGTTCAGAGGCAGCTTCTACCATCCAAAAAAGGGAAATTTTGGTTGTGTATTCTCTTCCTGATTCTCTTCTTCATCCTCTCCCATTTTTATCACTAACTTGTATGACATTCTGCCTTTTGTCCTGAAGGTATGTTTTTTTTTTCCATTTTTGTTATTGCAGACCATGTCCTCCTGCTCCTGCTCCAGCAGAGTATGACTGTCATTCATACTCTGGACCGTCTGCTGTTTGAATAGAACTGTGTGTTGGGTGACTGTTGGAGGAGATAGACCAGTTTGCACTGAAAACTCTTTGTTCCATACCACAGAGGGTACCTTCACTGCTTTGTCCATCTGGTCCAGTGTACTTAGATATTTAATACACTCCTCTGGGTCATTTGGAAAATAGACATTTTCTGTCTAGTTTTGACACCAAAGCCTGTTAATGTGGCTTTGCTTTTGGTTTGACTCTTCTTCAAGATTTTCTATGCCTTACCCTAGTGGCTTCAAACATTTATAGATGAGTATTGTCGATCTGAGATGCAACAGTAGAAAGCCTGACTTTTAGGGTTAGCCAGGTGTTAAGACTGGGAGGTCTTATTTCTTGAGTTGACACTGGAGTTCAAGTCTGTGTTGTTGGTTGAGATTGGAGACATTTCCCTGACATTGCTGCAGTCACAGTCATTGATTGTGAGTTTTTCTTGGGCTGTGGTTGCTCTTTGAAAAGGACCTGATCAAGGTTGATAATCATGCACTTCAGCAGATATTGGAGCCTCTTTTGTGCTGAGTTGGTGTTTGGCTTTTTTTATACTTGTGGCTTGCACACTAGAATTGTGGTCTTTAGGGCTTCATAGAAGACCAGATGTTTAGTGATGGCAGTAATGGCCACAGATTACAGATTCTATGAATAAGGTGACTCTAAGTCTCTTGACAAACTGATTGAGATGCAAAGGTGATTCAAATGGCTTGGGAGGGCTTGTGGTCCTCTAGGACAGGGGTTCCCAACCACCAGTTTATGGCCTGTTAGAAATCAGGCTGCACAAAAATAAGTGACCTTCCTGCATTGCTCCCAGAGCTCTGCATTTTGTGGGATCAGCAGCGGCATTTGATTCTCAAAGGAGCATAAACCCTATTAATTGCACATGTCAGGGATCTGCATTCTAAGCCCTTTATGGGACTCTAACACATAAAAAAAAAAAAAAAGGAGAACCCTCATACGCTGTTGGTAGGGATGTAAACTGTGCAGCCATTATAGAAAACAGTATAGAGTTTCCTCAAAAAATTTAAAATAGAACTATTATATATATAACCCAGCAATCCTACTCCTTCCTGTATAACCAAAGGAAATGAAGTCAGTATTTTGAAGAGATATCTGCACCTCCATGTTCATTGCAACATTATTTGCAATAGCAAAAATATGGAATCAACCCAAGTGTCTACTGACAAATGAATGGACTTTTTAAATGTAGTATATACATACAATCAAATATTATTCAGCCTTAAAAAGGAAAGAAATTCTGTCATTTGCCACAACATAAATGAACCTTGGAGGACATTATGCTAAGGGAAATAAGCCAGGCAGAAAAAGACAAATACTGCATGATCTCATATATATGAGAGATCTAAAAAAGTCAAAACTCATAAAAACCAAGAGTAGAATAGTGGTTGCCAGGGCCTGGGGGTGAAACAGTTTCATCTGGAAACCAGTCACCCCCTTGCACCATCTGTTCATGGAAAAATTGTCTTCCACAAAATTGGTTGGGGACCACTGCTTTAGGATGCCTCATGGGCACTCCAGCCAAATGTCCAAGTTTAGGAGAGTAGGTGGCTGATAAGACAGTATAGCTTTGTAACATTTTTGAAGCAATGACCAGCAATTCCTATGGCAATACCTGATTATTTATTAGGACTTTAGGAACAGATTTTGCTAAGACTGGAAGAGAGTTAAGTTTTCTGATCCTGAGGTAATTTTTTCTTAAGTGTCTCTCTTCTGCTACTGTTTTTTAAATAAAGAGACAAAGTGATACTCAGTATTCCATATTGCTTTCTTGGAATGTATTTATGTTGCCTCTGAAACATCAGGGAGCTACAGGTCAGTCAGTGATTGGAGGGTATAGAGAAGTTTCTTGGAAATCATCAGGGAATGGTGTGACTTGTCAAACTAAGCATAGTTCTTTCTCAGCTTCCTTTCCTGTGGGATCTATGTATAAAAACATAGTAAGCCTCTTAAAAAAAACTAGTATATGATTGTATTACTCTATCTAGACTTCCATAACAAAATATCACCTTCGGGATGACTTAAATAACATATACTCTCTTACAGTTCTGGAGGCCAGAAACCCAAAAAACAAGATGGCAGATTTAGTTTCTCAAATTTTAGATGACATCCTTCTTTCTGGCTCTTCATATGAACATCCTTCTTTTTATTTGTTGTTAGAGTCGCATTCTTCTGTATTCCTAAAGACATCAGTTATACTAGGTTAGGAGACATCCATCTGCCATCATCATTTTACCTTAATTCTCTGAGTAAAGGCACAGTCTACAAAAAAAAAAAAGGCACATTTTGAGGTTCTAGATGTGAGGCATCTGACATAAGGATTTGCAGGAAACACAGTTTAGCCTGTTGTATGTTTCTGTCTTCCCTGACACCTGATGGTGCTAGATCTATGTCTCCCTTGCAGGGGACTTCAGGTCAGATAAGCCTTCTCTTCATCTAGAAAGTAGCTTCTTTTGAAGAGCAGTTGGTTTCGGTAAAAGGTAATTAAACATAAAATATCCTGCCAACCCAGAAATCTCTTTACGAAAGTAGAGAAGGAAAAAGGTTTTATATTTTAATATGCATTCAATTCTAATGTGATACACATCAGAGGCAATCCATTTATGAGATTTGGTAGAAGAAAATGCATTCTTTCAAATAACCAGTCACAGAAAACCTGTTATATACTGATTTTTGAGATAATTACTGATTTTAAATAAGAACTTGAGAGAAGCTTTTGTCACACATAATATATTATAAATTCTCCTTGGAATGAGGGTCGCCATCTGTGTTTGCTTACTGACTTTATATAGAGAAAAAAATATATATATCTTTAAGATATTCTCAAAGTGAGGTACCTACTGGAAATAAGGTTTTGCAAAGTTGAAAGATAGGGGTTTTGTCTTCCTTGATGATGTTATTTTAAAGAGCTGTGTCTCAGGTCCTTGAGAAGAACATTCGTTGCTTGAAAAGCTTACAAGACAGTCCTTTATATTTTAAAAAGATTTACATACACTAAGTCTTCACTTAATTTATCAATAGATTTCAAAAATGTAACTTTAAAGAAAAGGAAGTATAATTTAACCAGTTTTACCATAGCCTAACTGATATAAACAAGACAGGATTCCATGGAATTGTCCTAGTCACAGAAACATCACCAATATTCAAACAAAAAATGCGGAATACTTCTGCTATTAAAAACTAAAATAGTAGCTCATGCCTCTGATCCCAGCACTTTGGGAGGCCAAGGTGGGTAGATCACGAGGTCAGGAGATTTAGACTATCCTGACTAACATGGTGAAACCCTGTCTCTACTGAAAATACAAACAATTAGTCTGGCATGGTGGCATGCGCCTGTAATCCCAGATGCTTGGGAGACTGAGGCAGGAGAATCACTTGAACAAGGGAGGCGGGTGTTGCAGTGAGCCAAGACCATACCACTGTACTCCAGCTTCGGCGACAGAGTGAGACTCCATCTCCAAACAAAACAAAACAAAACAAAACTCAAATAAATGTGAGCTCTTGTGTACATTTAAGATTAATTTTAAAAATCAACATATATATATATTTATACACACACACACACATATATATATATGTTTAATTTAATTTTAAGTTCTAGGATACATGTGCAGGACCTGGAGGTTTGTTACATAAGTAAATGAGTGCCATGGGGGTTCCTGCACATATTAACCCATCACCTAGGTATTAAGCTCTGCATGCATTAGCTCTTTTTCCTGATGCTCTCCCTTCCCCAGTATCCATGACAGGACCTAGTGTGCATTTTTCCCCTCCTTGTGTCCATATGATCTCATTTTTCAGCTCCCACTTATAAATGAGAACATGCAGTATTTAAATGGATTTCTGTTCCTGTGTTAGTCTTCTAAGGACAATGGCTTCAAGCTCTGTCTATGTCACTGCAAAGACATGATCTCATTCCTTTTTATGACTGCATAGTATTCCTTTGTGTATATGTACCACATTATCTTTATCCAGTCTATCATTGATGGGCATTTGGATTGGTTATATGTCTTTGCTATTGTGAATAGTTCCGCGTTGAACATACAGTTGCATGTATCTTTATAACAGAAAGATTTATATCCCTTTGCATATATACCCAGGAATGAGATTGCTGGGTCAAATAGTATTTCTGGTTCTAGGTCTTTAAAATTGCTATACTATCTTCCACAATGGTTGGAATTATTTAAATTCCCACCAACAGTGTAAATATATTCCTATTTATCCACAGCCTCACTGGCATCTGTTGTTTCTTGACTTTAATCATCGCAATTCTGACTGGTGTGAGGTGGTATCTCATTGTGGTTTTGATTTGCATTTCTCCAGTAATCAGTGATTTTGAGCTTATTTTCATTATTGGCCACATGAATGTCTTCTTTTGAAAAGTGTATGTTCATGTCCTTTGCCCTCTTTTTAACCAGGTTGTTTTTTTCTTGTAAATTTGCTTAAGTTCTTTGCAGATTCTGGTTAGTAGACCTTTGTCAGATGGATAGATTGTAAACATTTTCTTCCATTCTGTAGTTTGTCTGTTCACTCTGATGATAGTTTCTTTTGCTGTGCAGAAGCTCTTTAGTATAATTAGATCCCATTTGTCAATTTTTACTTTTGTGGCAATTGCTTTTGGTGATTTCCTCATGAAACCTTTGGCCATGCTTATGTCCTGAATGGTATTGCCTAGATTTTCTTCTAGGAATTTTATAATTTTTTATTTTACATTGAAGTCTTTAATGCATCTTGAGTTAATTTTTGTATGAGGTGTAAAGAAGGAGTCCAGTTTCAATTTTCTGCATATGGCTAACCAGTTTTCCAGGCATTATTAAATAGAGTATCCATTCCTTATTGCTGTTTTTTGGTCAGGGTTGTCGAAGATCAGATGGTTAAAGATGTGTGGTCTTATTTCTGAGATCTCTATTTTGCTCCAAAGTCTATGTGTCTTTTTTTTGTATTAGTATCATGCTGTTTTCATTACTGTAATCCTGTAATATTGTTTGAAGGCAGAAGGCAGGATTCCTTCATCTTTGTTCTTTTTGCTGAGGATTGTCTTAGCTCTAAAGGCTCTTTTTTGGTTCCATATGAATTTTAAAGTTTTTGTTTTAATTCTGTGAAGAATACCACAAGTAGTTTTATGGGAATAACATTGAATCTGTAAATTACTTTGGGCAGTATGGCAATTTTCATGATATTGATACTATTTATGAGCTGGAATGTTTTTCCATTTGTTTGTGTCCTCTGATTTCCTTGAGCAGTGGTTTATACTTCTCTTTGAAGAGGTCCTTTATTTTCCTTGTTAACTATATTCCTAGGTATTTTATTCTCTTTGTAGCAATTGTGAATGGGAGTTCATTAATGATTTGGCTTTCAGCTTGCCTTTTGTTAGTGTATAGGAATGCTTGTGATTTTTGCACGTTGATTTTCTATCCTGAGAATTTGCTAAAGTTCATTATCAGTTTAAGAAACTTTTGGGCTGAGATAATGGGGTTTCAAGATAAAGGATCATGTCGTCTGCAAACAGAGACAGTTTGACTTCCTCTCTTCCTATTGCAATATGGTTTATGTCCTTCTCTTGCCTGATTGCTCTCACCAGCACTTTCAGTACTATGTTGAAAAAGAGTGGTAAGAGAGGGCATCCTTGTCTTGTGCTGGTTTTCAAGGGGAATGCTTCTAGCTATTGTCTGTTCAATATGATATTGGCTGTGGATTTCTCATAAGAGGTTTATTATTTTCAGGTACATTTCAATACCTAGTTTATTCAGAGTTTTTAACATGAATGTACATTGATTTTATCAAAGGCTTTTTCTGCATCAATTAAGATAATCATGGTTTTTGTTTTTGGTTCTGTTTATATGATGAATTACATTGATTGATTTGTGTATGTTGAGCTAGCCTTGTATCACTGGATGAAGCCAATTTGATTGTGGTGTATAAGCTTTTTGATGTCCTTGCTGAATTTAGTTCACTGGTATTTTATTGAGGATTTTTGTACTAATGTTCATCAGGGATATTGGCATGAAGTTTTCTTTTTATGTTGTACCTCTGCCACATTTTGTTATCCGGATGATGCCGACCTGATAAAATGATGTAGGGAGGAGTCTCTCCTTTTCAATTATTTGAAATAGTCTCAAAAGAAATGGTACCAGCTCCTCCTTGTACCTCTTATAGAATTCATCTGTAAATTCCCCTGGTCCTAGACTTTTTTTCTTTGGTAGACTATTTGTTACTGCCTCAACTTCAGAATTTCTTGTTGGTCTATTCATGCATTCAGCCTCTTTCTGGTTCAGTCTTGGGAAGGTGTATGTGTCCAGGAATGTATCAATTTCTTCCAGATTTTCTGGTTCATTGGCATAGAGGTATTTATGGTATTTTTGATGGTTTTTGTGTTTTTTTATGGGGTCAGTGGTAATTATCTTTTTTATCATTTTTATTGTATGTTTTTTATTCTCTCATTTCCTCTTGATTAGTCTAACTAGCAGTCTGTCTATTTTATTAAGATTTCAAAAAAAAAACCTTGCTGGATTCATTGATTTTATTAAAGGGTTTTTTGTGTCTCTATGTCCTTCAGTTACACTCTGATCCTTATTTCTTGCCTTCTGTTAGCTTTGGCATTTGTTTGATGTTTGTTCACTCCTTCTGTTAGTTGAGATGTTAGGGTGTCAATTTGAGATCTTTCTAACATTCTGATGTGGGCATTTTAGTCCTATAAGTTTTCCTCTTAACACTGCTTTAGCTGTGTCCCAGAGATTCAAGTACATTGTCTCTTTGTTCTCACTAGTTTCACATAACTTCTTGATTACTGCCTTAATTTCATTATTTACCCAGGAATCATATTCAGAAGGAGGTTGTCTAATTTCCGTGTAGTTGTGTGCTTTTGAGTGAGTCCCTGAGTTCTTATTTTATTGTGCCATGGTCTGAAAGACTGTTTTTTATGATTTCAGTTATTTTTCATTTGCTGAAGAGTGTTTTACTTCTAAGTATGTGATCAATTTTAGAGTAAGTGCCATGTGGAGTAAGAAAAATGTACATTCTATTATTTTTGGGTGGAGAGTCCTGTAGATTTGTATCAGGTCCACTTGATCTAGAGCCAAGTTCAAGTCCTAAATATCCTTGTTAATTTCCTTCTCAATGATCTGTCTGACACTGACAATGTGGTGTTAAAATCTCCCAATATTATTGTGTGAGAGTCTAAGTCTTTTTTTAGGTCCATAAGAACTTGTTTTATAAATCTACGTGTTCCTGTATTGGGTACCTATATATTTAGGGTACGGAACTGTTCTTATGGAATTAATCCTTTTACTATTAAGTAATGCCCTTTGTCTTTTTTGATCTTTGTTGTTTTAAAGTTCATTTTGTCAGAAACTATCATTTCAACCTTGCTTTTTTCTGCTTTCCATTTGCTTAGTAAATTTTTCTTCATCTCTTTGTTTGGAGCCAATGTGTGTCTTTTTTTTTTTTTTTTTTTTTTTTTGACTTTTTTTTTTTTACTGTTTTTTTTCTTGCTGTCACTTTTTTTTAAAATTTTTTTTTATTATTATACTTTAAATTTTAGGGTACATGTGCACATTGTGCAGGTTAGTTACATATGTATACATGTGCCATGCTGGTGCGCTGCACCCACTAACTCGTCATCTAGCATTAGGTATATCTCCCAATGCTATCCCTCCACCCTCCCCCCACCCCACAACAGTCCCCAGAGTGTGATATTCCCCTTCCTGTGTCCATGTGATCTCATTGTTCAGTTCCCACCTATGAGTGAGAATATGCAGTGTTTGGTTTTTTGTTCTTGCGATAGTTTACTGAGAATGATGATTTCCAATTTCATCCATGTCCCTACAAAGGACATGAACTCATCATTTTTTATGGCTGCATAGTATTCCATGGTGTATATGTGCCACATTTTCTTAATCCAGTCTATCATTGTTGGACATTTGGGTTGGTTCCAAGTCTTTGCTATTGTGAATAGTGCCGCAATAAACATACGTGTGCATGTGTCTTTATAGCAGCATGATTTATAGTCCTTTGGGTATATACCCAGTAATGGGATGGCTGAGTCAAATGGTATTTCCAGTTCTAGATCCCTGAGGAATCGCCACACTGACTTCCACAATGGTTGAACTAGTTTACAGTCCCACCAACAGTGTAAAAGTGTTCCTATTTCTCCACATCCTCTCCAGCACCTGTTGTTTCCTGACTTTTTAATTATTGCCATTCTAACTAGTGTGAGATGGTATCTGATTGTGGTTGCACTGCCCAAGGTAATTTACAGATTCAATGCCATCTCCATCAAGCTAACAATGCCTTTATTCACAGAATTGGAAAAAACTACTTTGAAGTTCATATGGAACCAAAAAAGAACCCACATCACCAAGTCAATCCTAAGCCAAAAGAACAAAGCTGGAGGCATCACACTACCTGACTTCAAACTATACTACAAGGCTACAGTAACCAAAACAGCATGGTACTGGTACCAAAACAGAGATATAGATCAATGGAACAGAACAGAGCCCTCAGAAATAACACCACATATCTACAACTATCTGATCTTTGACAAACCTGAGAAAAACAAGCAATGGGGAAAGGATTACCTATTTAATAAATGGTGTTGGGAAAACTGGCTAGCCATATGTAGAAAGCTGAAACTGGATCCCTTCCTTACACCTTATACAAAAATCAATTCAAGATGGATTAAAGACTTAAACGTTAGACCTAAAACCATAAAAACCCTAGAAGAAAACCTAGGCATTACCATTCAGGACATAGGCATGGGCAAGGACCTCATGTCTAAAACACCAAAAGCAATGGCAACAAAAGACAAAATTGACAAATGGGATCTAATAAAACTAAAGTGCTTCTGCACAGCAAAAGAAACTACCATCAGAGTGAACAGGCAACCCACAAAATGGGAGAAAATTTTCACAACCTACTCATCTGACAAAGGGCTAATATCCAGAATCTACAATGAACTCAAACAAATTTACAAGAAAAAAACAAACAACCCCATCAAAAAGTGGGCGAAGGACATGAACAGACACTTCTCAAAAGAAGACATTTATGCAGCCAAAAAACACATGAAAAAATGCTCATCATCACTGGCCATCAGAGAAATGCAAATCAATGTGTGTCTTTACATGTGAGATGGGTGTCTCATATAGCACACTGATGTGTCTTGACAGTTTATCCAGGTTGTCATTCTGTATCTTACACTTGGGACATTCAGCCCATTTACATTTAAGGTTATTATTATTATGCGTGAATTTGATCCTGTCATCAAGATCCTAGCTGGTTATTTTATAGACTTGTTAATGTAGTTGCTTCATAGTGTCATTGATATGTGTACTTTCATGTGTTTTATTAGTGGCTGGTAGTGGTTATTCCTTTCCATATTCATTGCTTCCTTCAGGAGCTTCTGCAAGGAAGGTCTGGTAATGGATTCCCTGAGCAATTTCTTGTCTAAAAGAATCTTATTTCTCCCTCTCTTTTGAAACTTGGTTTGACCAGGTATGAAATTCTGGATTGGAAATTCTTTTGTAAGAATGTTGAATATTTTCCCCTAGTCTCTTTTGTCTTGTAGGGTTTCTGCTGTGAGTTCTGCTGTTAGTCTGATGGGCTTCCCTTTGAAGGTAATCTGGCCTTTCTCTCTGGCTACGCTTAACATTTCTTCTTTCATTTCAACCTTGGAGAATCTGATGATTATGCATGTTGGGGTGGATCTTCTTATGGATTATCCTACTAGGGTTCTCTGGATTTCTGAAATTTGAATGTTGATCTGTGTTGTTAGGTTGGGGAAGTTCTCCTGGATTGCATTCTGAAGTATGTTTTCCAAATTGGTTCCATTCTTCCTGTCTCTTTCGCATACCCCAATCAGTCATAAGTTTTGTCTTTTTATTAATACATAATCCCAAATTTCTCAGAGGTTTTGTTCATTCCTTTTCATTCTTTATTCTCTAATCTTGTTTGCTTATTTCAGCAAGATAATATTTACGTTCTGAAATTCTTTCCTCCACTTTCTCTATTCTGCTATTGATACTTATGGTGCATTGTAAAGCTTTTTTTTTTTTTTTTTTTTTGCATTCTTTGTTCTCTAATCTTGCTTGCCTTATTTCAGCAAGGCAATCTTTAAGTTCTGAAATTCTTTCCTCCACTTTGTCTATTCTGCTATTGATACTTATGGTTACATTGTAAAGTTTTTTTCTTGTGTTTTTCAGCTTCATCAGCCCATTTATGTTTCTGTCTAAACTGGTTATTCTGGATAACAGGTCCTGGAATGTTTTTATCATGGTTCTTAGCTTCTTTGCATTGGGTTAGAACTTTTAGTTCAGCAAAGTTTGTCAGTTCCCATGTTCTGAATCCTACTTCTTTCAATTCATCCATTTCAGCCCATACTGGCCCTTCCCTACAAGATACTTATTATCAGACTTTTGGTAAACCAGCGGGTGATAGTAATTATAGTAGTGGTAGATTAAATAAATGAAATAATGTTCACAAAGTAAACATTATAATGATCACCTCCTACTACTGTGTAGTTCAAAAACAAACAATAGCAAGTGTGGTGGTCTTGCTGAGTGCTTACATACCCATTGTTGTTTACATACTCGTTGTTCATTGTTTATTGTGCATTTTGAAGATTATTCTATACTTCACAAATTTTTAATTTACAATAACTTGTACTCATTATTCCTTCATTTGTTTTTATTCTACTTGTTTCACTTCAGGGTTGCAAGTGGCTAGAGCTTCTTCCAGCAGTTTAGAACACAAGGTTGGAGCCAAGCCTATATAGGATGCCATTTTCACACAAAGTAAACACACACATGTACTGGGACAGTTTAGACGTGACAATTAACCTAAAATACACATCTTTGAGATGTGGTAAGAAAAAAAAAATACCTGTAAAAAGTTCACACAGATGTGGGAAAAATATGCAGACTCCACACTGATAAAACAAAACTTTTACTCAAATTAAACTAAACAGAGTTTAGTTGAAGAGAGAACAATTCGCTAATTGAGTAGTCCCCAGAACTTTAGTAGTTTTATAGTGACCCCATGACTGCTATATGGAGAGATAACATTTATGCACAGGAAAAGGAAACTGACTGTGGAGGCTTAAATTCTTCCATCTTTAATGCTAGTCTGCAATGTCTACTTCTGATTAACACCAGCTCAGGAAATGTCTAAGATTTCTACTGTACTTACTTTTGCATGTACTTAATGTAAATCCTGACCTTAGGTCAAACAACTCTGATATTACTGCAAAAATTGCAGAATATTTTTTATATAGCATTCTTATCTTTTCCTGAATATTTAATCGTTCTGCAAAATTTTATAGAGCACATAGACACTTTCCCTATAGTGTTTGATACTTGAGTTTGGGGGTAACAGCACCTCAAAGTACCAGACTTGTAACCACCCAAGACCGTGTTCTGTTTGTTAGTTCCCTAGAAAATCAACTCCCATTGACAACCTGGATTTGTCTGCCTGATTCTTCATTTTTAGGCCACTTCTGCATTTAGGAATTACTTTACATATATAGCCTTTTCACAAGACAACTGGCAAGGTAGCCAGCAGGAAACTAAGAACCAATGTATGGACAAGTGGAAAAAGTGATCAGCAGGGGAAATCTCTGGGTCGTTATCATCTGGGTAGGGTGGTGTTGCCCATTTTCTAAATGCAAGTGGACCACTGCATGAGTATGGAGTTGTCCTAAAAATGCCAGGCAATGTAGAGCACTTGTTATTAGAAAACTAAATGGCACACAGAAAGGAAGATGGCTGTACAATGACAACACTGGGCTTGTTCTTTTGAGCTGTGAGTGATCACAGAAGCACAGTTAGCAGCTGAGGTGATGATGTGAAAGTTAGAGGAAGAATTACAGTTAGACAAGGATATGAGGGCCTCCATGTCTTTGTTAGTGTCTAACTTGTTAAATAAGCTCAAAACTCCAGAAGAACATTTGGAAGCTAGTCTGCCAATTTTGTATTACTGGGAGTTTTGTAACCCTGTTGAGCAAAAGTACTAACCTGGATTGGGATATTAAGACCTAGAATTATTGGGAATGAACTATTGAGTCCGATGATGACATAGATGTTACCTTGAAGCTGGAGGAGGATCATGCTCTCATTTTATAATTAAGAACATTAATCCAATGGAAAGCAAAAGCCCAGCAGAAGCAGCTGAACAATAGTGAACAGTCTTTTCAAGAAACCTTCATTTTCTGAGAGTACACCTTGACTTTCATTGTTATGATTATTTGTCTTTGTATCATCTCTAGGCATTAAGAATGATGTGGCATGTAGAAATCCTTAATTACAATGTGCTCTCAATGACTGCTTCCGAGGTATTTCTTTAATGAACTTTGAAGTGTCCCTTATGTCTACATTCTACAAAATTGTGTGACATTAAATACATTAACTTCTGCACAGGGGACAACTAGTGCCATTATTAAGAGTGGAAGTTGTGTACACATTCCTGACAGTTGTGGCAATAAAACTATAACCCTACAAACATATGGATGAAAAAATAATAGCAATCTCTGACTCTACTATTTCTGTATTTTTTTTGGCAGTTTTTTTTTTTTTTTGTCGTTGCTAAGTCCTGATGTACGTGTGCAGAACGTGCAGTTTTGTTACACACACGTGCCATGGTCATTGGCTGCACCAATCAACCCATCACCTACATTAAGTATTTCTCCTAATGCTATCCCTCCCCTAGCCCCCGACACCCTGAGAGGCCCCAGTGTGTGATGTTCCCCTACCCATGTCCTTGTGTTCTTCTTGTTCAACTACCACTTATGAGTGAGAACATGTGGTGTTTGACTTTCTGTTTTTGTGACAGTTTGCTGAGGACGATGATTCCCAGCTTCATGTCCTGCAAAGTACAAGAACTCATCCTTTTTCATGGCTGCATAGTATTACGTGGTGTATATGTGCCACATTTTCTTTATCCAATCTATCATTGATGGACATTTGGGTTGGTTCCAAGTCTTTGCTATTGCGAACGGGGCCACAATAAACATACTTGAGCATGTGTGTTTATAGTGGAATGATAATATTTTGGGTATATACCTAGTAATGACATTGCTGGGTCAAATTGTATCTCTAGTTCTAGATCCTTGAGGGATCATGACACTGTCTTCCATAATGGCTGAACCAATTTACACTCCCACCAACAGTGCAAAAGGGTTCATATTTCTCCACATTCTCTCCAGTATCTGTTGTTTCCTGACCTTTTAATGATCCTCATTCTAACTGGCATGAGATGGTATCTCATTGTGGTTTTGATTTGCATTTCTTTAATGACCAATGATTATGAGCTTATTTAAATATGTTTGTTGGCTGCACAAGTGTCTTTTATTGAGAGTTGTCTTTTCATTTCCTTTGGCCAATTTTTGATGGTTTTTTTTTTTTTTTTTTTTTTTTTTTTTTGTAAAGTTGCTTAAGTTATTTGAAGGTGCTGGATATTAGCCTTTTGTCAGATGGGTAAATTGCAAAAATTTTCTCCCATTCTGTAAGTTGCCTGTTCACTCTGATGATAGTTTCTTTGGCTGTGCAGAAGCTCTTTAGTTAAATTAGGTCCCATTTGTCTATTTTAGCTTTTGTTGTCATTTTTTAAGGTGTTTTAGATATGAAGACTTTGCCCATGCCAATGTCCTGATGGTATTGCCCAGGTTTTCTTTTAGGATTTTTATGGTTGTACATCTTACGTTTAAGTCTTTAATCCATCTTGAGTTAATTTTTGCATAAGGTGTGAGGAAGGGGTCCAGTTTCTGCATATGGCTAGCCAGTTTTCCCAACACCATTTATAAATAGGGAATCTTTTTCACATTGCTTGTTTGTGTCAGGTTTATCAAAGATCAGATGATTGTAGATGTGTGGTGTTACTTCTGAGGCCTCTGTTCTGTTCTTTTTGTCTATATATCAGTTTTGGTACCAGTACCATGCTGTTTTGGTTACTATAGCCTTGTAGTATAGTTTGAAGTCAGGTAGTGTGATGCCTCCAGTTTTCTTCTTTTTGCTTAGGATTGTCGCTTATGAAGCTTATGAAGTTTGACTGGATATGAAATTCTGGGTTGATAATTCTTTTCTGTAAGAATGTTGAATATTGCCCCCCCCCCCCGCCCCCCGCCCCGGTTTGTAGGTTTCTGCAGAGAGATCCACTGTTGGTCTGATGTGTTTCCCTTTCTGGGTAACTCAACCTTCCTCTCTGGCTGCCCTTAACATTTTTTCCTTCATTTCAACCATGATGAATCTGAAGACTATGTGTCTTGGGGTTGCTCTTCTCAAGGAGTATCTTTGTGATGTTCTCTGTATTTCCTGATTTTGAACGCTGGCCTGTCTTGCTAGTTTGGGGAAGCTCTCCTGGGTAATATTTTGAAGTGATTTCCAACTTGGTTCCATTTTCCACATCACTTTAAGGTACACCAACCAAACATAGGTCTGGTCTTTTCACATAGTCTCATATTTCTTGAAGGTTTATTCCTTTCTATTCATTTTTCTTTAATGATGTCTTCATGCTTTATTTCATTAAGTTGATCTTCAATCACTGATACCCTTTCTTTCACTTGAATGATTCAGTTATTCATACTTTTGTATGCTTCATGAAGTTCTCCTGCTGTGTTTTTCAGCTCCATCAGGTCATTTATGTTCTTCTCTAAACTGGTTATTCTAATTAGCAATTCCTTAAACCTTTTTTCAAGGTTCTTAGCTTCCTTGCATTGGGTTTGAATATGTGCCTTTAGCTTGGAGGAGTTTGTTCTTACCCACCTTCTGAACCATACTTCTGTCAATTCGTCAAACTCCTTCTCTGTCCAGTTTTGTTCTGACTCTACAATTTCTTTCCCCCAATGGCTCTCCTTTTGATTTGGATCCTGGGGATTTTGGTGGCATAAAGTATTATTAATTTTTTTGTCTAATACTTGACATTGGTATTTTTACCTGCTATTGTCTATGGTGTTGCTGTGACCTCTGCTTACAAGCAGAAAACAAATTGATGAAACATATCACCCAGTTTCCTACCCAACTCAGAGACTCAGGGACCATCACCATAAAGGAGGGTGCACAAGAGTGTCATGTGGCTTGGCTGTATCCCAACTCAAATGTCATCTTGAATTCCCATGTTTTGTGGGAGGGCCCAAGTGGGAATCATGGAGGCAGGTCTTTCTCATGCTGTTTTTGTGAGAGTGAATGAATCTTACAAGATGTGATAGTCCTACAAGGAGGCATTTCCCTGCACAAGCTCTGTCTTTGCCTGCTGCCTTCCACATAAGATGTGACTTGCTCCCTGCCTTCTGCCATGATTGTGAGGCTTCTCCAGCCACAAGGAACTGTAAGTCCATTAAACCTCTTTCTTTTGTAAATTGCCTAGTCTCAGGTGTGTCTTTATTAGCAGCATGAAAACGGACAAATAGAGTATAAGAACCTTATTAGATGGGTGGAATTTGGAAGCTAAAGTAACTATATCTTTGATACTAATTTGCCATCCTCACTTCTGTTGGGAACAGGCCCCCAAATCTGGCCATAAACTGGCCCCAAAACTGGCCATAAACAAAATCTCTGCAGCACTGTGACATGCTTGTGATGGCCATGACACCCACGCTGAAAGTTGTGTGTTTACCCGAATGAAGGCAAAGGAGACCTGGCTCACCAAGGGCGGAAAACCACTTAAAGGTGCTCCTAAACCACAAACAATGGCATGAGCGATCTGTGCCTTAAGGATATATTGCTGCTGCAAATAACTAGCCAGAGCCCATCCCTTTGTTTCCTGTAAGGAATACTTTTAGTTAATCTGTAGAAACAATGCTTATCACTGGCTTGCTGTCAATAAATATGTGGGTAAAACTCTGTTTGGGGCTCCAATCTCTGAAAGCTGTAAGTCCCTTGATATCCCACTCCACACTCTCTATGTGTGTATCTTTAATTCCTCTAGCGCCACTGGGTTAGGGTCTCCATGATGAAGCTATTCTCGGCAAGTGGTGCCCATGCATGGGGCTTGAACCCAGGTCAAAGGGTCACCAGAGTGATGATTTGAGAATGTGGAACTAAGCTGGAGGACACCCAACTACTCTTAAGCTGTCCCTGTGGTGAGTAAGAAGGGGAGCTCGGAAGCATCAGAGTAACAATGGGACAACTGTGTACTCTGGTTTGTTCCCCCTTGGAACCTTTTCACACTAATGAAGAGGAGGAAGAAAAGTAAAATGAAGTAACAGAAGAGGTAACAGCAGATTTGTTTGCCAGCTAAAGTGTCAAAGGAGGAAGAGGTCCATCCCTACCCTTCTTCACATCATCCTTATTTTGAAGAAAAAGCATGGCCTGAACCTCCATATCATTCTTTTCCAGAGGACACTGGGTGAAAAGTAGTTTCCCCAGTGACTGTTCAAGCAGCACCTCAAGCGACCACTCTCAGTTCTATTCAGGCAGGAATTCAGCAAGCTAGATGAGAGCGTGATATAGAGGCATGGCAGTTCCCTGTTAGAATACACCCCCTAAATCAACAGGGAAATATAGCTACATTTGAACCTTTCCCTTTTAAATTACTCAAAGAATTTAAACAAGCTATTAATCAATATGGACCAGGTTTTCCTTTTATTATGTTACTGTTAAAGAATATTGCTGTCTCCAGTCAGATGTTGCCAATGGGGATGGTAGGATTACTTCTAGGTAGATATATTTAAATTAAAAAGGAGTGCAAGTACATACAGAAGTCATTGATTCAGATTATAATGGGGAAATTCAAATTGTTATACCTACTTCTGTTCCCTGGAAAGCAGAGCCAGAAGAGCATATAGCACAACTTCTGATTTTGCCATATGTGGGAATGGAAAAAAGTGAAATTAAATGAACAGGAGGATTTGGAAGCATAAATAAACAAGGCAAAGCAGCTTATTGGGTAATAACAATTAACAAAGGAGGCCGAGGCAGAATTATAGCTGATTCAAAAGCAATTCCATAAAGCTCAAACAAACAGAATAAATCCAGAGAAGACTCTAGATTTGCTAATTTTTCCAACTCATCATTCACCTACTGGTGTTATTGTTCAAGAGAAAGATCTTTTAGAGTGGCTTTTTCTTCCACATACTAATTCACAAACTCTAACTCCTTATTTGGATCCAAGTGCTACTATGACAGGAAATGGGAGAACTTGGATTGTTAAATTACATGGATATGATCCTAAAGAAATTATTGTCTCTCTCAAGAAGGCACAAATAGAGCAAGCTTTTATAAATAGTCTTACTTGGCAAACCCATTTAGCTGACTTTGTGAGTATTCTTGATAATCATTTTCCTAAAATGAAACTGTTTCAATTTTTGAAATTAACTAATTGGATTCTCTCTGAAATAACTAAATTTAAACCAACTAAAGGTGCTGAGAATGTCTTCACAGATGGGTGTAGTAATGGTAAAGCTTCTTATTCTGGCTCAAAAGGTAGAGTTTTCCAGATGCCCTAAACTTCAGCTCAAAAAGCCAAGCTTGTAGCTGTAATTGAGGTATTGACTACTTTGATATGCCTATTAATGTGATTTCTGATTCTTTATGTGTGGTTCATTCCACACAATTAATTGAAAATGCTCAGTTATGATTTCATGTAGATGAACAACTGATGACTTTATTTATTCAATTGCAAACAGCAGTTAGGAGTAGAATACACCCTTTTTACATCAATCACATTAGGGCTCATACACTACTTCCAGGACCTTTGCAGGGAATCAAATGGCTGATCATCTAGTTGCTACTGCAATGTCTAATGCTAGACACTTTCACAACTTAACCCATGTAAATGCCTCTGGTCTCAAACGCAGATACAGCATTACCTGGAAAGAAGCTAAAGTGATTATTCAGCGATGCACATCTTGCCAAATGGTACATTCTTCATCTTTTACAAAAGGAGTTAATCCTCGAGGATTGAAACCTAATGCTCTTTGGCAAATGGATGTCACACATGTTCCCTCATTTGGGAAACTAGTTTATGTACATGTATGTGTGGACACTTTTTCTCACTTTGTCTGGGCTACCTGCCAATCAGGAGAGTCTTCTGCTTGTGTTAAACATTACCTTTTGCAGTGTTTTGCAGTGATGGACATTCCAGCTTCTATTAAAACAGATAATGTCCCAGACTATCCCAGCCAAGCTCTAGCTACATTTTCTCTATATGGAATATTAAACACATTACTGGCCTCCCATATGATTCTCAAGGACAAACCATAGTAGAAAGAATGAATCTCTCCCTGAAACAGCAGTTAACAAAAACAGAAAAAGGGGGAAACAGGGACATCACATATATAACTGAACTTTATTAACTCCAAATTTTTTGAGCCTGCATAAAGGCCAGATGTTATCAGCAGCTGAACAGCATCTACAGAAACCAGCTGCAAAGACAGAAGCATAACAACTGCTTTAGTGGAGAGATCTGATAACAAATAGTTGGGAAATAGATAAAATAATAACTTAGGCTAGAGGTTATTCTTGTGTTTCTCCAGGCCAGAACCAGCAGCCAATTTGGATACCACCAAGACACCTGAAACCTTATCATGAGCCAGACGCCAAGGAAGAGATTCCAGGAGGATCCTGAGGACCCCACGGTTGCAGCCATGTCAAGACTGAGGCTGAGAAGGACCCCAACTGTCACAAGCAACACCCGTTGAACACAGCCACCTATGTGGGGACAGATCAAGAAGCTGTCACAGATGGCAGAAGAAAACCTGAGGAAAGAGGGACATTGAGCCTTCCAATCACAATGATTAATTTAATGATAGCTATGATAGCGGTAATCACCACTGCCATGAGTATTCCTTCAACAAGGGCTGACACAGAGAACAATTATACTTATTGGGGATATTTATCAGCCTTGGCTGGCAATAATGCCTGGATGTAATCACTCCATGACACAGTTACACAGGCTTTCTGGTGTCAGTATTTATCATAATAAATCTGCTTCTATAATTGAAGCATACCACCCTCAAAAATCTATTTGTAAACAGAATTGAACCTGGCCAGAAATAATAAATGTACTTGTTTCGGAAGACTGCAATGCAGAACAGGCAGAGGTGCTGCACAACCATTCCTATGGAATCATTATTGATTCATCCCCTAAGGGGATGTTTAGCTTGAATTGCACTTCTCACACTGTGTGCCATGGTGACACTATGTTCAGCTGTTCGAACAAAATGATCAGATGGTAGAAATGGTAAGAAACACAGCAAGCGTTCCTATTATCTGGAAACATGGTGGTATAGTGGCACCTCAAGTTCAAATGTAATACTAGCAAACTGAATCCGGTAGCACATGAGAAAGTTAGTCTGCCATGATCAAGAAAGACTGATGTTTGTAGTGCAAGGATGGTTCAAAACTTGCAATTTAGTAAATGTGATTAGCCACATAAACCAAACTTTTTAAAGAAGATTATTTTGGTAGATTCAGAAAAGGCTCTTAGAGAAATTTGGCATCTCTTTCTATTAAAACCTCCATAAACTAGGCATTGAAAAATAACATCTCACAATAATAAGAGCCATCTATGACAAACCCACAGCCAGGGTTATACTAAATGGTTAAAAAAAACACAAAAACCAAAAAAAAATAAACAACAACAACAACAACAACAAAACCTGGAAGAGTAGGGAAGAAAGGATGTTTATACACACGACTCCTATTCAACATATACTGAAAGTTCTAACCAGATTAATCAGGCAAAAGAAAGAAATAGAAGCATTTAAATAAGGGTAAAGAAAGTCAAACCATCTCTCTTTGTGGATGATGTGTCTACACTTAGAAAACCCTATAGTCTCTGGTAGAAAGCTCCTAGACATGAAAAACAATTTTAGCAAAGTTTCAGAAGAGAAAATTAATGTACAAAATTAGTATCATTTTTAAAAATCAACAATGTTCAAGCAGAAAGCCAAATCAAAAATATAATCTCTTGCACAGTAATTACAAAAAGAATAAACCACCTAGGGATACAACTAAATCAGGTAGATAAATGATCTCTGTACCAAGATATACAAAACACAATTCACTGGTGACATAAAAAAATGAAAATTTTGCTATGGTCACAAATAGGATGAATCAATATTATTAAGATGGCCAAACTGCCCAAAGCAATTACAGATTGAATGTTATTTGTATTAAACTACAAATGACATTCTTTATAGAATTGGGGGAAAAAAAACTATTATAAAATTTACATGCAACTGAAAAACAGCCCAAACAGAAAGTTCCTGTGCAAAAACAAAGCAAAAGCAAGAGGCATCACACTACCTGGCTATAAAATATACTACACTACAGTGTATATACAAAATATACTACAAGGTTATAGTAACAGCATAATACTGGTATGAAAACAGACATATAGACCAACAGGAGAGTTTAGATAATACAAACAAAGCTGCGTATATACAACCATCAGATCTTAAACAAAGTTGTCAAAGATACGCAAAGGGAAAAGAACTCCCTCATCAATAAGTGATGAGATAACTCTCTAGCTATATGCAGAAGATTAAAACTTCACTCTTTTCTCACTCCATGCACAAAAAATAACTCAAGATGGATTAAAGATTAGAATGGAAAACCTAAAACTGTAGAAACTCTGGATGATCACCTAGACAATATTCTGGCATAGAAATAGGAAACGATTTTATGATGAGGAAACCAAAAGCAATAGCAATGCAACCAAAAATTGACCAAAGAGATGTTATTAAAATAAAGAACTTCTGCATAGTAAAAGTAACTATCAACAACACAAAGCCTATAGAATAAAAGAAAATATTAGCAAACTATGCACCTCACAAAAGTCTAATATCCAACATCTGTAAGGAACTTACCCACATTAACAAGCCGAAGACAAACAACCCCATGGGAAACAGATATATTTCAAAATAGAATATGCATGTAGCCAAAAGCCATATAAAAAGAAGCTCAATCTTACTGATCATCAGAGAAATGCAAATCAAAGCTACAATTAGATGACATCTCATACTAGTCAGAACGGCTATTAAAATGTCAAACAATAACTGGTGCTAGTGAGGTTTTGGAGAAAAAAAAATGATTGTGTACTTTTAGTGGGAGTGTAAATTTGTTCAACCATTGTGAAAAACAATGTGGAAATTTCTTGAAGACCTAAAGATAGAACTACCATTCAACCCAGCAAGATCATTACTGGGTATCTAACCTAAGGAGTATAAATCAGTCTTTTATAAAAATAAATGCATGTATATGTTCACTGAAGCATTATTTACAACGGCAAAGACATGGAATGACTGAAATACCCATCAAGGGTAGACTGTGTAAAGAAAATGTGGTATATATTTGTCATGGAATACTATGCAGACATAAAAAAGAAATGAGATTATGTTCTTTGTATGAACATGAATGAAGCCGAAGGCCATTATCCTGAGCAAATTAATGGAGAAACGGAAAACAAAATACTGCATGTTTTCATTTTTAAGTGGGAGCTAACCAATGAGAATGCATGGACATACAGAAAAAAGGAGACCCCGAGGCCTACGAGATGGTGGAATATGAGAGGAGGGAGAGGAGCAGGAAAAACTACTAACGGATAGTAGCCATAATACCTGGGCGATGAAATAATCTGTAGAACAAACCCCCAAAACATAAGAGTACCTAAATAATAAACCTTCACATTTACTCCTGAACCTAAAAGTTTAAAAAATTGAGGAGGACACTAAAAAAATGGGAAAATCTTCCATGTTCATGAACTGAAAAAAAAAAATTATCAAAGTGTTCGTACTACCCAGGGAAATCTACAGATTAATTGCAATACCTACCAAAACACTAATGATATTCTCCATGGAAATAGAAACAGATTTGTAAAATTTGTATGGAGCTACCAAAGACCCAGAATAGCCAAAGCTACCCTGAGCAAAAAGAACAAAATTGGAGGAATTACATTACCTGACTTCAAAGTACACTACTTAGCTATAGTAATCAAACAGCGTGGTACTGATTTGAAAACAGATGCATAGACTAGTGGAACAGAATTTTAAAACTAGAAGCAAATCTATACATCATATGCAAATCCATACGTTGGAGGAATGACCGTCTATTCAATTAATACTTCCGGGAAAACTGGATTTTCATATGCAGAAGAATGAAACCCTCTCTCACCATATACAAGAATTAAATCAAAATAGATTAAAGACTCTAAGACTTCAAACTATGAAGCTACTGCAAGAAAAAAATTGGAGGAATCTCCAGGACAGTTGCTGGGGTTAAAAAAATTACGGAGTAATGCCCCACAGGCATAGGCAACCAAAACAAAAATGGACAAGTAGCATTACATCAAGTTAAAAAGCTTCTGCGCAGCAAATGAAACAGTGTAGTGAAGAGACAACCCACAGAACGAAAGAAAATACTTGTAAGCTACCTATGTGACAAGGGATTAACAACCAGAACATGTAAGTAACCCAAACAAATCTGTAGAAAATATTTAATAATTCCATTTAAAAATTGGCCACATATTTAAATAAACATTCATCAAAGGAAGACATACAAATGACAAACAGGTGTAAGTAAATGTGCTCAACATCACTGATCTTCAGCCAAATGGAAATCAAAAGTATAATGAGATATTATCTTGCTGCAGTTAAAATTGCTTATATCCAAAAGATAGGCAATAACAAATAGCAGAGAGGATGTGAAGAAAAGGAAACATGCCAACGCTGTTGAAGTTTATGTACATTCAGACATTCACTATGGATAAGAGTCTGGAGATTCCTAGAAAAAAAGACTCAATATTGAGCTTCCATACTATCCAACAATCACACTGCCAGGTATATACTCCAAAGAATGTCAATCAGAATATTGAACAGATATCTGCACTGTCATTTCTTGCAGTACTCTTCACAATCGTCAAGATTTGGAAGCAATCTAAAGGTCTATCAGGAGAGGAATGGATGAAGAAAATGAGATACATATACACAATGGATTCCTATTCAGCCATAACAAGA
Source organism: Homo sapiens (assembly GCF_000001405.40). Taxonomy (NCBI): domain Eukaryota; kingdom Metazoa; phylum Chordata; class Mammalia; order Primates; family Hominidae; genus Homo; species Homo sapiens. The sequence continues at coordinate 19,652,839 of NC_000024.10, read as the reverse complement.
ATGAGATCCTGTCATTCACAACAACATGAATGAAACTGCCGGTCAAGTGAAATAAGTCAGGCAAAGAAAGGCAAATTTTGTATGCTCTCACTTATTTGTGGGAGCTAAAAATGAAAACAATTGAACTCATCGTGATAATAAAAGTATGGTTACCATAGACTGGGGAAGGCAGTGGAGAAATTGGGGAAGTAGGGATGGTTGATGGGTACCATTAAAAAATAGCTACAAAGAATGAATAAGATCTAGTGTTTGATAGCACAGTAGGATAACTATAGTCAATAATAACTTTGTACATGTAAAAATTAAAAACTACAATTGGATGTTTTTTAACACAAAGGCTAAATTTTTGAAAGGATGCATATCACATTTGCCATGATGTGATTATTAGGCACTGCATGTCTGTATCAAAATATGTCATGTACCCGGTAAGTGTATATTCCTACTGTGTACTCACAAAAATTAAAAATGTAAAGAAAAAAGACTTTATAATAGTGGTCATTATTAAAGATAAAATTGTCCAAAAATTTTGGTTATTTTTGTGGACTATAATTAAATAAGAACCACAATTATAACTGAAAACATAGTCCAAGATGTCAGAATTAGAAGAATCTCAAATAATTTTTTAACACATTATTATCTGTATTAATGAATAATTAATATTATTAATAATATATTCATACAAATACCACCTTTTAAAATGTCAAGTAAGAGGCAGTCAAGAGGGCTGACTAGAAGCAGCTATTGTGCACCTTGAACTGAAACATTCAGGTACTCACGGTGGGACTAATCAAGGAAAGAACTTGATTCATGGAGAACAAAGAAAAGCAAGACAGGATGATGACACACTTGGGAGCAACACAGGGCCAAAGGTACCTCATCAACCCAGAGTAGCAGTAAATAAACTCACACATGTTTCAAAGTTCTTTGCAACCTCAGGCCAGGGGACCCCCTTGAGTCCACTTTACCGGGTCCTTCAGAGCTACATGGAGTCTTGGTAGAGCAGCTGCTCATGCACACGTGGAGACCCAGGAGCCTTAGATACTCAGGTCCTCTTGGCTTCCCAGCCAAAGTAGCTGCAACTCTGGCACAGTGGGAGGTTAGACACTGACACATACACCTAGGAAAGAGGCTGAATCCAGGGGGCTGAGCAGTGAGTTTGCAGACATTACTTCCATGGCACCTCAAAGGAAAATGCACTCTGGCTTGGAATTCCAGACTGCCATCAGTAGCCACATAAGATGGAGCTCCTATCAGGAGAAGCAGGCCACTGTCTTTACTCCTTGGGTCTTTCCAGCCTTCAGGTTTTGGAGAATTCAAGCCAACTGATGGTGGAAGGGACTGCCTAGTACAGCAAGGCTGCTCTATGAAAACATGGCAAGGCTGCTTTTTAAAGTAGGTAGCCAATCTTATTCCTCCTCACTGGATGGGACCTACTAAATGGGGCCTCCAACCATGCACACCAGTGTTCTCTAGCTGACAGAGATTAGAAACTTCCCTGGGATGGAGCTCCCAGAGGGAGGGGTAGGCCACCATCTTTACTTTTCGGGTGACTCAGCCATTCCAGCCTTCAGGCTTTGGAGAGTCAAGTCAACCAGAGGCAGAAGAGATCTGCCAGTACAGCAAAACTGCTCTACAAAAACTGCAAGACTGTTTTTGAATGTTGGCCCCCATTCCTGTTCCTTCTCGTTGGTTGAGATCTCCCAACTGGATCATTCAGTCACCCCCACTGGTATCCTGCAGTTGATAAAAATTTGAAGACTTCCTGGGACAGAGCTCCCAGAAGGAGGGGTGGGCTGCCTCGTTGTTGTTGGGGTGACTTAGCCATATTAGCCATCAAGCATTAGAGAGTCCAAGCCAGCCAGGAGCAGAAGTGGTACCCATTTTGTAGAGCAGCACAGCATGGCTGCTCTACAAAAATATAGCCAGACTTCTTCTTTAAGTGGGTCTCAACTTCCATTTCTCCTCAATGGGCAGGACTCTCAATTCAGGCCTCCAGTCATCCCTGCCAGTGTTCTTCAGCTTATGCACATTTGAAACTTCCCTGAGACCCAGCTCTCAGAGAGATGGTCTGGCTGCCATCTTTGCTGTTTGGGCAACTTAGCCATTCCAGCTTTTGTGCTTTGGAGACTCCAAGTTTATCTGTTATGGAGGTGATTTATCAGCACAGCACAGCTGTTCTGTGAAAATGTGGCCAAGCTGGTTTTTTAGGCAGGTCCCTGATTCCACGTTGCATTCACATTTTCAAGCACCTTTATAGCAATGCCCCACTTCTCTGGTACCAGCTTCTCTTTTCTCCTCTCCAATAGCATGACCATGATGGGTGATGGGAAAGTCCTTAACCTTTTAGTTTAGTTTCCTTGGGGAAACTTGCCGTTTACTCACACTCATGCTTTTTTAATTATGCCTGGGAATCTCACTCCTTTACCAGGTAGACATATTTTAGTTAGTATTCCAGCTAGCCTATATGGGATATTCTAGCCATCATCCTTATGGCTCCAGGACAGACTCTTTGTCTTCCCTTAATGGAAACCAATATTAACCCAGAGGTGCAAGTCAAGGTAAAATTGGCCAGTCTGCAGCTGTCCCAGATTTACCTTAAGGATTCCACATTCTTCCATAACCAGAAGAAGTACCCCCCAAAGCCAAAGCTAGAAAAGAACTAGAAGCCATTATTAATCATTTTAAAGCACAGGACCTTCACAAATCTTGCAACAGCCCTTTCAACAGTCCAATATTAGGGTTACAGAAACCCGTTAAGGAATGGAGGAGACTAGTTCAGGATCCTCATCTCATTAATGACTCTGTAGCTCCTATCCATCTGGTCATTTCTAATTCTTATTCTTTGCTAACTCAAATACCCGAGGCAAATAAATAGTTCACTTTTGGACCTAAGGAATGCCTTTTTTTGCATACCATTGCACTTTGACTCTCAATACTTACTTGGTTTCAAGGATCTCTCCAACCATGCTATCCAGTTGATTTGGGCAGTACTGCCTCAGGGATTCTGAGACAGCCCCCACTTGCTTGGGCAAATATCATCAAATGACTTCTATGAGTTTTCTCATCCTCAGGTAGAAGTTTTACAATATGTAAATGATATTCTCCTCTGTTCCCAACTGAGGGAGTTTCTCAAAAACACTCTGAGGCACTTCTTAACTTACTAGCAGGTAGATGATATAAAATTTCCAAATCTAAAACAAAGCTTTGTAAAACTTCAGTAAAGCACATACATCTAGTCTTGTCAGAAGGGAGCAGAACATTAGGAGATGAGAAAAATAAGCCTATTTCCTTCTTTCCCCTTCTCAAAACCCTCAAACAGCTAAGAGAATCTTGGCTCATTACAGTTTTTGCAGACTGTGGATTCCTGGGTACAGTGAAATAGTTCATCATTTATATCACTTATAAATAAAAAGCTAAAAGTCATTTATTCACATGGGAACCTGAGGCTCAGAAGGTCTTTAATCAGCTAAGCAAGCCTTACTTAAAAGACCTGCCCCCAGTCTTCCCATAGGAAAGGCATTAAATCTTTATGTCACAGAAAGGAAGGGAAGAGCCCTGGAGGTTTTAATTCAAGTGCAAGATTCAGCCTAACAGTCAGTCAATTACTTATGCAAGAGATTTATTTGGTGGCTACAGGATGGCCAGCTTGCCTCCAAGCAGTTGTAGTGGTGGCTTTACTGGTGCCAGAAGCCACTAAATTAACCAAGGGGAATAACATGACTATTTATGCCCCCCATAATATAGCAGGACTGTTAATCACCTCCACAAATATCAAGCATTGCTGATGGAGGAATGTGCTGTTTACTAAAAGACATGTCCTTGCCTGAATCCAGCCACTTTCCTCTAAGAGGAAACCTAAACATAATTTGGAACAAATTGTGGTGCAAACCTATGCAGCCAGAGAGGACCTCAAGAAAACTTCCCTAGAAAATGCAGACTGGATTCTCTTTACAAATGAACTACTTAGTAGAACAAGAAACTCATAGGGTAAGGTATACAGTTATCACCCTGGATGACATCATTAAAAGCACACCTCTCTCATCAGATACAAATGCTCAATTAGCTGAAATAATCATCCTCACAAGGGATCTTGAACTAAGCAAAGGAAAGGCCATTAACATACCTACTGATTCTACATACGCTTTCCTGGTTCTTCATAATCATGCCGTTATTTAGAAAGAAAGCCATTTCCTGACTGCTAATGGGTCTCCCATTAAATACCATCAGGAAATAGATTGTTGTCTTAGTTTTACTTCCATAGGAAGTGGCAGTAATACATTGCTAAGGACACCAGAAGAGGATGGATGGAATAGTTGAAGGATATAGGTTAGCAGACCAAACAGCTAAGTCATTAAAAAGATAACCCCAAAGTTCAAGTGCATTTGAAGTCCTTCTAATTTGGGAGGTCTCTATAGGGAAAATAAGTCCTCAGTATTCCCCAGCAGAGATAGATTGGGCCGCCTCTTGAGGAAACACTTTTCAATTCTTAGGATGGTTACAATCAGAGAATGGCAAACTTTATTTGTCAGCCTCTAGTCAGTGGAAAGTTATAAAATCTTTAACCAATCTTTTCATTTAGAAAAGGATAAAACTGGGGCCAGGCGCGGTGGCTCACACCTGTAATCCCAGCAATTTGGGAGGCCGAGGCAGGCAGATCACGAGGTCAGGAGATCAAGACCATCCTGGCTAACACAGTGAAACGCTGTCTCTACTAAAAATACAAAAAATTAGCCGAGCATGGTGGCAGGGGCCTGTAGTCGCAGCTACTCAGGAGGCTGAGGCAGGAGAATGGCCTGAACCTGGGAGATAGAGTGTGCTGTGAGCTGAGATTGTGCCACTGCACTCCAGCCTGGGTGACAGAGTGAGACTCCGTCTCAAAATAATAATAATAATAATAATAATAATAATAATAATAAAACTAATCAACTAGCCGACAAATCTTTGGGTAACAATTTACCAAACACAAATGGATTGTTAATGCTTGTGAGACGTGCCATGGAAACAATCCCCTCAACAGACATCTTGTCCCCACCCAAGTCAAAAAATGAGAAGTTTCCCAGGGGAGGACTGGCAAATTAATTTTACCCATATGGCAAAGAGAAAAAAGATTTAGTATCTCCTGGTGTAGGTGGATATCTTCACTAATTGAATAGAGGAATTTGCATGTTGAATAGAAAAGGCCTCTAAGGTGATGAAAGCATGAGTCAATAAAATAATTCCTCACTTTAACTCCCTAAATACCTCCAAAGTGACAATGGCCTTTCATTTAAGGTGACTGTTACCCAGAAGGTCTCAAAAGCACTGGACATACAATACCATCTTCATTGTGCTTGGAGACCACAATCTTCAGGGAAGGTGGAGAAAACAAATGATATCATTAAAAAGCACCTCCAGAAGTTGTCTCAAGAAGCAGTCCCATAGACTACCCTCCTCTTTACAGCCTTAGTGAGTGTGAGGAAGACCCATTTACATTTGAGGTTGAGCCCTTTTGAATGATATATGGATGGCCTTTGCTTAGTAATGATTTTATAATAGATCAGGAAACTTCTGAATTGGTTAATCATATAACCTCCCTGGACCACTTCCAGCAGGAATTAAAAACAGCTATTAAAACTCCAACCCCAATAACTAGGATCACCTCCCTTTAATCCAGGAGACTTGGAACTGGTGAAGGCTCCTCCCTCTCTTTCCCCCTCTTGAGGTCGTAAGTGTTAGAGACCTTACACCATCCTTCTCTCCAACCCCTTGGCAGTGAAGATTGCAGGACTCCACTCTTGGATTGATCACACTCATGGCAAGGCCTGAAATGCAGAGGGAGAAAGAGTTGACAGCTCAGAGGAGCATCCCAGATATCAGTGTGAAGATGTCAGTGGTTTCAAACTGAAAATTACAAAGATAAGTAAATGAATGAGAACTATCTGTTCAGCTCTACCCCATGCTTATCTTACTAATACTTTTAGTAAGATTTTAAATGAAACTTGATTATACCATACTTGTAGGAATTGTGGTACTTCGCACTTTGCAGTACGACTACATGTTGTGGCACCTTCTGAGTAAAACATCCGGCAAAACGTCTCAATTGTCATAATTTTTTGCTTAGTTATTATTCTTATAACAGGCATAATAGTCACAGATAAAAGATAAAAATGACGGTTTTGTTACTATTGTGTTTATTAACATTCACTGTTAAATGTAGCAATGCCACCCATCATTTTTCCCTTACAATATTAGCCATTGCCCAGATGGATTGCTGGGTTTTCCCTAAATGATTTGCTCAGTTTAATAACATCAAAGGACACTTTGATGACCCAGAACTCACTAATTTAGTGTTCCCTTTGCTAGCTTTACCTTTAACCATTAAGTAACCATTAAGGATTTAATAGGTGTAAATGGAACATGGTATGGGTCCATTTTTAACCTCACCCAGAGAGACACACTCCCTGAGGGTAAAACTCCCACCCTTAAACTAGGTAAATTTAATAGAATGATACCAAATGCTTTAATCTGCTTTAACAGCAGAGGAAAAGGACTATACTTGGGAAACCTTAAATATTGTAACACTATGCTCATAATTGTTAAAAGCACAGAAATCTGGAGACTAAACAGGAACAAGATTAACACCAAACATTGGGAAAGACCATGGAAAAAATTTAACAATCTAGGCAGACCTCCTGGGTGGAATTCCCAATGGGAATAACTACCCGGGCAAAAATGTTGCCACTTGACAACTTCATTATCAGGTAATAAATAATGCATGGTCTTTCCCAAATATCCCCATACATGGAATTCCAGAACTTTGTATAATATTTAACAATGGCAGCTATCTGCAAATTTGTAGACAAACAAGGAATTTCTGGACCAATAGCGCCTGTAACATGTGTTGTCTAAGATAACTGCCAGGACCCTAATTTTTGAAACTCTTTTTGTCAAAAAAAACTCTTCCCATCCAGCATGTAAAGTTCTAAATGGTACTGTGGATGACTACAATTAGTATGAATATCTTTATCCTAAAGATATTCCCATTAGATGTAGGGAAGGCAGCCTTATAAGGCCTAGACTAAATCTAGCTGGAACTCTCATAAACTACAACTATGAGAACCATCCCTTCAGGAGGCAGGGCCTTACTTTCTCTGTGGTTCCTGGCTACACTAATATTCCACAGACACTGGAAAGAAACATGCACTATAGTAGCAGTGGTCCTAATGTTATTTTAAAACCCCACTGACATGATAACATCATCAAGTGACATCTCCAATTTGGGCTTTTTTGAAGAATGTATTTTCTTATGCACACCAGGAGATTATATCCCATGCCTGGCTCAGTGGGTCCCATGTCCATGGAAACTTGCTCATTGCTAGTCTCAGATCAAACTGCAAGGCAGCAAGCCTGACTGTGGGAGGGGTGTCTGCCATTGCTGAGGCTTGAGCAGGTAAACAAAGCAGTTGGGAAACTCAAACTGGGTGGAGCCCACTGCAGCTCAACTAGGCCCACCTGCCTCTGTAGATTCCACCTCGGGGGCAAGGCATAGCTGAACAAAAGGCAGCAGAAACTTCTGCAGACTTAAATGTCCCTGTCTGACAGCTCTGAAGAGAGCAGTGTTTCTCCCAGCACTGTGTTTGAGCTCTGAGACTGGACAGACTGCCCCTTCAAGTGGGTCCCTGACCCCTGTGTAGCCTAACTTAGAGAAAACTCCCAGTAGAAGCTGACTGACACCTCATACAGCCAGTTGCCTCTCTGAGATGAAGCTTCCAGAGGAAGGATCAAGCAGCAATATTTGTTGTTCTGCAATATTTGCTGTTCTGCAGCCTCCACTGGTGATACACAGCCAAATAGGGTCTGGAGCGGACTTCGAGCTAACTCCAACAGACCTGCAGCTGAGAGGCCTGACTGTTAGAAGGAAAACTAACAAACATAAGGGAATAGCATCAACATCAACAAAAAGGACATCCACACCAAAACTCCATCTGTAGATCACCAGAGACCAAAGGTAGATAAAACCACAAAGATGGGGAGAAACCAGGGAAGAAGAGCTGAAAATTCTTAAAACTAGAGTGCCCCTTCTCTGCCAAAGGATCACAGCTCCTTACCAGCAATGGAACAAAGCAGGACAGAGAATGACTTTGGTGAGTTGACAGAAATAGGCTTCAGAAAGTCGGTAATGATAAATTGCTCTGAGCTAAAAGAGGATGTTCAAACCCATCACAAGGAAGAAAAAACCTTCAAAAAAGATTAGACAAATGGCTAACATTTAAGGTCTTCCCTACACCTAATGGAGCTGAAAACCATGACATGAGAACTACATGATGATGCACAAGCTTCAGTAGCTGATTTGATCAAGTGGAAGAAAGGGTATCAGCAACTGAAGATCAAAATAATGAAATGAAGCAAGAAGAGAAGTTTAGAGAAAAAAGAGTAAAAAGAAACAAATAAACCTAATAGATATCTACAGAACTTTTCACCCCAAATCAACAGAATATACATTCCTCTCAGCACCGCACTGCACTCATTCCAAAATTGACCACATATTTACAAGTAAAGCACTCCTCAGCAAATGTAAAAGAACAGAAATCACAACAAACTGTCTCTGAGACCACAGTGCAATCAAATTAGAACTCAGGATTAAGAAACTCACTCAAAACCACATAACTGCATGGAAACTGAACAACCTGCTCCTGAATGACTACTGGGTAAACAATGAAATGAAGGCAGAAATAAAGATGTTCTTGGAAACCAGTGAGAACAAAGACACAAAGTACCAGAATCTCTGAGACACATTTAAGGCAGTGTGTAGGGGAAATTTATGTCACTAAATGTCCACAAGAGAAAGCAGGAAAGATATAAAATTGACATGCTAACATCACAATTAAAAGAACTAGAGGAGCAAGAGCAAACACATTCAAAAGCTAGCAGAAGGCAAGAAATAACTAAGATCATAGCAGGACTGAAGGAGATAAGAGACACAAAAAAACCTGCAAAAAAATCAATGAATCCAGGAGCTGGTTTTTTGAAAAGATCAACAAAATTGATAGACTGCTAGCAAGACTAATAAAGAAGAAAAGAGAAGACTCAAATAGATGCAATAAAAAATGATAAAGGCTATATCACCACCAATCCTACAAAAATACAAATTACCATCAGAGAATATAATCAACACCTCTATGCAAATAAACTAGTGAATCTAGGAGAAATGGATAAATTCCTGGACACATACACCCTCCCAAGACTAAACCAGGAAGAAGTTGAATCTCTGAATAGACCAATAAAGACTCTAAAATTGAGGCAATAATTCATAGCCTACCAACCAAAAAAAATTCCAGGACCAGACAGATTCACAGCCAAATTCTACTAGAGGTACAAAGAGGAGCTGGTACCTTTCCTTCTGAAACTATTCCAATCAATAGAAAAAGAAGGAATATTCCCTAACTCATTTTATGAGGCCAGCATCATCCTGATACCAAAGACTAGCAGAGACACAACAAACAGAGAATTTTAGATCAATATCCCTGATTAACATCCATGTGAAAATCCTCAATAAAATACTGGCAAACCAAATCCAGCAGCACATCAAAGAGCTTATCCAGCAAGATCAAGCTAGCTTCATCCCTGGGATGCAAGGCTGGTTCAACATATGCAAATCCATACATGCAATCCATCACATAAAAGAACCAAAGACAAAAACCTCATGGCTGGTTCAACATATGCAAATCAATACATGCAATCCATCACATAAAAAGAACCAAAGACAAAAACCACATGATTATCTCAATGGATGCAGAAAAGACCTTCAACAAAATTCAACAGCCATTCATGCTAAAAACTCTCAATAAACTAGATATTGATGGAATGTATCTCAAAATAATAAGAGCTATTTATGGAAAACCCACAGCCAGTATCATACTCAATGGGTTAAAATTGGAAGCATTCCCTTTGAAAACTGGCACAAGACAGGGATGCCCTCTCTCACCACTCCTATTCAACATAGTGTTGGAAGTTCTGGCCAGGGCAATCAGGCAAGGGAAAGAAATAAAGGGTATTCAGTTAGGAAAAGAGGAAGTCAAATTGTCCCTCTTTGTAGATGACATGATTGTATATTTAGAAAACCCCATCATCTCAGCCCAAAATCTCCTTAAGCTGATAAGCAACATCAGCAAAGTCTCAGGATACAAAATCAATGTGCAAAAATCACAAGCATCCTTATGCACAAATAACAGACAGAGAGCCAAATCATGGGTGAACTCTCATTCATAATTGCTACAAAGAGAATAAAATATGTAGGAATCCAACTTACAAAGCATGTGAAGGACCTCTTCAGGGAGAACTACAAATCATTGCTCAACAAAAATAAAGGAGGACACAAACAAATGGAACAATATTCCATGTTCATAGATAGGAAGAATCAATATCATGGAAATGGCCATACTGATTTATAGATTTATCAATTCAATGCCATTCTCATCAAGCTACCAATGACTTTCTTCACAAAATTGGAAAAAACTACTTTAAAATTCATATGGAACCAAAAAAGAGCCTGCATTGCCAAGACAATCCTAAGCAAAAAGAACAAAGCTGGAGGCATCATGCTACCTGACTTCAAACTATACTACAAGTGTACAGTAACCAAAACAATATGGTACCAGTACCAAAACAGAGATATAGACCAATGGAACAGAACAGAGGCCTCAGAAATAACAACACATCTATAACCATCTGACCTTTGACAAACCTGACAAAAACAAGAAATGGGGAAATGATTCCCTATTTAATAAATGGTGCTGGGAAAACTGACTAGCCATATGTAGAAAGCTGAAACAGGTTTGCTTTCTTACACCTTATACAAAAATTAATTCAAGATGGATTGAAGACTTAAATGTTAGACCTAAAACCATGAAAACCTCGAATAAAACCTAGATAAGAGCATTCAGGTCATAGGCCTGGGCAAGGACTTCATGACTAAGACACCAAAACAAATGGCAACAGGAGCCAAAATTAATAAATAGGATTTAATTAAACTAAAGAGTTTCTGCACAGCAAAAGAAAGTACCATCAGAGTGAACAGTAAACCTACAGAATGAGAGAAAATTTTTGCAATGTACCCGTCTGACAAAGGGCTAATATCCAGAATCTACAAAGAAATTAAACAGATTTACAAGAAAAAATCAAACAACCCCATCAAAATTGGGCAAAGTATATGAACAGACACTTCTCAAAAGAAGACATTTACACAGCCAACAGATGCATGAAAAAATATTCATCATCACTGGTCATCAGAGAAATGCAAATCAAAACCACAGAGCTACCATCTCACACCAGTTAGAATGGCAATCACTAAAAAGTCAGGAAACAACAGATGCTGGAGAAAACAACAGATGTGGGGAAAAAGGAAGGTTTTTACATTGTTGGTGGGACCTGTAAACTAGTTCAACCATTGTGGAACACAGTGTGGTGATTCCTCAAGGATCTAGAACCAGAAATACCATCTGACCCAGTGATCGCATTACAGGGTATATACCCAAAGGATTATATATCATGCTACTATAAAGACACATGTACACATATGTTTATTGAGGCACTAATTCACAATAGCAAAGACTTGGAACCAACCCAAATGTCCATCAATGATAGACTGGGTTAAGAAAATGTGGCACATACACACTGTGGAATACTATGCAGCCATAAAAAAGGATGAGTTCATGTCCTTTGCAGGGATATAGATGAAGCTGGAAACCATCATTCTGAGCAAACTATAACAAGGACAGAAAACCAAACATCGCATATTCTCACTCACAGGTGGGAATTGAATAATGAGAACACTTGGACACAGGGCAGGGAACATCACACACTGGGGCCTGTCGTGGGTTGGGGGAATGGGGAATAGATAGCATTAGGAGAAATACCTAATGTAAATGACAAACCCACATGGCACATGTATATGTATGTAACAAACCTGCACATTGTCCACATGTACTCTAGAACTTAAAGTATAATAATAATTAAAAATAAATTGACAAGAAAGAATTGTCTGTATGGCATACAAAAACTTATAATAATCATAATTATAATTGATAACATATAACAAGACAAAGTAATTTTAGGAATCTTTTACAATTTTGGAACACATGCTAATGACGTATTTGTAGAAACATAAGTCAAAAAGTTAAACTTTTTTTTTTATTTGAAAAGGCTTTCCATATGATTTTAACATACCAAGTAAGACTAACGTATCTCTTTTGGACTTGTAGGAGCCCTAATATATAAGAAGCTAATTTAAGGTTCACAAACGTAAATGTATAATTTGAAATTTCATTTTGAAAAGTTTGTCAGATATCAAAGGTTTAAAACACTTGCTAAAAATTGTATCACAGGTAACTGTAAAATGATTGTCATTTAACCAAAATGATAAGTTAAAGATTTTGAAAAGCATAGGCATTTACACTTTGATAACTAAGAGGTTCAGTTTCTCAACAAAAGATTTAATAAAGTGTAGTGACTAAATCTATCTCTTCCTATCTCTCCTCATTTTTTTTCATTTAACTCAAAAGTTTTTAAAAAAATATTTCCTAAAGAGAGGGTCTGACTCTGTGTAAAGGCTGGCGTGATGCAGTACAATCAGGCATCACTGCAGCCATGAGCTCCTGGGCTCAAGCAATCCTACCATATGAGCCTCCTGAGTAGTTGTGAATACAGGCACACTCCCTACACCCAGTTACTTATTTTTATTTTTTGTAGAGATGGGGTCTTCCTGTATTGCCTAGGCTGGTTTTAAATTCCTAGGTTCAAGGGTTCCTTCTGCTTTAGCTTCCAAACATGCTGGGATTATACACATGAGCCACAACACTTGGACCAAAAATTTTTTCTAGGATAATTTTATTCTAAAGAGAAAAACAAATTTTATGTCCATATTAGTGCATTATTAATATATTAAAGGTAATTTCAATAAAACTTTATAAGCAAATTTAATCTCAGTTAGCTATTGATCACATAAAATTTGTATGTCTTTTAACCTTATCGCTTTTATTTTCCTACTTAATGTTTACTTAGTTTGAACCAGAATTTTCTTTTTATTTTGAAACATTTCTAATATCCTATGAACTACATTTTTAGGTTTCCAAGACGGTGCGTTGAAAGCGTTCTATTAGCATGCCTCTCCAACATGGAAAGACAAAATAGTGTATAGATATTCATGCTGAATTTTTTTTTTCTGGAACTAACACAGGAATTTAACAGAAAAACTGAATAACACCACAGAACCTTGGGAAAAAAGTGGTGGGCCTACATCATGAGCCAAGAAAAAAACTTTGAGTCTCCAGAGGATAAGAGGGAGAGGGACTGTCACCATAACACACTCCCACTGGTGAGCTTGGCAATCCAGACCATGAGAGAAGGCCTTAACACTACCTAGTCCTGAACCTTATTTAATGAGTGGTGGGGAATATGTGAGGAGTGGCATCAGCACATGCTTTATGTGCACTCACAGATTTCAATGAGCACAGAGGGAAGCCACTCCTGATCCTAACTATCAGGGAGCCTAATGGAAGTTTGCCGGCTAACTCAGGTAGTGGTCACAAGTTGAGCGAAGCCTTCAACTAATACTGATAATATAATCTTGAGTAGGAATGAACTCCCTTTGCAGAACCAGGGGGTTGAGTAAATAGTGTGCTACAGCCACAGGTACAGATGCTGGACACCCCTGCTTCATGGCTGAAACAGGAGGGCATGACATAAAAGCTATGGTTTTAGTCTTAGTTGGAGTGACTTATAGTCTGGGGAAATTTTGAGTTCTAAGGATAGATTGCCTGGATGGAGCTCAGCTAATTGTTGCTATGGAAACATTATGAGTCTAAGACCTGCCATGACAACTTCATTGCAGCTGACTTTGGCTTACTGCCACCTGCTACCCCACTTCCTTGTGTGACTTCTTTTGTGCAGCAGAGGCATCTGTGATTCACATTGGAACATTTCCCTCACAGTCAGTTGTACTGTCCTCTGATTCCTAGTGGAACTGGTACTTGCACCTGCACATAGGGAGCCAGAGTACAGACTTTATGGCTCCATCTATTGCTTGAGACACCAAAGTATATACACTGAGTGACATAACAAACAGAAATTCCACCATGATTATCACAGCTGGTGCTGCTTCGCAAGGGCCATCTCCTGGTCAGATGCCAACCAGCAAAGTCCATTACACCTGCAGGGACAGTAACACAGAACCAAAGTGCTGGGATTATAGGCGTGAGCCACTGCACCCTGCTGTTAGAAATTTCTTGCAGCAGAGGCACAAGTGCAGTGCGGGGATCGGTGAAGAAAGTCTATGGCTTTATCCCAACAGGCAGTCCTGATGCTTGTGAAAGGTCTTGGAGAAGGAGACTTTTCCCCGTCACCCGCCACTGCAGACAGAGCTGGAACTTCTTCCATAGGAGTTTGGCGTGGATTCACTTGTAGTCAGACTTTCTGAAACATTTTAGGGTGACTGCATTGCCATAAAAGGAGTGTTATAAAGATTCAGGCTTGCATGAAGGTGAGTCGCAATCCCTCTCGACATGGAAAATTAACATGTCTGCAGATAAAAAGAAGTACCTGTCTGATTTGAAAAGCTGGAACACTGGGTTAGGAGTGTGACTGGGAGGTGGACTGCATTCTTGCTGACTCAACACGGGAGTTGAGGTGCCTTCCTTTTTTGTTTCTGAGAAGTCCCCATTGAGTTTCACTGAGAGCTCCTCTGGCTACCTCTGTCAACTGGGACTTCTGCCCACCATTTGGTATTGCATTTACCCACCTGCTTTAGATGCAGCCGATTCTTACCCATGGACACTTTCTACTTTCCTGAAGCCTAAACTGTTTCACCCAGTAAATGAAACACTGGGGGGAAAAGGAAAAAAATTAAAAAATAAAATTATTGTGGAGCTTCAAGAGACCTCTGTTATTTCAGCCACAGAGAAAACAGTAAACCTGCCCACAAACTGAGCATATCACTGCTATAACCAGCATCTGAGAAAGCCATCACAAAAAGATAATCTATAACCAAGAAACTCATATAGAGTCTTTACCACTGAAAGCACCCAGAGCTGAATCTAGGTGATGGTAAGTGGAAAACATTAAAGGCACAGCCTCAATGGGAAAAAAGAAATTTAAAAAAACACCATTGAATAAAAAATGAATACAAAAATAATTATAGAAAAATGAGAAGAAAACAAAAAATCATTCTAGGAATATGAATAAACAGAGTTCAATAACATCCATTATAGGACATATTAGTTCTTTCACAATGAATACAAACCAAAAGGAAGTCTTTGAAATACCAGATAAATAATTCAAAAGTTCATTTATAAGTTACATAAGGAGCTACAAGGGAAAGATAAAAACTAACAAAAGGAATTTCAAAGGAATTCAGAATATTAGTAAAAAAGTTTCTAGGTATAACTATTTTAGAGAAAAACCAATCAAAACTTATAGAAATCAAAGACACATTTAGGAAATTTTAAAATGCTTTGGAAATTTTTAACAAGTAGAAGAAGGAATTTCAAATCTTAAAGAAAAGGCTTTTAAATTAGCCCAATCAGATTAAATGAAGAAAAAATAAATTTCTAAGAAATATAGAATTATGTAAAATGGCAAATCTAAGACATATAGCTATTCCTGAAGAAAAAGAAGAAGAAAAAAGTTGGAGCAACCCACTTGAGAAAATAATTAAGAAAATCTTTTCTGGCTTTGCTAGAAATTTAAACGTAAAAATACAAGCAGCTCAAAAAACTTCTGGGAGATATATTGCAAAAAGGGCATTAACAAAGCATGTATTGAATACACTATTTAAATGCAACACGAAGAAAATAATTCTAACAGCAGTGAAATAAAAGCATTAGGTAATATAAAAAGGAAAGTTTTTCAGACTAACAGCAAAATTTTCAGTGGAAACATTACAAGCAAGGAAAAATTGGGGTCCTATCTCAAGTCTTCTTAAACAAAATAGCTAATCAGCCAAAGAATTTGTATCCACCAAAACTAAGCATAATAAATGAAGGAGAAACAGTCCTTCTCTGACCAGCAAAAGTTGAGAGGATATTGAGGGAGTTTGTCAATATCAGGCAAGCCCTGTTAGAAATGCTGAAATGAGTTCTAAATCCAAAACAAATTTTGGTATGAAACAGAGTGGAAATACCTCAAAGCATAAAATTCAAAAGGCTTAAAAAATAAAATGCTATGAATAAAACAAAGTCACTAAGTAAGAATCAATGCAATGAGTGGAACAGTACCTTGCATTACAGTATTGATGTTGAACGTAAATTATAATAATTCTCAATTTAAAATATATGAATTTACAGATTGCATAAAAAATTACAAACCAACTATCTGCTGTCTTCAGGAGACACACTTAACCCGTAAAAATTCTAATTCTTATAGACCCAAGGCAAAGGTGTGGCAAAAGATACGTTATGCAAATGGAAACCAAAAATGTGTGGGAGAATCCATTCTTAGATAAACAGACTTTCAAGAAATAGTGTAAAAAGACAAAGAAGGTTACCATATAATGATAAAAGAATCAACCCAATGAGACAATATTACAGTTCTAAATAAATATGCTCTGAACTATGGAACTCACAAATTTATAAAACAATTAGTAATAGACCAATTAAAATAGACAGACAGCAATACTATAATATGGGAAGACTTCAATGCTCCACTGACAGCACTAGACAGATCATTGAGCCAGAAAATTAACACAAAAATATCTGGCCTTAAACTGCACTGTACAACAAATGGATGTAACAGGTATTTACAAAATATTCACCGAAGTAGAAAAAAAGGATTCAACATGCGCAATTAGAAATTAAAAGAGGCCATACAGCCAATATTACACAATACAAAATATTATTAGAAGCTACTGTGAACTTATCTTTGCACAGAAACTCAAAAATCCAGAGGAAATAGATACATTTTTGGAAACATACAACCTTCCTAACTTAAAATCTAGAATAGAAATATACTTTCTTCTCATTAGTACACATAGCATTCTCTGAGATAGACCATATGATAGGCTAGTAAATGTCTCAATAAATTTTGAAAATTGAGATCAGATCAAGTTCTCACACCACATTGGAAAAAAAAATCAATTCCAAAAAAGAAATACCTCTTAAAACTACACAAAAACCTGAAAATTAAACAATGTACTCAAATATGATTTTGGGATAAACCAGAAAATCAAAATAAAAATTAAATTTTTTTTCAAAATGAAGAATAACAGTGACACAAGCTACTAAAACCTGTGGATGCTGCAAAAGAAATGCTAAAAGGAAAGATTATAGCACTAAATGCCTACATCAAAAAGTCTGAAATATCACAAATTGACAACATAATACCACACCTCATGAAAGTAAGCAAAGAACAACAAACCAAATCCAGTGCTAGCAGAAAAAAAAGAAATGACAAAGATCAGAGTGGAACTAAATAAAATAGAGAAAGAAAAACCAAAAGACAAATAAAAAAATGGTTTTTTTGAAAAAAAAAAAGAATAGAATTAGTAGGCTACTAGTTAGACTAACAAAAAAAAGATTCAAACAAGCTTCATTAGCAATGAAAACTGTGACAATACAACAAACACTACGAAATACAAAATATCTTTAGGGACTACTATAAACATGTATTTGCACACAAACTCAAAAATAGAGAAAATTGATAAATTTCTGGAAACATTCAAAATTCTTAAATTAGGAATAGAAATTCTAGACAAACCAATAATAAGCAGTGAGTTAGAATCAGTAATAAAAAGGAAAACCCAACAACAACAATAAATGCACATGTCAAAATGGATTCACAGCTAAGTTCTATTAAGATCAGGCTTTTGGTGGAGCCAAGATGGCCGACAGGGAACAGCTCCAGGCTAGAGCTCCCAGTGTGGGCGATGCAGAAGACAGGTGATTTCTGCATTTCCAACTGAGGTACTGTGCTCATCTCACTGGGGAGTGTCAGAAAGTGGGTGCAGGACCATGGCTGCAGTGCACCCAGTGTCAGCAGAAGCATGGCAAGGCATTGCCTCACCCAGGAAGTGCAAGGGGTCAGGGAATTCCCTTTCCTAGTCAAAGAAAGTGGTGACAGATGGCAACTGGAAAATCAGGTCACTCCCACCGTAATACTGCACTTTTCCAGGGGTCTTAGCAAATGGCACACCAGGAGATTATATCCCGCACATGGCTCAGAGGGTCCTGTGCCCACGGAGCCTCACTCATTGCTAGCACAACAGTCTGAGATCAAACTGCAAGGTGGCAGCAAAGCTGGGAGAGGGGCGCCCACCATTGCTGAGGCTTGAGTAGGTAAACAAAATGGCGAGGAAGCTCAAACTGCCTGGAGCCCACCTCAGCTCAAGGAGGCCTGCCTGCCTCTGTAGACTCCACCTATGGGGGCAGGGAATAGCCAAACAAAAGGCAGCAGAATCCTGTGCAGACTTAAATGTCCCTGTGTGACAGCTTTGAACAGAGCAGTGGTTCTCCCAGCACCAAGCTGGAGATCCAAGAATGGACAGACTGCCTCCTCAAGTGGGTCCCTGACCTCTGAGTAGCCTAACTGGGAGGCACCCCCCAGTAGGGGCAGACTGACACCTCACATGGCTGGGTACTGCTCTGATACAAAAATTCCAGAGGAATGATCAGGCAGCAACATTTGCTGCTCACCAATATCTGCTGTTCTGCAGACTCTGCTGCTGATACCCAGGAAAATAGGGTCTGGAGTGGACCTTCAGCAAACTCCAACAGACCTGCAGCTGAGGGTCCTGAATGTTAGAAGGAAAACTAACAAACAAAAAAGACACCCACACAAAAACTCCATCTGTACATGACCATCATCAAAGATCAAAGGTAAATAAAACGACAAAAATGGGGAAAAAACAGAGCAGAAAAACTGGAAACTCTAAAAATCAGAGCACCTCTCCTCCTCCAAAGGAATGCAGCTCCTCATCAGCAATGGAACAAAGCTGGATGGAGAATGACTTTGACCAGTTGAGAGAAGGCTTCAGACAATAAAACTACTCTGAGCTAAAGGAGGAAGTTCAAACCCATGGCAAAGAAGTTAAAAACCTTAAAAAAAATTACATGAATGGCTAACTAGAATAACCAATGCAGAGAAGTCCTTAAAGGACCTGATGGAACTGGAAACCACAGCATGAGAACTATGTGATGAATGCACAAGCCTCGGTAGCCAACTTGATCAACCGGAAGAAAGGGTATTAGTGATGGAAGATCAAATGAATGAAATGAAGGAAGAAGAGAAGTTTAGAGAAAAAAGAATAAAAAGAAACAAACAAAGCCTCCAAGAAATATGGGACTATGTGAAAAGACCAAATCTATGTCTGACTGGTGTATCTGAAAGTGATGGGGAGAATGGAACCAAGTTGGAAAACATTCTGCAGGATATTGTCCAGGAGAACTTCCCCAATCTAGCAAGGCAGGCCAACATTCAAATTGAGGAAATACAGACAATGCCACAAAGATACTCCTTGAGAAGAACAATTCCAAGACACATAATTGTCAGATTCACCAAAGTTGAAATGAATGAAAAAATGTTTACAGTAGCCAGAGAGAAAGGTTGGGTTACCCACAAAGGGAAGCCCATCAGACTAACAACTGATCTCTCAGCAGAAACTCTACAAGCCAGAAGAGAGTGGAGGCCAATATTCAACATTCTTAAAGAAAAGAATTTTCAACCCAGAATTTCATATCCAGCCAAACTAAGCTTCATAGTGAAGGAAAAATAAAATCCTTTACAGACAAGCAAATGCTGAGAAATTTTGTCACCACCAGGCCTGCCCTAAAAGAGCTCCTGAAGGAAGCACTAAACATGGAAAGGAACAAACAATACCAGCCACTGAAAAAACATGCCAAACTGTGAAGACCGTCGAGGCTAGGAAGAAACTGCATCAACTAATGAGCAAAATAACCAGGTAACATCATAATGACAAGAACAAATTCACACATAACAATATTAACCTTAAATGTAAATGGGCTAAATGTGCCAATTAAAAGACACAGACTGGCAAACTGGATAAAGAGTCAAGACCCATCAGTGTGCTGTATTCGGGAAACCCATCTCACGTGCAGAGACACACATAGGCTCAAAACAAAGGGATGGAAGAAGATCTACCAAGAAAACAGAAAACAAAAAAAGGCAGGGGTTGCAATCCTGGTCTCTGATAAGACAGACTTTAAACCAACAAAAATCAAAAGAGACAAAGAAGGCCATTACGTAATGGTAAAGGGATCAATTCAGCAAGAAGAGCTAACTATCCTAAATATACATGCACCCAATACAGGAGCACCCAGATTCATAAAGCAAGACCTTAGAGACCTACAAAGAGACTTGGACTCCCATACAATAATAATGGGAGGCTTTAAAACCCACTGTCAACATTAGACAGATCGACAAGACAGAGGTTAACAAAGATATCCAGGATTTCAATTCAGCTCTGCGCCAACCAGACCTAAGAGACATCTACAGAACTCTCCACCCAAAATCAACAGAGTATACATTCTTCTCAGCACCACACCACACTTATTCCACATAGTTGGAAGTAAAGCACTCTTCAGCAAATGTAAAAGAACAGAAATTATAACAAACTGTCTCTCAGACCACAGTGCAATCAAACTAGAACTCAGGATTAAGAAACTCACTCAAAACCGCTCAACTACATGGAAACTGAACAACCTGCTCCTGAATGACTACTGGGTACATAATGAAATGAAGGCAGAAATCAAGATATTCTTTGCAACCAACAGAACAAGGACACAGCATACCAGAATCTCTGGGACACATTCGACACATTCAAAGCAGTGTGTAGAGGGAAATTTATAGCACAAAATGCCCACAAGAGAAAGGAGGAAAGATCTAAAATTGACAACCTAACATCACAATTAAAAGAACTAGAGAAACAAGAGTGAACACATTGAAAAGCTAGCAGAAGGCAAGAAATAACTAAGATCAGAGCAGAACTGAAGGAAATAGAGACATAAAAAAACCATCAAAAAAATCAATGAATCCAGGAGCTGGTTTTTTGAAAAGATCAACAAAATTGAATTGACACACTGTTAGCAAGACTAACAAAAAAGAAAAGAGAGAAGAATCAAATGGATACAATAAAAAATGATAAAGGGGATATCACCAAAGATCTCTCTTTTTTTTCCTAGTCTGGTTAAAGATTAGACAACTCCATTTATATTTTCAACACAACCAACTTTTTGTTTCATTGATCTTTTGCATTTTTTCATTTCAAATTCATGTATTTCTGCTCTGATCTCTATTATTCCTTTTTTCCACTGATTTTGCATTCTGTTTGTTCCAGCTTTTCTAGTTTTTCAAGATGAATTATTAGATTATTTATTTGAGATTTTCTTATTTTTTGATGTAGCACTTAGAGCTATAAATATCCTTCTTAGTACTGTTTATTGCTCTATTTACTTTGCTGTCTTTATTGACCCACTTATCATTCAGAAGTATGTTGTTTAATTTCCATGTGTTTGCATAGTTTGAAAAATGTTTTTGTTATTCTAGTTTTATTCCATTGTGACAGATAAAATTCTTTATTACTTTAATGTCTTAAGACTTTTTTGTGACCCTACATATAATTTATTACTGAGAATAATCCATGCACTGAAGAAAAGATATGTATATTCTACAGCCATTGGACAAAAAGTTTTATAAATATCTATTACCACAATTTGTACTAAAGTGCAGATTCAGATCTATTTTTTTTCTTCATTATTTTTCTTGGAGATATGTCCAAATGCAACGTGGGGTGTTGAAGACTCTAGTTATTGTACAAATTAAGGTGTATCTCTCTTTCTCTGTAGCTCTGCAATATAAATTAATACAGGTTGAGATCTATCTCTCTCTTTAGCTATAATAATATTTGCTTTATATGTCTGTGTGTTCTGGTGTAGGATACATACATACTTACATATACATGTATAATATAGGTGCAATTATAATATTCTCTTGCTGCACTGACCCATTTATCAGTATAAAATGATTTTTATTGTCTCTTCTTAGAGTTTATGTCTTAAAATATATTTGGTCTAAGTATAGCTATTCCTGCTCTTTTTTATTTTTTGTTGCCATAAAATATCTTTTTTATTCCTTTATTTTCAAAGTATGTGTATGACTATAGGTAAATGTTTATTGAAGACAACAGACTATTGTATATTGTTTTTTCTTCTATTCAGTCACTCTGTGTCTTCTACTACAGCATGTGGTCTATTTACATTCAATGTTATTATTATAATTAAGAACTTACTCTTGCAATTTTGTTGTGAGTTTTCAGGTTGTTTTGTGGTCTCTTCTATCATTCCATTCTGCATTCCTTTTAGTAAAAGTGATTTTCTCTGGTGGCATACTGTAATTTCTTGCTTTTAATTTTTTGTGTATCCATGGTATGCTTTTCAATTTAAGCTTATGGTGAGGCTAGTAAATTGTTAAAATTTTTAATTTAAAATGTGTATTTAATTTAAATTGCACTAAGTAAACAAATTTATTTTTTATGAACTTAATCTTATTAAAATTTATACAAATTATTTATAAGACTTATTTATGAGGAGGTTCTAAGATGGCCAAATAGGAATAGCTCCAATCTGCAGCTCCCAGCGTGAGTGACACAAGTGATTTGTGCATTTCCAACTAAGGTACCCGGTTCATCTCCCTGGGCTTGTGAGACAGTGGGTGCAGCCCACGAGCAGGGCAGGGCATCACCTCAACTGGGAAGCTCAAGGGGTCAGGGAATTCCCTTTCCTAGCAAAGGGAAAGCATGACAGACAGTACCTGGAAAATCGGGACATTCCCACCCTAATACTGTGCTTTTCCAATGGCCTTAGCAAATAGCACAACAGGAGATTATAGCCCATGCCTGGCTAGGAAGGTCCCATGCCCACAGAGCCTCACTGACTGCTAGCACAGCAGTCTGAGATCCAACTGCTTGGCAGCAGTGAGGCTGGGGGAGGGGCGTCTGCCATTGCTGAGGCTAGAGTAGGTAAACAAAGTGGCCAGGAAGCTTGAACTGGGTGGAGCCCACCTGAACACAAGGAGACCTGCCTGCCTCTGTAGACTTCATGTCTAGAGGCAGGGCATAGCTGAACATAAGGCAGCAGAAACTTCTGCAGACTTAAACGTCCTTGTCTGGCCGCTTTGAAGAGAGTAGTGGTTCTCCCAGCACAGAGTTTGAGATCTGAGAATGGACAGTCTGTCTCCTCAAGTGTGTCCCTGACCTCTGAGTAGCGTAACTGGGAGGCATCTGCCAGTAGGAGCCAACTGACATACAGCTGGCTGCTCCTCTGAGATGAAGTTTCCAGAGGCAGGATCAGACAGCAACACTTGCCATTCTGCAATATTTGCTGTTCTGCAGCCTCTGCTGGTGATACCCTGGCAAACAGGGTCTGGAGTGGACCTCCAGCAAATTCCAACAGACCTGCAGCTGAGGGTCCTGACTGTCAGAATGAAAACTAACAAACAGAAAAGACATCCGCACCAAAACCTCATCTGTACACCATCATGAAAGACCAAAGGTAGATAAAACCAAAAAGAGGGGGAGAAACCAGAGCAGAAAAACTGAAAATTCTAAACATCCGAGTGTCTCTTCTCCTCCAGAGGAATGCAGCTACTCGCCAGCAACAGAACAAAGCTGGACAAAGAATGACTTTGATGAGTTGAGAGAAGGCTTCAGACAATGGGTAATAACAAACTTCTCCAAGCTAAAGAAGGGTGTTCAAAACCATCACAAAGAAGCTAAAGACCTTGAAACAAGATTAGATGAATGGCTAACTAGAATAAACAGTGTAGAGAAGCCCTTAAGTGAACTGTTGGAACTGAAAATCATGGCACAAGAACTACATGACACATGCACAAGCTTCAGTAGCTGATTTGATCAAGTGGAAGAAAGGGTATGAGTGATTGAAGATCAAATGAATGAAATGAAGCAAGAAGAGAAGTTTAGAGAGAAAAGAGCAAAGAGAAATGAACAAAGCCTCCAAGAAATATGGTACTATATGAACAAAGCCTCCAAGAAATATGGGACTATGTGAAAAGACCAAATCTATGTCTGATTGGTGTACCTGAAAGTGACGGGGAGAATGGAACCAAGCTGGAAAACACTCTTCAGGATATTATCCAGGAGAACTTCTGCAACCTTGTGAGGCAGGCCAACATTCAAATTCAGGAAATACAGAGAATGCCACACCTCGAGAAGAGCAACTCCAAAACACATAATTGTCAGATTCACCAAAGTTGAAATAAAGGAAAAAATGCTAAGGGCAGCCAGAGAGAAAGATCGGGTTACCCACAAAAGGAAGCCAATCAGACTAACAGCAGTTCTCTCAGCAGAAACTCTACAAGCCAGAAGAGAGTGGGGGCCAACATTCAACATTATTAAAGAAAAGAATTTTCAACCCAGAATTTCATATCCGGCCAAACTAAGCTTCATAAGTGAAGGACAAATAAAATATTTTATAGACAAAACAAATGCTGGGAGATTTTGTCACCACCAGGCCTGCCGTACAAGAGCTCCTGAAGGAAGCAATAAATATTGAAAGGAACAACAGGTACCAGCCACTGCAAAACATGTCATTGTAAAGACTATTGATTCTAGGAAGAAACTGCATCAACTAACAAATAAAATAACCAGCTAACATCATAATGACAGGATCAAATTCACACATAACAATATTAACCTTAAATGTAAATGGGCTAAATGTGACAATTAAAAGACACAGTCTGGCAAAGTGGATAAAGAGTCAAGACCCATCACTGTGCTGTATTCAGGAGACCCATCTCACATGCAGAGACACACATAGGCTCACAATAAAGAGACAGAGGAAGATCTACCAAGCAAACGGAAAACAGAAAAAAGCAGGGGCTGCAATCCAATTCTCTGACAAAACAGACTTTAAACCAACAAAGCTCAAAAGAGACAAAGAAGGCCATTACATAATGGTAAGGGGCTCAATTCATCAAGAAGAGCTGACTATCCTAAATATATATGCACCCAATACAGGAGCATCCAGATTCATTCAGCAAGTCCTTAGAGACCTACAAAGAGACTTAAGACTCCCACGCAATAATAATGGGAGACTTTAACACCTCACTGTCAACATTTAACAGATCAATGAGACAGAAAGTCAACAAAGATATCCAGGAATTGAACTCAGCTCTGCACCAAGTGGACCTAATAGACATCTACAGAACTCTCCACCCCAAATCAACAGACTATACATTCTTCTCAGAACCACATAACACTTATTCTAAAATTGACCATATAGTTGGAAGTAAAGCACTCTTCAGCAAATGTAAAAGAATAGAAATTATAACAAACTGTCTCTCAGACCACAGTGCAATCAAACTAGAACTCAGGATTAAGAAACTCACTCAAAACCACTCAACTACATGGAAACTGAACAACTTGCTCCTGAACGACTACTGGGTACATACGAAAATGAACGCAGAAATCAAGATGTTCTTTGAAACCAATGAGAACAAAGACACAACATACCAGAAACTGTGGGACACATTTAAAGCAGTATGTAGACAGAAATTTGTAGCACTCAATGCCCACAAGAGAAAGCAGGAAAGATGTAAAATTGACACTCTACCATTACAATTAACAGAACTAGAGAAACAAGAGCACACACATTCAAAAGCTATCAGAAGTCAAGATAAAACTAAGATTAGAGAAGAACTGAAGGAGATAGAGACAGAAAAAACCCTTCAAAAAATCAATGAATCCAGATGTTTTTTGAAAAGATCAACAAAATTGATAGACCACTAGCAAGACTAATGAAAAAGAAAAGAGAGAAGAATCAATTAGATGAAATAAAAAAATAATAAAGGGGATACCACCACCAATCCCACAGAAATACAAACTACCATCAGAGAATAATATAAACACCTCCATGCAAATAAACTAGAAAATCTAGAAGAAATGGAAAAATTCCTGGACACATATACCCTCCCAAGACTAAAAAAGGAACAAGTTGAATCCCTGAATAGACCAATAACATGTTCTGAAATTAAGCCAATAATTAACAGCCTACCAACCAAAAAAAAGTCCAGGACCAGATGGATTCACAGCTGAATTCTACCAGAGGTACAAAGAGGAGCTGGTACCATTACTTCTGAAACTATTTCAATCAATAGAAAAAGAGAGAATCCTCCCTAATTCATTTTATGGGGCCAACATCATCCTGATACCAAAGCTTGCCAGAGATACAAAAAAAAAAAAGAGAGAATTTTAGACCAATATCACTAATGAACATCAATGCAAAAATCTCAATAAAATACTGGCAAACCAAATCCAGCAGCACATCAAAAAGCTTATCTACCATGATCAAGTTGGGTCCATCCTTGAGATGCAAGGCTGGTTCAACATATGCAAATCAATAAACATAATCCATCATATAAACAGAACCAAAGATAAAAACTGCATGATTATCTCGATAGATGTAGGAAAGTCCTTGGACAAAATTCAACAGCCCTTCATGCTAAAAACTCTCAGTAAACTAGGTATTGATGGGACAAATCTCAAAATAATAAGAGCTACTTATGACAAACCCACAGCCAATATCATACTGAATTGGAAAAACTGGAAATATTCCTTTTGAAAACTAGCACAAGACAGGTATGCCCTCTCTCACCACTCCCATTCAATATAGTGTTGGAAGTTCTGGCCAGGGCAATCAGGCAAGAGTAAGAAATAACAGGTATTCAATTAGGGGAAGAGGAAATCAAATTGTCCCTGTTTGAGGATGATGATTGTATAATTAGAAAACCCCATTGTCTCAGCCCCAAATCTCCTTAAGCTGATAGGAAACTTCAGCAAAGTCTCAAGATACAAAAATGCAAAAATCACAAGCTTTTCTATACATGAATAACAGAAAAACAGACAGCCAAATCATGAGTGAACTCCCATTCACAATTGCTTCAAAGAGAATAAAATACCTAGGAATCCAACTTACAGGGGATGTGAAGGACATCTTCAAGGAGAACTACAAACCACTGCTCAACGAAATAAAAGAGGACACAAACAAATGGAACAACATTCCATGCTCATGGATATGAAGATTCAATATTATGAAAATGGCCATACTGCCCAAGGTAATTTATAGATTCAATGCCATCCCCATCAAGCTATCAATGACTTTCTTCACAGAATTGGAAAAATCTACTTTAAAGTTCATATAGAACCAAAAAACAGCCCTCATTGCCAAGACAATCCTAAGCCAAAACAACAACGCTGGAGGCATCATGCTACCTGACTTCAAACTATACTACAAGACTACAGTAACCAAAACAGCACAGTACTGGTACCAAAAGAAAGATATAGAACAATGGAACAGAATAAAGCCCCTGGAGATAATACAACACATCTACAACTATCTGATCTTTGACAAACCTGACAAAAACAAGAAAAGGGGAAAGGATTCCCTATTTAATAAATGGTGCTGGGAAAACTGACTAGCCATATGTAGAAAGCTGAAACTGGATCCCTTCCTTACATCTTATACAAAAATTAATTCAAGGTGGATTAAAGACTTAAATTTTAGACCTAAAACCATAAAAACCCTAGAAGAAAACCTAGACAATACCATTCAGGCCATAGGCATGGGCAAGGACTTCCTGACTAAAACACCAAAAGCAATGGCAACAGAAGCCAAAATTAACAAATGGGATCTAATTAAACTAAAGAGCTTCTATACAGCAAGAGAAACTACCATCAGAGTGGACAGGTAACCTACAGAATGGGAGAAAATTTTTACAATCTACCCATCTGACAAAGGGCTAATATCCAGAATCTACAAAGAACTTTAAACAAATTTACAAGAAAAAATCAAACAATCCCATCAAAAAGTGGGCAAAGGATATGAAAAGACACTTCTCAAAAGAAGACATTTATGCAGCCAACAGACAGGTGAAAAAATGCTCATCATCACTGGCTGTTAGAGAAATGCAAACCATAACCACAATGAGATACTGTCTCATACCAGTTAGAATGGCGATCATTAAAAAGTCAGGAAACAACAGGTGCTGGAGAGAATGTGGAGAAATAGGAATGCTTTTACACTGTTGATGGGACTGTAAACTAGTTCAACCATTGTGGAAGACAGTGTGGTGATTCCTCAAGGATCTAGAACTAGAAATACCATTTGATCCAGCTATCCCATTACTGGGCATATATCCAGAGGATTATAAATCATGCTGCTATAAAGACACATGCACAAGTATGTTGATTGTGGCACTATTCACAGTAGCAAAGACTTGGAACCAACCCAAATGCCCATCAATGACACACTGAGTTAAGAAAATATGGCACATATACACCATGGAATATTATGCAGCCATGAAAAAGGATGAGTTCATGATATACCCCATGTAAAGGACGAGTTAATGGGTGCAGCACACCAACATGGCACATGTATACATAGGTAACAAACCTGCATGTTGTGCACATGTACCCTAGAACTTAAAGTATAATTTATAAAAAAATTTATAAAAATCAAAATAATTAAATTAAATTAATAAAATTCTAATTTAATATTATGCAATTAAAATTTTAACTTAAAATTGTTAAAATTATTTTAAGCTGACAACTTAATATTCATTGCATAAACAATCATGCAAAAAGTAGTCTAACAATAGCTGTACACTTTATCTCCTCACTTTTCTTTTTTGTTTGTTTTTGTTTGTCTTTGTCTTATTGTAATGTCTATATTTTGGAAAGTTGTAGGTATTATTTTTTATTAGTTCATTGTTTACTATTTCCATTTAAGATAAGAGTAGCTTATATAGCACAATTACAGTATTCTAATGTTCTCCATCTTTCTATTCTATTCTACGTGTGCTAGCTACTACCAGTGAGTTTTGTTCCTTCTGTTGGTTTCTTGCTCATTAACATCCTGTTCTTTCAGATTAAAAAATTACTTTTAATATTTCTTTTAGAATCTGTCTGCTGTTTATGAAATTCCTCAGCTTTCATTTGTCTGGAAGTCTTTATTTGTCTTTCATGCTTGAAAGATTGTTTTAACCAGATACGGTATTTTATGTTATTTTTTTTCCTTCAGCACTAAATATGTTACAAGTTAAACATGTAATGGCTTTCCTGCTGTCCTGTAAGGTTTCCACTCAAAACCTATCAGAAATATTAAAGGTCCATTGTGTGTTATTTGGTGTGTTGTTTTTTTTTAATCTTGCTGCTTTTAGGATACTTTATCCTTTTTATCCATGATCCTTGAGATTTTGCCTTTTAAATATCTTGACGTAGATTGAGTTAAGATTTCTTGGTGTTCTATAATCTTATTTTTCTTTAATATTGATATCTTTCTCTAGATGTGGACCATTCTCTGTTATTCCTTTGAATAAGCTTTCTATTCTTCTTGCTCTACCTCTTTTTTAAGGCTAATAACTCACATATTTGCCCTTTTGATGATATTTTCTAACTATTGTAAGCATAGTTTCTTCTTCTTTTTTTTTTAAATCTCTTCTGACTGTGTGTTTCTAAATAGGCTGTCTTTAAGCTCACTAATTCTTCTGCTTGATCAGTTTTTCTCTAAAAGGCTGAGGAATTCATCAATATGTCAACTGCATCTTTCAACTTTATTATTTTTATTTTTGCTTGATTCTTTTTAATTATTTCAATCTCTTTGTTAAATTTATCCAACAGAATTCTGAATTTTTTCTTTATGTTATCTAAAATTTCTTTGACTTTTCTCTAAAGGCTATCAAATTCTGTCCAAAAGGTCACATATCTCTGTTTCTCCAGGATTGTCCCTGGTAACTTTTAACTCCTTTGGTGATGTCATGTTTTCATGCTTCGTCTCGATGCTTGTAGATATTCATTGGTCTCTGGACATTAAATAATTAGGTACTTATTGTGGTCTTCACAGTATGGGCTTATTTGTGTGCCTCCTTCTTGAGAAGAGTTTTCAGGTATTCAAAGGGACTTGGGCCCCAAGCCCAATAATGTTGTGTTTTTTGCAGATTCATAGGGGTACTATCTTAATGGTTTTAAATAAAATTGGGAATAATTCTTTATATTATCCAGCAGAGGTTGTTCTTTTCTCTCACTTTCTACCAAAAAACTGATGGCTTTCTCTCACTGTTGAGCACCGTACAATTGTGGATGTAATGACACAAGCACTCCTGTTGCCACCACCGCTGTGACAGCACTGGGTTAGACTTGAAGCCAGTACAGCACTGACTCTTACCCAAGGTCTGCTGTAACCACTACCAGGCTACCACCTATGTTTACTCAAGTCCCTAGGGCTCTATGATCAGCAGGTGATTATGTCAGCCTGGTTTGTGTCCTTCCCTTTACGGTAATAAGTTCCCTCAGGCTGGTCCAGTAATGCTTTCAATCCAGGCATTGGAGTATAAAACCTAAGAAATTTTATTATATGTCAACTAAGCTGGCATGGAAACCACAATATCAAGTTCACTCTGCTCTTTTATTTCCTTTTTATAAGCACAGAAGCCTCTCTCTTGCACCACCAACACCACAAGCCCATAGGGGGCTTTGCCAGGCTACTGAAGATGTTCAGTTACAGACCAAGGGCTCTTTAGTCAGCTTGTGGAGAACACTTCCAGGACTAGGACTCATTCTTCAGAGAAGTGGGTTCCCCGCTGGCTCAAGGCAAGTCCAGAAATGCTGTCTGGAATCCTACACTTGCACTCAGGGACCCCAAGAGCCTACTTATTTCTCTACTCCACTGCAAACAACCTGGTACCTAAGATGAAAGACAACATCCCCTTTATTTTTCTTTCTGCTTTTCTCAAATAAAGAAATCTTTCACCATAGCCATTAGAGCTGGGAATGTGCTGAGTCACACCTGAAGTCAGTACATTTCAGAGACCAAGGTTTATGGTGTACTATTTGAGTATCTCTGCTGGTTATTCAAGGCCCAAGGGCTCTTTAGTAAGCAGGTGATGAACCCTGCCCCTACAATGTGTGATTCATGACTCTGCTTCATGTACTATCCTACTGTGCCTGAGCTGGTATACAGGTGCAAGACAAACTCCTCTTTACTCTTTGCTCTCCTTTTCTTAGGCAGAAGAAAGAAGTCCCTTTCCTTGCTGCAAGCTGCTGTACCTGAGGTTGGGGAAGGGGTGGCATAAGCTCTTCCTTAGTTGCCTCAACTAGTGTCTCTCTAGCTTATGTAGCTAGTCTGCTAGCTCTAAGCTCAACTCAGAGCTTTATGTGTTGCCCAGGAATGGCAGTCACTGTGTCCTGGACTGCCTTTCAAATTTACCCAAGATCTCAGAACCCTTTGCCCACTGGCAAGCCTTTCCTAGAAACTGAAGCTCTAACTGCTAGAATGAAAAATACCTCTGTCTGGTTCAAATCCTCTCTCCTTTTATTGGTGCTGGTTGAGCCCAGCATAGCTTTGCTCTCCACTGTGACAAGGTAGCACTGAGTTTAATATAAAGTCCCCCAGTCACTGCTCTTTTTTTTCCCCAAGTGTGCAGACTCTTTCTGTACTGCTACTGGGTCATGGGGAGGACTGGTGTCAGTGATACAAGACTGTCTTTCTTACCCTATTCAATGCATTTTTCAGTAATATGAGGTTAAAACCAGGTACAGTGGTTGCTTGCCTAATATTTTGGTTCCTGTGAAAGTGCTCTGTTCTTGTGACAGTACAGATTGTTGTGAAAATTCGGTGTTCCTAGGGGGAGAAAAATGGTATAGGCTTCCGTAATACCATCTTTCTCCACCCTCTCTATGTAATTTTGGAGACTAGAGATCTGAATATTCAGGCTGGTAGTTGGTAATTAACAGATTGAACTGATGAGTGGCAAAGTACTACAGAATTTAATAAGAAATTGAGAAAGGTATTAGTGACAGCCAGAACTCCAATTTTATCTAGGGAACACTAGGGAACAAACTGACCTGGCAGCATTACCACTGCCTCCTATAATCATAAAGGAAACTAAGAAGGCCATATTGGTGAGTCAGAGGTGAGGAAAGGAGTATTTGAGACAGATCTGAGTATATGGAAGTTGAGAAGGGGGATGGAAGTATTGTAGGAGAAAGAAGAGCTTCGATGGAAGGAGTTAAGAAAGAGAACAGGTAGAAGATGTAGTCCAAAAGAAGAAAGAAGAGTCAACTCCATACATTTTTTGCATGTTCCATTTTCTCTTTTTTATTTATTCTCTTTCAGAGAAGCTAGAAACAATTCTTGGTTTCTTTTAGAAAGCTCAAAGTACAAATTGTAAAATGACATTATATTTGTAAGGTTCAATATCTTCCATTCCATTTGAGCATGCAGACAAATTCACCTAGTGATATCATAAGATCACCATCATGGCCAGCAATATTTTGGGTCATTTTTGCTAATTTTATTCCAGAGCTTAAGTAATTTCATAGTATCATGACCATGAAAGTTAGCCATATAATAATCAGGGGTGCCAGAAAGAAGTTGAATATCTGAGCAGACCAATAAAAATTTCTGAAATTGAGGCACTAATAAATAGCCTACCAACTTAAAAAAGCCCAGAACCAGAAAGATTTGCAGTTGAATTCTACCAGAGTTATAAAGAGGAGCTGGAACCATTTTCTCTGAAATTATTTCAAACAATTAAAAAGGAGGAACTTCACCCTAACTCATTTTATGAGTCAAGTATCATCAATAATACCAAAATCTGGCAGACATACAACAAAAAAGAAAACTTCAGGACAATATGCCTGATGATCATCAATGCAAAATTCTCAAATAAAACACTGCGAACCAAATTCAGCAGCACATCCAAAAGCTTCACCACCATGATCAGTCAGCTTCATCCCCAGGATGCAAGGCTAGTTAAACATACGCAAATCAATAAATATAATTCATCACATAAGCGAGTGAGTTTCCTTTTGGGCCCATCCTTATGTGTAAAAGGGCTATGGCTAGGAGGGAAACCCAGGCCTCTGAGGTCTCCTTACATGGCTTTTCTAATGTCCTTTTAAAACATGATTAGCTTTTCTACCTTACCTGAGAATTGGGAACTCCAGGAGGAGTGAAGATGATAGGTACTGCTTAAGGATGAAGAAAAGCTGCTGGGTCACTATAGGTGTGAAGAAAGGTCCATTATCACTCTGCAGGCATTTAGATAATCCAAACCTTGCAGTGATCTCTTTAAGTAAAAATTAGACACTTCTAATGCCTTGTGGGGTAAATCTCAACCCACTTGGTGAAAGTGCCTATAAATACTAGCAAATATTATCATCCCCTATAAGGTAGTATCTGAGAAAAACCTATTTGCCAGTTGTCCCAGGGCATGTACCTAAATGTTTTTAAAATTTGAGTAGAAGTGGAGGTATGGAGTGGCTTCTTGGATCATGACAGGAACAAAGTTCACAGGCCCTGGTGACCCTCCTTACAGTTTAGACTAGTTTGTTTCCACAGAAGATTTGGAAAATTCAATTGAATAGTGAAAATTCAATTGACTCCACTCCAAATGTGAGGAATCATGAAAATGCTTAATTATTTTTCATTGGTCAGCCTCAGGGTACAAGAGTTAGTTGCATTTTAGTAACCATCCTGATGAATCCTTGTATAAACCTTTCTGTTCTGCCCATTTAAATTCCTCAGGGGTATATAGTGTGGTGTTCATGACATGGGTGCAGTACCTGGCATTAGTCAGTGACCTATTACACTGGTGTCTCTTTAGCTGTAGTCTTAGCTGCTCTTTCTGCAAGAGCATTCTCTTTAATAATAGAGGCACTTCCCTTTTGATGTCCTCTACAGTGAATAATTGCTACCTCCTTTTGGAGCTGGACATCATCAAATTTAAGTGATGTTGTATTGGGTATCCTTTAGCTGTTAGTTCTCTCGTTTCTTTTCATATAACAGCATGAGCATAGAGCATAAGAAACCCATATTTGGAATCAGTAAATATATTGACGCTCAAGTCTTTCCTAATTGGAGAGCTCTGATTAGAACAATTAATTCTGCTTCAGCAGAAACCTGGGGAAGTAAAGTTTTTGCCTCAGTGACCTCTTGTTGGCTAAATACCGCAAAACCTGCCTTTCTTATTCTCTCATGTATAAAGCTACTCCCATCTGTAAACCACTCATCAGGAATAGACAGAGGCTAATCTTTCAGGTCAGACCTGCTATAATTTCCACACAGGAGGGAAGTGAGTTGGGGGTCTGTTTATTAGGATGTGAAGTGTAGCAACAGGATATCAGAGTTTAATACTCAACATATTATAAGGGTTACATCTGGGGTGTCAAGGAGAAAAACCTGTTATTAAATAAGTGACCTCCTGTTAGCCATTGATAACCTTTTGCTTCTAAAACCCCCTGTACTTGGTGGGGGTTATGACATCTAATTATTATCCCAAGGTAAACTTACTGGCTTCTTCTACTAATAGAGCAGTGGCTTCCACAGAACACAAGGATCCTGGCCTTCCAGCTGCCATCTGGTTTCACTGTTTAGAAAGGTAAGCCACTGGTCTAGGGCTATTCCTGGGCCTTCGAGATTGGACATTCAAACCATTCTTTGTTTTTTGGGCACATAGAGGGTAAAGGTTTTTTGAAGTTACAGAGTCCAAAAGCAGGAGATGTTTTAGATTTTATTTTAGGGTCAAGAATGCCTGTTGGCAATTTTCATCCCAATTCAAAGGATCATGATCACTCCCTTTTAGAGCTTCATGGAGTGGCTTTGCTCTAAGACCAAACCAGGGAATCCAGATCTCACAGAATCTTGCCATTCCCAAAAGGGTTCTTAACTGTTTCTTAGTCAGAGGGGGTTGGGGGACCAAGAGGGTCTCACTTGGGTTACTTTGAGCCAAGGTGTTTTCACTTTGGGGTCAAAGTCCTTGTCCCAAGAATGAATACATATTCCAAATATTTAATCCTTTCACAGAGATCTGGGCCTTGTGGGGGTACATTATATTCTTGCTTTTCCAGAAAATTAAGGAGATGAATTGTGGTCATGGCAGAGTATTTTCTGGTAGATCTAGATATTCATAAGTTATCTACATATTGCAAGAGAGCCCATTAGTTAACTGCAGTTTCCTTAACTCCTTGGCCAATGCATTGCCAAACAGATAGGGAATGTATCTAAAACTCTGGAGAACTGTTCAGGTAAGTTGAGATGCAGCATGAGTGTCTGGATCAGTCCATTCAAAAGCAAAAAATATACTGGGAGTGCGGGTATAAAGATAAACAAAAGAAAGCATCCTTCAAATCTAACAATGTGAATCAATGAGCATCTTCAGGGACTTCAGTCAGTATTGTACAAATATTAGGAACTAATGGGTGAACCGGGACTACTGTCCCATTTAATTCCCTTAGAGTCAAAATAAATTTATATTCCTCAGTTGATGTCCTTACAGGTGGAATGGGGTGTTACATGGAGACTACAGGGCTGTTATATTCATAACTTTAGGCTATCATTATTGAGGGCTGGATGTCCCTCTGAGCCTCAGGATTCAAAGGATACTGTTTTGTTTTGTTTTGTTTTGTTTTGTTTTTTCCCACGGGTAATTAACACTGGGTTTTAGGACAGTCTGGACTGGGGGTACATTAACAGTTGTACTAGAAACTTCCATGTCTCAAACAGAGGGGTCTACTAGAGAAGCAATATGTCATGGAAGGCAGTTCTTCTCCATATCTGTGTAAAGGCAAGTATTTGAAGCTAGGAGAACTGTTCCTTCTGGCCTGTTGCCCTCTCACAGAGCACTTTAAAGTGAGCTGTGATGTGTAACTTGGAAAACAGGTCTCTCATAATAGGATAAAACACTCAGGTATAATATTAAAAACCTATGGCAAAATATATGGTCCTTTACAAAGCAACAAAGTGGGTGGGTGAATCTCTTCATTCTTGGCTGGCCATCAGTTCCTGTTACTGTACAGGAGTGGGAAAACAGTAGCCCTGGGAAATGGGTTAAAACTGAGTAGGCATCTCCTGTGTCCAATAAGAACTCAATATTTTTGTCTGCTATATCAAGGGTTACTTGAGGCTCCTCTGTGGAGATGGTAAGTTGTCCAGTGGGAGATATAGAGAATGTTAGGCCTTATAGGTTCTCTACTTTTTTGGCCATTATGAGTCTGAATGTCTCAAACTCCCTTTTTATCCTGGTGCAATCCTTCCAGTGACCTTCTTGCAAACAGAAGACAAGTGCTGTTTTTGACCTAGAGGCTGGTAAGTGAGGGACTCTCATCTGAGCACCCTAGATGCCAATGTCACACATTTCTTTGAGGAGGGTAACTCTGAGGCAGGAGTGGGCCTAAAGTTGCCAGTAACAGTTGTGCTGTCTAGACAGTTCTTTTGATTTTTGCCTCTTCCTCTGCCCTATCCCTATTTTTGCAAACCCAAAGGCAATGCCTAGGAGTGTCTCAGGGGTGTTAGGGTCAAATTGCTACTTCTTGCTTTATCCAAATGTCAGGGGGCAGACTGAGTAATAAAATGCACCCCCAGAAGAGCTCACACTTCCAGGGAGTCAGGGTCTATATTGGTATATTTCCTGACTGCCTCAACCAAAAAGCCCTGAATTAGACTGGGATTTTCCTCTTTTTCCTGAGTTATTTTTC
Source organism: Homo sapiens (assembly GCF_000001405.40). Lineage (NCBI taxonomy): Eukaryota > Metazoa > Chordata > Mammalia > Primates > Hominidae > Homo > Homo sapiens. The sequence goes on along the minus strand of NC_000024.10, from coordinate 19,616,310 downwards.
TTACTTTATCATAATTAACTGAATTAATCGCACACATTGTCTTATAACTAAACAAGTTAGTATGTGATTTCTGCATTTGAGATCTTGAAATCTTTACTGGTAATCCCACTTAGGTCTAGATCTGGAACTGCCTCTCCTGCTACATGATAAATGGCATGGCCTGGGATACACACAGCCATTCTGTATGTATGTTTATAAGTAGTACCTGGAATTCTTTGTTATTCATCTACAGTACCAGTGGATAATAATATTTGCATGCCAAGCCAATTAAATAGAGGATATTGTCAACTTCACAAACTCCTCTACAAAATTCCCTAAATCCTCTGAAAACTGAGCAATTTATTCCTTGCATACAGCCAGATCAGACATGAAAAAAAGCACATATACTTCTATTGTTCATCTATCTCCATCAGTTACTTCCCACAATAGACACAAGTTTGATTTTGGGGACTAATGTGGGACCTCAATCCTGGCAGTACTGGTTGGGCTTACTTCATTAGACAGTGGAGGATATAGGCCAGGGCTTGTTGGATAAGGTGAAGGAGTGACTTATGACCTTGTGGTGAAATTCTGCACTTAATAACTAGTGTGCTCCCTCAGAACTAGGGCACTGAGGAGACTCTGAAGGGAAGATCATACACATACCAGGGGAGCAGCTACTAGGAGGTCCTGTAGCATATCTAATGCAGCTTCTGGATGTCTGAGAGTATCACAAGCCAGACACATTCTACAGCGAGCCCTTAGGTTAAGATCCCGATAGAGGGCCAAAAAGCCTGCACATAATAAAGTTCTTCCCATCTTATCTCCTTTCTACAAAGCAAATATGATTGTACAATATCATTATAATATAAAGAACCATGCCTAGGCCAAATCTGTTGGATTGCAATTTTGTACTGAACCCAAACGTTATTGAAATAGTAAATGGGATTTTTCGTTTTCAACTTATCTAATAATTTGCATTTACTCCATTTGTCTAAAGAACACTCTAGTGCCAAGTTCTTCAGGATGGTTGCTGTCGGTCCTATGTCTAGTAAGAATCTCTTACAGATCACCTGTAAAGATCTACAGGGGGTTTTAGTTAGCTTCTCTTTAGCAAATATTTCATTACTTTTTCCTTTTAAATTCCCACTTTCCACAAAATATACACAGCAAGGCATCATGAAAGTGGACTATGAGCTACTAATGGGCAATTGGATGTTGAACCTAAATTCCACAGAGAGCAAGGGTTGGGCAGAGAGCATGGCTAAACAAATGTGACTGAAGAAGGGAGGAAGACAAGAGTAAACAGTGTTGCCCAGGGGAAGATCTCAAAGGCCCATACTTGCCAGCAAATCTACATACTTGCCAGTGAATCTACCCTATAGCAGAGATACCATAAAAATATTCAGATGGCCACTTGTATACCACTGTAGGTAACCATACATCAGGCAAGGGAACTGGAAACTCCCAATGCCTTTGACCACGAGGGGTTTGAGAAAGACAGCAGTAAGCAAACAAAAAGGGGCCTGCAACTGGCTTTTATAAAAATAACTTCTAACTTCAGAAAGAAAAAGATGAGATCAATATTCCCCCAAACAATGTCTACAAAACTCACAATCCTACATGGAATGTCAATGCTGAAAATCCCAGGGCATGTGAGAGGGCAACCAATATCAAAACTGAAAACACAGAGCCTGAATTTCTGCCAAGGTGTGTCCCCAAATGCCAAGAACTCTGGGGCACCAGTGGGGTAGCAAACAGTGAACCCAAGACCAAGTTGGGGTCACTGAACAACATGACTCTGGCATCCCAGAGTCAAAACAATAGGGGACCTCATACAACCAAGTGTCTTGCCTTGGACACTTGCACAAACAGTTAACAGAATGTCAAAAGCAAATATAACATTGCAAAGAAAATATCCATTTTAGAACTGAAAATAAAATGTCTAAGGAAACAATAAAATGGAGTCAGAGAAGAAAGGATTATGGGGAAGAGGTGACAGAGGTATACTCCGGGGCACTCTAATGATGAGGAACTTCTAACTGACCACTTAACCAAAGGCTTTTATTCTGTAGTTATGTCGATACTATAGAGGGGGTGGCATGCAGAAAGAATACTTATCCATCCACAGAAGCCAAGATGGTACTGACTGATCTATGTGGAACCTGGGTTAAGGTCTCTCCAGGATCCCTCAGCTTCATTATAGGCCACCAATAATGAAGTTTGGGAATTTTCTAAATAAAAAACTGAGTGGGAACAGGTGCCACTGAAGGAGGGGCCAGTATGAGGACTGGTAACCCAGAAGCCTGCCAGTTAGAGCAGTGGGTCCCACATGAGGTAGCAGCATTGTTCCTGTCTCACCAGAGACAGCAGCACTATGCCTGTCCACTTGGCTCTGCTGCCTGCCAGGGAAAATGATTGTTCTACAAAGAGCCTTTGGTTTTTGTTACAGGTTTTAAGTGTTAACAGAGAGCTTTTGGAGACTCAATCACCAATTGCTTCACCACATCTCACTGTTTTTCTTCTCATAGTCTCACTGATTGCCTTACTCTCACAAATTTGTCTTCTCTTGACATCACCTCACTGATGACGCCATCACCAACTTTCACACTGTCATATTCTTCTTTGTCCCATGTTGGACACCAAACTGATACAATGCAGGTGAGCCCCAAATTGGGGCTTAGTCTGGGAGTGTTCTTTGCTTTGCCCAGAAAAGAACTCAAGGGTAGTAACTTTTGGGTCATCAGGTAATTGCCATTTTGTTTGTCTGTGCCCTGCCCCCAAGAGGTGGAGCCTACAGAGGCAGGCAGGCCTCTTTGAGCTGTGGTGGGCTCCACCCAGTTCGAGCTTCCCACTGCTTTGTTTACCTAATCACACAACGAACTCGGCAATGGCTGGCACCCCTCCCCTAGCCTGGCTGCCGCCTTGCAGTTTGATCTCCGACTGCTGTGTTAGCAATGAGCGATGCTCTGTGGGGTAGGACCCTCCAAGCCAGGTGCGGGATATAATCTCCTGGTGCGCTGTTTTTTAAGCCTGTTGGAAAAGCGCAGTATTAGGGTGGGAGTGACCCAATTTTCTAGGTGCTGTCTGTCACCACTTTCTTTGACTAGGAAAGGGAATTCCCTGACCCGTTGTGCTTCCCAGGTGAGGCGATGCCTCACCCTGCTTTGGCTCACGCACAGTGCACAGTACCCACTGTCCTGCACCTACTGTCTGGCACTCCCCAGTGAGATGAACCCGGTACCTCCCTCAGTTGGAAATATAGAAATCACCCGTCTTCTGTGTCGCTCACGTTGGGAGCGGTAGCCCAGAGCTGTTCCTTATTCAGACATCTTGGCTCCTCCCTCCTGAAAATGCTTTTTCAAAATGTTGTATGAATAACAAATGAAAGTAGTGCATGGGTTGCTGATATATATGTTATTATACACTTGCAAATAACTTTTGAAGATACCTGCCTTGCCTTTTTCTCATGAAGTTATTGAAGTGCTGGGAGAAAAACAGAGAAGTGAAATGAGTAAATACATTCCCCTCCAAATAAGTCCAAAAGTCCAAACCAAATTTCCAATGCTAGCATCATTTTTGAATAAATTTTAGTGAATAATTAACCAAATAATTTTGGAACAACTAATCAAAAATACGATTATACACAGTTGTTATATGCTGTATTTAATCTGGACAAACATTCAAACCACATTACTCTTGAATTAATTTTATTATCTCTAGGCTGAAAATATTTACAAAGATGAAGAGCCAGACATCAGAGGATTGGAACCGGGGTATCAAATGTCTTCAACCTAAAGTACAAGGAATTATTTCTCAGTGTTTGGAATGACTTGACTTCCTTGAAAATATTGTTGCAGAGTTGGGGACTACTTTTAAAATATCCTCCATTGAATGTAATTCTACATGAAAGCTTGATTTTTCAAGTGCAAAATGCAAGTGAGAAATAAGGCATATCATTCATTAAACCCTAATTCCAGCACTTTTAAATGAGCTACTTTCTTGTATAATATTTTAGCTATTAAGGAACAAATTGTCGCTTAAGAAATGTATCTATCTTAAAAATGCAAGTAGCAGGAAATTCCCCATTAAGTTAACCATTAAGGTCCTTATTTTCTTAAAATTCTTGTTTGCAAATATTCAAGAATAACTTTTATGTTTGTTCTCTTGAGCAGTTCTTGATTGTCTTTGCAAGAAATAAAATATTAATAAAAATATTATTTTCATTTGCATTTTCCTAATGATTACTAACATTGAACATCTTTTCATGCAGATTTTATGCAGAAATCTTTCAAGTTATTTTTTCCAATTTGGTTTTTGTTGTTTTTTTATATATATACCATATTCTTATTACATACATAACACAGAAATATTGTCTAATTTTATAGAGGAGACATATTTTATGAGACATAAATCTATAAAATGAGACAAAATATTTACAAATATTTATCTACTTACTTTCTAATTTTTTGATGCAATAAACTTTTTAATTTTGAGGTCCAATTTTATTATTATTATTATTTGCTCATGCTTTTGGTGTCATAACTAAGAATTTAATGCCAAACTCAAGGACATAAAGATTTTATTCAAGTAGTTTCCTATGTTTAATTCTAAATTGTATAGTTTTAGCTGTTGCATCTAGGTTTTTGAGCCATCTTAATTATATAAGAAACAAGCATGATGTCATTCTTTTACATAGAGCTCTTCTTTTCTTCCAGCACCATTTCTAGAAGTGCCAAAGCCCAATCAAATTATCTTAGGCACCTTTGTTGAAAATCAATTAGGCATAGAGAGACAAGTTTGTCCTTAATTATCAATTCTATTAAATTGATTTATATGACTATTTTTATTCTATTGCACTATTTCAATTACTGGCTTATTGTAGGTGTTGAAATCAAGCAGTGTGAGTCTTTCAACTTGATTATTTGGGATTCCTTGCAATTCTATATAATTCTGAGGATGGGCTTTTCCATTTTTGCATTAAAAGCCTTTAGACTTTTAATAACATATTTTATGAATATGGCATATCTTTCTATTTACTTAAGAACTTCTTTAATTATTTTCAGCACTATTTTGTAGTTTTCTGTGTACAAGTAATTTACCTCTCAATAAATTTGAGTATATGTTACTCTCAAAACATTGTAATTAAAATTATTTTCTAAATTTTCAATTTTGAAAACTTTCACCAATTTCATTGCTGGTATATAAAGACACAAATACCTGTTATATGGTAATGTCATGTCTTTTCCTGGCCTAACTCTTATGGCTTGTAAGTCTCGTAAAATACTCATAAAATACTGTATGTCTTATAAAAAGTAAAAATGGGTATCCTTTACAGGAGGCTCCTCTGGGGACTGAGAGGGTGAGGACAGGAGAATGATAACAATTTTGTTAGTTACATTTTTCACTTATTGCAGTAATGGTAATTCTTATAAAATCATGTAGTGTTTGTGTGATTTTTAAAACCTTGAAAATCAATAAAATACTAAAAAATAAGAGACTTTTCTTGTTCTTAACCTCAGGGGAAGACTGTTGTTCAAGTACTTTAATTGTGGTTTTTACATTTTTTTTGTTATTGCGTAGTAGGTATATATATTTATGGGGGGTACATGAGATGTTTTGATATAGGCATGCAATTCACAAGGTGCCTATAGTTAGTAATAACTTAAATGTTAATTGTGTTTTCTAAATGCTCTTAGCCAAGCATGGTGGCTCAGGTCTACAATCCCAGGATTTGGGGAGGCTGAGGTAGGAGTGTCACTTGATTACAGGAGTTTGAGACAAGCCTGGGCAACAAAATGAAAGCCAGTCATGGTGGTGCATGCCTGTAGTCCCAGTTACATGAGAGGCTGAGGCAGGTGGATTTTTTGAGCCCAGGAGGTCAAGGCTGCAGTGTGGCTTGTTTGAGGAAGTCCTTTATCATGTTAAGAAAGTTCCTATGTTCCCCTTATTTCTAGTTTTTGAGTGTTTTTAGTCATGGAAGGATGGTACTTTAAAATGACTTTTCTGTATCAGTCTATATGATCATGAAGATTGTTTTTATCAGAGTAGTGTTTTATAGAATGAGGTTGGAAGTGTTCACTCTTTTTCCATTTTTTGGACATTGAAGCTATCAGGTCTTAGTTTGTGTAAGGAGTATTTTTTGTTTTTTGTGTGTGTATTTTTGTGAGAAAGGGTCTCACTCTGTTATCCAGGCTGGAGTGCAGTGCTGTCATCTCAGCTCACTGCTGCCTCATCCTCCCACGCTGAAGAGATCTACCCACCTCAGCCTCTGAAAAGGCTGGAATTATAAACATGAGCCCCGGGGCCCAGAAGTGTGAGTGTTTTGATTACTGATTCAGTCTGTTTCTTATAGCTCTGTTCCAGATTTTCTGTGCTAGATCATGTGGCGATTCCTCAAGGATCTAGAACTAGAAATATCATTTGACATAGCAATCCCATTACTGGGTATATAACCGAAGGTTTATAAATTATGCTACTATAAAGACACATGCACATGTATGTTTATTGTGGCACTGTTTACAATAGCAAATACTTGGAACCAACCCAAGGGCCCATCAATGATAGACTGGATAAAGAAAATTTGGCACATACCATTCAGGACATAGGCACGGGCAAAGACCTCATGTCTGAAACACCAAAAGCAATGGCGACAAAAGCCAAAATTGTCAAATGGAATCTAACTGAACAACAGATCTTCGGCACAGCGAAAGCAACTATCATAAGAGTGAACAGGCAATGTACAGGATGGGAGAAAACTTTTGTAAGCTACCCATTTGACAAACAAGTCTAATATCTAGAATCTACAAGAAACTTAAACAAATTTACAGTTAAAAAAAAACAAACAACGCCATCAAAAAGTGAGCAAATGACATGAACAGATATTTCTCAAAAGAAGACATTTATGCAGCCAAAAAACAGAAAAAAAGCTCATCATCACTGGCGATTAGAGAAAGGCAAATCAAAAACACAATGAGATACCATCTCACACCAGTTAGAATGGCAATTATTAAAAAGTCAGGAAACAACAGATGCTGGCGAAGCCACTGAAAAACAGAAATGCTTTTATGCTGTTGGTGTGAGTGTAAATTAGTTCAACCATTGTGGAAGACAGTTTGGCAATTTCTCAAGGATCTAGACGCAGAAATACCATTTGACCCAGCAATCCCATTACTGGATATATTCCCAAAGGATCATAAATCATTCTGCTATAAAGACACATGCACACTTATGTTTATTGCAGTCCTATTTGCAATAGCAAAGCCTTGGAACCAACCCAAATGCCCATCAGTGATAGACTGGATAAAGAAAATGTGGTACATATATACCATGGAATAGTATGCAGCCATGAAAAAGAATGAGTTCACGTCCTTTGTAAGGACATGGATGAAGCTGGAAATCATCATTCTCAGCAAACCAACACAACAACAGAAAACCAAGGACAGGCCTGGTGGCTCATGCCTGTAATTCCAGCATTTGGGGAGGCCGAGGCAAGTGGACCATCTGTGGTCAAGAGATCGAGACCATCCTGACCAACATGGTGAAACCCTATCTCTACTACAAATACAGAAATTAGCTGGGCATGGTGATGCAGGCCTATAGTCCCAGCCACTTGGGAGGCTGAGACAGAGGAATTGCTTGAACTCAAGTGGAGGTTGCAGTGAGATGAGATCGTGCCTGCTTGGTGACACACTGAGACTCCACCTCAGATAAAAAGGGAGGGAAGGGAAGCGGAAGGGGAAGAGGTTCTCACTCATAAGTGGGAGTTGAACAATGAGAACACATGGACACAGGGAGGGTAACATCACACACCAGGGCCTGTTGTGGGGTGGGGGGCTAGGTGACGGATAGCTTTAGGAGAAATACCTAATGTTGATGATCGGTTGATGGGTGCAGCAAACCACCATTCCATGTGTATACCTATGTAACAAATCTGCACATTCTGCACATGTACCCCAGACTTAAAGTATATAAAAAAAGAATGTATACATTTCATCAAAATTATCTAATTTGTTGGCATACAATTGTTCACAGTATTTTCTGTTTTGAGACAGTGTCTCCCTCTGTTGCCCAGGCTGGAGTGCACCGTCAGGATCACAACTCACTGTAGACTCCAACTCCTGGGCTCAGGGGATCCTTCTGCCTCAGCCACCCAGGTAGCTAGGACTACAGGCATCCACTACCACTGGCTAATTTTGTATTTTTTTGTAGAGACAGGCATTTGCTATGTTACCCAGGCTGGTCTTGAACTCCTGAACTCAAGCGATCCACTTGCCTCAGCATACCAAAGTGCTAGCATTACAGGTGTGAGCCACCACACCTGGCTCCATAGTATTTTCTTATAGCCATTTTTACTGTGGAGTAGTAATGTCCCGACTTTCATTTCTAATTTTACTTATTTACATCTTCTTTCATTTTCGGGAAGTTCAGTTAAAGGTTTGACAACTTTGATCTTTTTCCAAGAAGGAACCATTGGTTTCATAGATTCTATTATTTTTATATTATCTGCTTCACATATCTATACCCTAATATTGATTTCCTTCCTCTGGTAGCTAGTAGTTTGCTTTTTCCTTTTTCCTTAAGGTATGAACATGTTATTAATTGAAGATCTTTCTTATCTTATAATGTATTTACAAATATTCATTGCTCTGAGTTTCCTTTTACTACACCCACAAATTTTGATATCTTTTTTTAAAAAATTAACTTCAAGTTATGTTCTTATTTCATTCACATTGTTAAAGCCAGTAAGCTATACCAGTAATGTGGGGCTGCTGTCTCCACAACTATTGCCAAGGTGGACAATATAGGATAATAGGCAGGTAGTCAAATGCCACAATCCTTAGAGAACTTTAGCAGTCTCTTCATTCTAAACTAAGTAGTACCCTGGGGTCTCTGTTTATATTAGATTCCAGAGTTCCAAAAGAGTTGATGTTGTTGCCTATTTAATGGCTGTTTCAATAGAAACTGATTCTTGGCTCTCCCTATTTCTATTTTCCATTACATTACTTCTTGATCTCTTTTAAAAGTGCCTCAACTTTTCCTTCAGTGTTGTCTAGAACAGCAGTCCCCAACTTTTCTGGATGCAGGTACAGGTTTCATAGAAGACAATTTTTTCCACAGACAGGGCAGTTGAGGGGCTGGAGGGAGGAGGATGGTTTGGGAATGGTTCAATGCATAATATTTATTTTGCACTTTATTTCTATTATTACTACATTGTAATACATAATAAAACAATTATACAACTCACCATAATATAGAATCAGTGGGAGCTGTGAGCTTGTTTTCCTGCAACTAGACAGTCCCATCTTGGGGGACAGATCATCAGGCATTAGATTCTTATAAGGAGCATGCAAGATAGATCACTCACATGCATAGGGCACAACAGGGTTAGTGCTCCAATGAGAATCTAATGTTGCTGTTGATCTTACAGGAGGTGGAGTTCAGGCAGTAATGTCACAACGGGGAGTGGCTGTAATAAAGATGAAGCTTGACTTGCCCACTTGCTGCTCACCTCCTGCTGTGCATCCTGGTTCCTAACAGGCCATGATCACTACCAGTTGGGGGTTGGGAACCCCTGGTCTAGAAAGTAAAAGCTATCTAATTGTTTACATAATGTTATATTAACTTTTGCTCACCCATGACTAAATAATAAGACACTGAAATTCTTTATACAAGTATCACCTGCTATTTATATCTATTCAGTTCCCAGTAAATTTGGATAGGCTAAGGTTAACTGATAGTAGAAAATTTCTTGAATACTGTGATTCTTAAAAGCCTTGCCAGAAGTTAAACTACAGAAATCTTAAAGTAACCCACTTTAAAAGGGGTAGGTCACCTATTTTGAATGGGGGTTTGGGAGTGGCCATGCTAACAGAGATCTGACTGAATGAAGTTATTTTTGCCAACTAACCAGATGGTAACGCATCTTTAAATTGTGCAATTAACTATGTTTTTTAAGACCTTAAAAATAGTAACTTTTTCCAACAGTTATTTTTGAACTTCACTGTTACACAGTTGAGGTGACATTCATTATAAAGAATACACAGAGGCTACTATATTAACCATTATATCTATATCTTTAGTTAACCTGAACGAAGTTGAGTAGATAAAATAAGATTCACATTAGGTAAAAAAACAAAAACAAAAACAAAAACAAAAACAAAAAACACAAACTCTACAGAAGTCTTGAAAAGCAAAAGAGAACTGCCTCTTATAAAATCATATCCTTAAAAAAGAGGTGAGATAAAAACAAAGCAGTGTTTTTATCAGTACTGCATCCTTTTTTTCACAGTTATTTTCATTTACAGTTTGAAAGAGGTAGATAATTCTGCAACAGACAAGAATTGAACTGTGATTATCAGGTGTAATAAAATAGTTCCATTAACTTAGAAATATTGGTCTCATCATCAAGAAATATATTAATACACATTTGAAGATGACACACTCTGTCATTCTAGACTCATGTTTTTTCTATAGCTTGGAATCCCCTGCCACTATACATATTACAACTCCAGAATGATACAACAAAAAAATTTAATTGATCGCAACATTTAAACATTTTCTTGGTCAGCTACAGTGTCCAGAAACAGGGCCAAAAAACAGGGTCAGATTGTATACATTTATGGACATGTTCAACTCTGCAGGCTTGGCAAACAGAGAGGTTTGCCAACTTCTATTCTAGAACATTGCAGATACTGGGCATGCCACAGGGCCATTTACAAGGGAATCTTCTGCAAAGGGTTCCTTTGGGTTTTGTTGTTGTTGTTGTTTCCAATGCTAGCCAGAGCAATAATTCTGAAAGGAAACCAAATTCCAAAATACAATGCAGATCTTCGTAATATTGTATTGTAACACAGTGTATCTAACATAAACAGTATGCCAAAAACAACAGAACAAGTTCTGTTTTTCACATTGTTTTCTCCCCAAAATTTACCTTTCACACAAAACAAGTACCACAAAGAAGTGTCACAGCCTAAGAAACTGCCTTAGTATAACATTAAGAGCTTACATCCAGATTTACATCTGATAAAATATGACTGCTGGTATTAACTTTAGGGCATATAAGGTATCTTCATCTCTTCTGAAAGAAGTGGGTCCAGTATTTTGTTTTGTAGCTGAATTGAATATTTATAAAAAGTTGGGGGGTGAGCAGGGGAAGGTGAGTATTTTTGTTTTGCTAATTTTGGCAAAGTAATAAAATTTGTCAAATTTCATGTTAACTTATTTTCCTCTGCTATCTGCCCCCTTGATTATCATAGTCACTAGGGGAAGTGTATATGTAATTCACATCCTAGACTTCTTCCTAAGTACCATATTTCTAAGTACTGGGAAAATTTCCATTTTCTACCTCTATTAGACCACAAATCTGACAAGAGAATATATGTAAAACCATTTAGCTCTATGAGAAACTGAAATAAAAGAAAATTAAGGAATAAATAGTTCAAAATTTTCCATGCCAAGTGCAGAGATCTAGATACTGATTTTTTTTTCTTTAAACATAATTGTAACCTGAAACTAAAGCAGAACAATTGTCAGTTTCATAAATATTAAGCCTATTGGTCCAATGACTTGCCTGCATATGCTACTGTTTTGGTTTTTCTTAACATCATTTACATTTAAATGATCTCTCTGTGTGTGTGTACATACATATATATATATATATATATATATATATATATATATATTCTGTCAATTTTGAGGAATTCAAAGTTTACAGTCACATCAATTTGGAAAGTCATACAAATATTGTCAAAAAACTGATCTGAATCAAATATGCCATGCTTGTTTCTTAATCCATTGAAGTTTTACTTATCATTTAAATGACTTGACAATATTAGTCAGTTTATATTTTCTTTTATGTAGATATTATGGGCTCCAGAGTTTAAATTAGTATTTGATTTCACATTACGAAACCATTATAAAAAAGTCTCAAATTAAGATAATTTAAGGTGATGAACACACAAACGTACACTTTGAAAGGAGAAGGCAATGAAAACATGCATTCCAATAAAGGGGGAAAATGAGGCTGATGTGCAACATAGTTGGGGAAATTGGTAAGAAGCTTTCTGTTACCACACAGTTGAGTAGTTCTAAAAAAACAGAGATATGGTAGAAAAAGGAGAGGAAATTTTCATTACAAAATCAATAGTTACAACTAAAAGAGAAACATGTACACAAAATATATCCATCAGTACAATGATCACACTTAATCTTAATCAATGCCTAGAGGAGATCCTGTGGAGAGGGCTTTTGAGTAGCATTTTACTTCATTCATTCCTTTGGGGTCAGCCTCCAGATGGACTCCTGGGGCTCTTTTAGAGGAAGTGTTCAGCATATTGGAAGAATCCAGGTCAGCACAGGAATGCGTCACAGGCACTGCTAAATCTACATCTGCTACTTTCACAGAGACCTGCCCTTTCAGAATTCCCAGTTTCTCACTGAGTTCATTCCTTTCTATTTGAAGAGCCTTGTACAGCTTCTCTAACCGCTCCAATTTTATTTGAAAGACCTTATAATTTTTATCACGAATAGTTTTCTGTAAGAAAAAAAGATAAGGTTTATGTAACCTTATTAAATATCATTAGGTTACTATATCCAAAATTGAGTAAATTGAGCCATAATAAAAAAAAGTTGCTTTGTTTTCATGTCTTAAACCTCACTATATAGTGCTATGTTAAATATTTAAAATTATTGTTATGCAATGCGATACAAATTATCTCTGTCATTTTCCTTAAAGTAACCAAAAGGGACCTTTTGACTTTAAGTATGACTTATGAAGTACGAAGAAAATCAAGGCTATTAATCAAAAATACCAGCAAAACTTTTCCTATAGAAGCAAAGATAATGTTATAATTGTTAATTTCTTTTTTATATAAAATAACTCACCAAAGGAATGCACATCTATCTGCTTTCTGAAAAAATAATTTCAAACTGATAACTGTCAATTTTAATTATCTTAATTAAAATAAGCCATATTATGTTTTTCTATCATCTAATAAGCTCTTTAGTGAAGAGCTAAAAATATATATAAAGAACATAAAATCATATCCAACTATTAAGGGAAGATGCTATTTTCATCTACTTGCAGTTTTTCTACCCAAATATAAATAATTTGTTTTAGCCATATTATCTCATTACTGAAGTATCATAGGATGACTGAGTAGACTGCTCATTGTAAAATCTAACTGAATCAATTCATTATACATTATAATATCTACCATTAAATGATACTTATTGCTATAAATATTATCATTGATATAATAAAAATAACGAGAAAATGTTTTAAAAATGCCAGCAGTAAGAGTTCATTAAAGTTATTTTTACATGGGTTTTTCTTCCTTTCTACCATTTTTGAGAAGAGAATGTTCCAACATTTTCTTATGAAATGTTATAATTAGTCCAATCAAGTTTACAAAATAAAAACTTAAGTGACTGCAAATGGTATGCAACTCAGCTATATTTACAGCAAACTTGGTAAACTCTACTTAGTTGCCTTTTGGAAATGAATAAATCAAGGTAGAAAAGCAATTGAGATACTAATTCATGCTCTCAGGGGAAAATCTGAATAAAGCTATCTTTTCTAACACAGAGCAAGTGACTCTCAAAGTCACAGTATCTGAACTAGCATATCAGCATCGCCTGAATACCTAGAAATGCAAATTCCTGGGCAACACCAGAATCTAACAAAGCAAAAAACTATGGGGGGAACAGGGAAGTCGGTTTAATAATACTGAGTTTGTGCAACCTCAACTTTGCTTTATAGGAAAGCAAAATCTCAATATGATAAAGTTTTCTTCAACAAAACTCTGAGATAACTATGTTGAGGGAAAGAAGTTGATCACATGCAAGAAAATCTAATTCGCTGCAGGAAAGTGTATAAATAAAACTTGTAGTTATTAGGCACACATTCTGAAGGTAAAGACACACTTCCAGAGGTTATTTAGTTAAGACTAAATAATGACTTAGTCTTCGTACTGAAATAAGTAAGTACTCATTATTTAGTCACGTAAAACCTTCTTACCTCTTCAGCCATTTGCAGAAGTGTTGTATTATTATTTTCCCATTTGGTATACCATATTACCATTTCTTTTTCCAGTTTTTTAATTTTCTTTGTCAGCTGTGAATCAACATAATCATAAACTTAAATTCTAAGTTTCACTTCCTGATCCACCACAGAAATCACTTTACAATGTTCTTCCCTTCCTCCATCACTGCATTCTTCTCAACCAGCTGACACTTGTGTTTTCTTTATAAGAGTAAGTGGTATCTTTCTTTTGTTAGTAAAGTTTATCTCAGAAGCTCCTATGGTAAAAGCAGCAGTAACCAAAGCAGAAGTTTCACATTAAAAGAAAACAAAGTTGTTGTCCTTAATTTCAAGGGAATCAGCACATGGTAGCTGAATTCTCTCAATTAAGACTGATGTGTAGCTCAGCTCAGGTGTGGACAGTAGAGCTGAGACCTCCTGCTCCTGAAGTATATGAAAAAATGTCCCCGAGTTTTCTGGAGAAATGATAAATTACACTAATCCATCAGATTATTTTATATACTGTCAGTCCCAAAGTAGCTCAAGAATCTGAAAGGAAATCAGTGTAAGAGCTAGAGGTAGCGTAATTTAGGGAACTAATCAGGAAAGAGGTATTAACATTTCTGAATCCTTAGTTTCACTTATCCTTTCAATTCACAAGATTGCTTTATTTCACATTTTGATAAAGACCAAAATGGTCCAAAAATAAGGGGAGGAAGAACCTATACTACAAGAACCGAATTCCCAGACACTCAGGATAAACTTTAGGTATATCCTTCAATCAGCTTTGTTCCAAATACAGGTAACGAGCCAGGCAATGTTACGGAAAATAAGGGTAAGATAAAGCAAATATCCTGTGCTTTGGTTAACAAACAAAACTGTATCACAAGTCAAACTCGTACAAAAGGCAGGAGAAGAGGTCTGGAAGATCTGTTAGGTGCTGAACTACAGTCACCTTTACACCCACTATGTAGCATATGCTACAGTCCATCTAACACTTTCACTGTGCCTAACAGTTCTGCTTCCACTGCAGTCATAACTGAAAGGATAGGCAGGAAGAACTTATTTGTTACTCAATGAATTCTCCCAATTACTAAGTCTAAAAAGTAATGAAGGTAGTAATTTGAGTATTTAACACAACCAAGAATTGACTTAAGTATATTAGATGTTTTTGCTGTTTTTATTTTTAACCATGAGAAAAGAAAGACATGGAAAAGTTAAATAACTTGTTCTATGGTCATCTATAGCAAAAAAAGATCTAATAATAATCAAGACTAACATATATTGAATGCTTATGAATTTCCCAGACACAGCTACTGTACTATCTCCAATCAGCACATTTTAAAGAAATCTTAACTTAAATAGGGAAATGCCAAGGTAAATGACTCACCCTAAGGAAGTCACGAAGTGCAAGTTAGAGATCTCAGTTTCAGAGTTTATGCTCCAAACCGCAGTGCTATGTGTTTATTTGGGGAGACAGATAATTCTGCTCTTTAAAATTGCTATTTTAGCCTGTATGCTGAATTGGAATAACCCATAACATTTTTCTACATCTAATTTTAAAAAACGGTTTAAATTTTGTATTAATTAAGAATACATCTTGTATATTGTGTGAATACATATATAGTTTATATATAATATATATATAGTTTATATATATAATTAAATTTTGTATTAAGAATACATCTTGTATATTGTGTGAATATATATATATATAAAAACTATACATATATGTAGTTTAAATTTCAAAGAGTAAATATATTTCAGGTTTAGCTAGGTCCTCAGAAATAAAGCTATTCCTACCAAGATATATTATTACTTTCCTTGGCTTGGATTTTTAAAATAATTTTATATAAAATTTTTAGTTTACATAAGGCTATGTGAAAGAACTGGGTAATTAAGAGAGGTGACTAAACAAAAATCATCTACAAATAAACTGTCCTTAATGGAAGAATTCTCTTTAATTGTAATAGAAGTCTCAGAATACCATGATAATTAGTATTCTGGGGCAATTTTAGGGCAAAATACCTGAATAAGCTGGTGAAAGAAAAAAAAAGATACTATCAGATTAATATAAACTCATATAAGTGCAATTATGTTTTTTTGTTTGTTTGTTTTTTTCTTTCAGAGACAGGGTCTCCCTCTGTCACCTTGGCTGAAGTACAGTGACATGATCATGGATCACTGTAGCCTCGACCTCCTGGCCTTAAACAATCCTTCTACCTTGGCCTCCAGAGTGGCTGGAACTACAACTGCACACCACCCCGTATGGCCACTTTTTTTTTTTTCCCACTTTTGTAGCAATATGGTACCCAGGCTGGTCTTGAACTCCTCTTGTCAAGCAATCTTCCTATCTTGGCCTCCCAAAATGCTTGGATTACAGGTGTGAGCCACCACGCCTGGCCACAGTTATGCTTAAAATAACCTCTTGTATCAATTACTTTTTACATAATATTCTATTAAAAATATGTAAATACCTTTTCCGTTTCCTGCTTGAAGGCTGTAAAAAGTTCATTGGTTTTTGCCATGGTAGTCTGGAATTCTTCAAACTTATCCATATAAAGGAAAAGCTATAGAAAAAAATGATCAAATATTCAGAGTTTCAGAAAAGCAATTTAAAACCCCAAAAGATTTTAAAATAACATAATAACTTTCAAAAAACTTAATATAATTAAACATTAGGTTTGATACATGACTGAAAAACAACAGAAACACACACCCAATCCCTGAACTGCAGAATATATACCTGAAATGTTTATAACCCACTGAAATGCACTGAAACTTCACTGTCTTCATCATCTTTAACTGTAAATGTTAAAAGGTAAGGCTGGGCATGGAAGCTCATGCCTGTAATCCCAGCACTTTGGGAGGCCAAGTCGGGTGGATCACAAGGTCAGGAGTTCAAGACCAGCCTGGCCACTATGGTGAAACCACATCTCTACTAAAAACACAAAAATTAGTCGGGCATGGTGACAAGTGCCTGTACTCCCAGCTATTTGGGAGACTAAGGGAGGGGAATTGCCTAAACCCAGAAGGCGGAGGTTGCAGTGACCTGAGATTGCACCACTGCACTCCAGCCTAGGTGACACAGTGAGACTCTGTCTGAAAAAAACAAAACAAAATAAACAAACAAAAAGTAAAATCACTTATTAGCTCTACTCCATCAGTTGTAATAAAAACTGAAGTACAGTGGTATAGCTGTGAATTTCATATAACCATAATGCTTTGGGTATTACTAAGTCTTCTTTGCATTTGAAAACCTTTTCTTGTAAAAAGAGCATCCCTTTAGAGTATTTAGCTTAGTTGAGGGTATCTAGTTCTTAGTTTAATATTAAGGCTAACTCTTTGCTTTATGTATGCAGAAAAATAAACCAGAAGCCAAATAGTTTGATGGGGGATAAAATTAGTGGGAGTACAGTTAAGAAAAAGATAACCTAAAAGAGGTCGAAAAAGCAATTTTCTATTAATGCCATCATCATAGACTTTTTATTTTAGGTGGGAGAATAACAGCAGCAAGCCACGCAGAACATTACATTTAGTTACCTTTCTTCATAACCAGGATCACACTGACAATGGAAATGTTCATTGCAAACCACAATCTCTCTGCAATTTGTTAAATCTTGTTATATTTATTACACTAAGATATCTGCATCCTTGGAATCTACATACCTTGTGCTGACCACAAGTAGTCACAGGTTCTGTATATGTCCCTCATGTTTTGAACCATTTCTTGCATGTGCCGACAAACATACGTGACCTCCAAAGTAAGTATATTGTATATCAAAGTCTGTCATTGATACTGGTTCTGAATGTGTCCAGTGACAGACAATCTTTCCATAAATGATATCATAAAAATGACAACAGGAACCACATTTTCCAAATTTGTCATTTAGAAAATTCACTTCTTCTGTACACAGAAGATTAGCAGACCTAGAAAATTTTCCAAATAACTGTGCACACTGTCTATCCCTATCTCTACATACTCCTTTAAAGCAATAGCTAGTCTTATTATTGCAGTATCCTAAATCAGGAGCTTTCACATCAAGTACACAAAGTGCAGATG